>NC_000010.11:97264307-97567337 GCF_000001405.40 Homo sapiens
CCGGGTGTGGTGGTGCAAGCTTGTGATCCCAGTTACTAGGGAGGCCAAGGTGGGAGAATCACCTGAGCCCGGGAGGTCAAGGCTGCAGTGAGCCAAGATCACACCACTGCACCCCAGCCTGGGTGAGAGAACGAGACCTTGTCTCAAAAAAAAAAAAAAAGTAAAGAGTGTGTTTTAATCATAGAATTCTGGAGAAAAAAGGTACCATGCTCTCTTAAATAAATGCAACAATTCTTTAGGGACAATGTATTTTTCCAGAAGTGTCTCTCTGAGGCAAGAGGTAAATGTGACTTCATAGACACGGTCTAATTTATATACACTTTGAGAGTATAAAACAAATGAATATATGAGATGAAGTTTAAAAGGAAATATATTTAAAAACATGCCACCCAAAATTAACACTGGTTAGTTCCTTTGTTGATGGTTAATTGGCACCTACTAACTCAAGGCAGTTAGCTCTCAACAGAAAACAGAATTCTTCATTAAACAAAGAATGATAAAATTTCAAGTAGTCTTACTTTTGTGTAGATACTCAATCAGTTGGTATATCTGGGCAATGCCTTCCTCCGTCAGTGGGGACCCAAATATCACTCCTTTTTCTGAAAAACCATATGATATGACAGGGCTATATTTCACACAAATAGTACAAAATCATCATACCTAAAACCACTCAAGCATCCTATTTTACAATTCAGCAAGCATTTTCACATGGTCAGTAAACAAAAACCTTAGAACTGGAAGTGCACCAGAAAACGCGAGCAGGACAACTCTCAATCAGCTCTCTCTAAGTTCAATATTAGACTGTAGGTTCCCTGAAGGGAAAGACCATCTTCTTATTCAAGTAAGAAGCATATATCTAGTAAGTAAGGAGATATCTAGCGTGTTAGTATTTAATTTAACAAACAAACAGAAGGCCAGGCATGGTGGCTCACACCTGTAATCCCAGCGCTTTGGGAGGCTGAGGTGGGAGGACTGCTTGAGGCCAGGAGTTTGAGACCAGCCTGGGCAACATAGTGAGACCCCATCTCTACAAAAAATAGAGAACAGTCAGGCATGGTGTCATGCACCTGTAGTCCCAGCTAGTGGGAGGCTGAAACAGAAGGAGAGTTTGAGCCCAGGAATTCAAGGCTGCAGTGAGCTATGATGACACCACCACACTCCAGCATCGGCAACAAAGTGGGACCCCATCCCTTCAAAAAAAGAAAATTCAAGCATTCTGTTCTATAGTCTCTAGCTATGTAACTTTGGTTTTTAAATATTATTTTCACATATTAATAGGGCATGAAAATCAAGATGCCCCGATGACTACCTAAGTTAATCATGTCTTCTCTCAGGGACTGAAAATATTTGCTTTAGTTTAATTATTTATTTATCTAGACAGTTTTTATAATTTGTATTACTATTACTTAAGGTGTTACTACTTATAAAAACTGAAAAAATGGCCAAAAAATGCTTTAAGTTAATAGCAACTCTTCGGTGAATGTGTAGATGTTGAGAGAGAAGCCCAGGGAGCAGCTGAGGCCTGCCCACCCTTCACAAACACATCTCCTACCCTTTCGCTTGAGAGACATGAGAGACCGGAAGAATCCTGATGCTGGGCCAGCCCCGCCAGGCAACTTAAGGTCCACTTCCCCCATCAGCTGAGCCAACTCAGTTCCAGGTAAATCGATGAGCCTTGTGATATTGCTGACCACCAACTCAGTGAAAATCTCAGGTTTCTCATGTCGGAGTTTCTCCACAAAAAAGTCAGGATTAAAGATAATGGGCTGACCTCGAAGGGAAGAATCATTGCAGATCACAAAACTGCAGATGGCATCACTGAAAAACACAGAAGAAAATCTTTCGGGACATCATTTTTGTATGTTTCTTATGCACTACTCATTGGGTTATTTGGTCCTGACTCCACGCAAAGGCAGAGGTTTCCTTATAGTCAGCTTCCTTTAACTGAGCCAGATGCCCTTGAACACTGTTCCTTATAACCACAAAGCCTCACAGAAGGGAAGGCATTTACAGGTACATAAAACAGTAATTAATTCAGCTTTTCCCATGTCCACAAATAGGTTTTACTTTAAAATCCTTCAATTCTGGATGCCTCTGACCCATTCGTCATCATCTAAGTCCAACCTCTGCTCAGACAGGTTCTTCTCTCTAGGGCTCCTGATCTTAGCTGGTTCTCCACTCTTACATTACATTGGGCTATACTCCTGGCAAAGCTCCTTTGAATCTCAGAAATATTTTCTTCCCTGTTCTTTGTTTCCCAATGCCTACTATACCCCTGTATTAGTCCATTTTCATACTGCTGTGAAGAAATACCCAAGACTGGGTAATTTATAAAGAAAAAGAGCTTTAATGGACTCACAGTTCCACATGACTGGGGAGGCCTCACAATCATGGCAGAAGGCGAAAGAGGAACAAAGGCACATCTTACATGGCAGCAGGCAAGAGAGTGTGTGAAGGGTAACTGCCCTTTATAAAACCATCAGATCTCATGAGACTTATTCACGCAGGGAAAAAAACCACCTCATGATTCAATTACCTTCCACCGAGTTCCTCTCATGACATGTGGGGATTATGGGAGCTACAATTCAAAATGAGATTTGGGTGGGGACACAGCCAAACCATATCATTCTGCCCCGGCCCCTCCCAAATCTCATGTCCTCACATTTCAAAACCAATTATGCCTCCCCAACAGTCCCCCAAAGTCTTAACTTATTTCAGCATTAACTCAAAAGTCCACAGTCCAAAGTCTCATCAGGGACAAGGCAAGTCCCTTCTGCCTATAAGCCTGCAAAATCAAAAGCAAGTTAGTTACTTCCTAGGTACAATGTGGGTACAGGCATTGGGTAAATACACCCATTCCAAATGGGAGAAATTGGCCAAAACAAAGGGCTACAGACCCCATGCAAGTCTGAAATCCAACAAGGCAGTAATTAAATCTTACAGCTCTGAAATAATCTCCTTTGACTCCACGTCTCACATCCAGGTCACGATGATGCAAGAGGTGGGTTCTCATGGTCTTGGGCAGCTCTGTCCCTGTGGCTTTGCTGGGTACATCCCCATTCCTGGTTGCTTTCACAGGCTGGCATTGAGTGTTTGCAGCTTTTCCACTGCAGTGCAAGCTGTCAGTGGATCTACAGTTCTGGGATCTGGAAGATGGTGGCCCTCTTCTCACAATTCCACTAGGCAGTGCCCCAATGGGGACTCTGTATGGGGGCTCCCATCCCACATTTCCCTTCTTCTGAACTGCCCTAGCAGAGGTTCTCCATGAGAGCTCCAACCCTGCAGCACACCTCTGCCTTGAGGCATTTCCATACATCCTCTGAAATCTAGGCTGAGGTTCCCAAACCTCAATTCTTGACTTCTGTGCACCCGCAGGCCCAAAACCACATGTAAGCTGCCAAGGCATGGGGCTTGCACCCTGTGAAGCAATGGCCTGAGCTATACACTGTCCCCTTTTAGCCATAGCTGGGACCCAGGGCACCAAGTCCAGGGACTGCGCAAAGCAGCAAGGGACTGTGCAAAGCAGCAAGGCCCTGGGCCCAGCCCACAACATCATTTTTCCTTGTACGCCTCCAGGCCTGTGATGGGAGGTGCTGCTACAAAGGTCTCTGGCATGTCCTGGAGACATTTTCCCCATTGTCTTGGAAATTAGCATTTGGCTCCTCCTTATCTACGCAAATTTCTGCTGTCAGCTTGAATTTCTCTGCAGAAAATGAGTCTTTCTTTTCTACTGCATTGTCAGGCTGCAAATTTTTCAAACTTTTATGCTCTGCTTCCTCTTGAACACTTTGCCACTTAGAAATTTCTTCCACCTAAATCATCTCTCTCAAGTTCAAAGTTCCACAGATCTCTAGGGCAGGGGCAAAATGCCACCAGTCTCTTTGCATAGCAAGGGTGACCTTTATATAAGTTCCCAACAAGTTCCTCATCTCCATCTGAGACCACCTCAGTCTGGACTTCACTGTCCATATCACTATCAGCATTTTGGTCAAAGCTATTCAACAAGTCTCTAGGAAGTTCCAAACTTTCCCACGTTTCCCTGTCTTCTGAGTCCTCTAAACTGTTCCAACCTCTGCCTGTTACTCAGTTCAAAAGTCGCTTCCACATTTTCAGGTATCCTTACAGTAGTACCCAACTCTACTGGTACCAATTTACTGTATTAGTCTGTTCTCACGCTGTTAATAAAGACATACCAGAGACTCGGTAATTTACAAAGGAAAGAGAGGTTTAATGGACTCACAGTTCCACATGGCTAGGGAGGCCTCACAATCATGCTGGAAGGCGAAGGGGGAACAAAGGTATGTCTTACGTGGCAGCAGGCAAGAGAGCGTGTGTAGGGGAACTGCCCTTTATAAAAACATCAGCTCTTGTGAGACTTATTCACTGTCAAGAGAACAGCACAGGAAAAACCTGCCCCCATGATTCAATTACCTCCCACTGGGCTCCTCCCACAACCGTGGGGATTATGGGAGCTAGAATTCAAGACGAGATTTGTGTGGGGACATAGCCAAACCATATCAACCCCTTTTTACTTCTAATATGTTGTTATATTTAAGAACTGTATAATTGAAACTCTTAGAGCAGACACATAGTTTGTATCCATTAACAATAAATTCTAATGGCTTGTTCTAATCTTTATTACATAAGCAGTCATCTATTATATAACCAACAAATGGTCATAACACATAAGCTAGAAAGGACAAGTTATCATATCTCAGTCGGGCAGAATTGAAATTCACCTGACTCATACAAACATACCCACAGTAAAAGCAATCACAACTTAAAAGTGGTCCATTATACCCTAGGTACCAAAGCCCTGTTCCAGGAAAAATGATGGCACTTCTAAATATTAAATATAACTAATCTACAAAGGACATTGTCAATACTACATGGATAATTGTTAATAACAGTATAGTGAAAACAAGGCATGGGTAAACTTCAAAATTCGTCTCTATTTCCTTGAAAACTTATTACATGATTTAATCAATAGCCCACATCTTCAGCTGGTGGCTAGGAGATTCCTTCTTTTCTCTGAAATGACAATGTATTATCAGAAATACCATAAAAATTAAAAACTAGGAATGTATGTCCTCAAGCCAAAAAGTAACTAAAAAAACTAGAATTTAAAATGCTTCTCTCTTCAACCTTTTTACACGCTAGGTTATTTTTCCTGTTCAAATGCCAATGATGATAAATAAAAGCCAATTAGAATTAGAAGCAACTTCATCTTAAATCATTGACAAGAGCCTCTTTTTTTAACATCAGCTTATTTCAGTCAAGAAGCACGGGTCAATATAAGACTATTGTTTATAATCACTGCCAATGAGAAATTACTACCCTATCAGGAGGGCCAGAAAAATCATAAAATGCGTAGCACCAAAAAGAGTCTTATAATTTATTGAGTCTAAACTAATCATTTTCTGGAATTCACATCCCTTTTAATTCTCAATAACTGATTCAGATCAAATTAGCATTAACATAAAAATGTGTATTAATAGGAACCATTATATTCCTGAAACAGAAACACATACATACCTAAAACTTACACTTTTATTAATATCCAGAGCAAAACTCAGGATTCTAACACTTTCAACACAGTTGACCCTTCCAGCACTAAACTGGATCAAATACTGTACATAAGTGAGAAAGAAACTAGAAGCAACATGTATCGTTTTTCAATAGAATCCTTCCTACTTGGACATCATCCCCAAAACTACTCCCTCCTAAACAGCACAAACAGGTAGAAGAATAAACAGGTTCAAGACTGCTCCTACTACTTATAAGGAATACAAGAAAAAAAAAGATACCTTGGATCTCCTAACACATAAGTAACATGTAAACAATCTCAGTTTCTTTTCCCCTCTGTTTTTTCTCCCCTTTCTTCCCATGTTCATTCTTTCTTGTTATGTCACACTTTAATTTCCTTAAGCTAGTTCTTTTCTTTTCCCCTACTTTTCTTTTCTCACTTTTTCTGTGTGGACCACCTGGTAAAACAATATCTAAGAGATGGAAATAGTTAAAAGAGAAATCAAATGGAAGATGAAAGATGGAAAAGAGTTACAGCGGGTTATTTTTCTTAAAGTTATTCCCATATCACAAAGCCCACTAATCCCTTTCCAAAGAATACACAACACCACAATATAAAGCTAAAAATATCAAGAAACATATTTAAGAACTTAAGAAATGTATAGGACTAAAGAAAAAACTACTATATTTAAGCAAAAACAACTTTCTACTCTACAATATTGTAAAACAAACGAAATATACTAAAGTTCAAGAAAATAAATACATTTCTTACATAAGTGCTGAAAGTTTCTGATGAGGCATTGGTAAATCGAAGAGACAGGAAGAAAGCTTTCCCCTTGTTTGTTGTGACAAAGAAACTCTCCTTTCCCTGCCCCAGCACAGCCTACGCAAATTCCAGACATGTTAGAGGATACAAGGGCACATTATGGGGCCTGAAAGGCAGTACTTAGGACTCTGAGCACTCATCTGCAAGAAGGAAAATAGAGATAAAAAACTAGACCAGTTAATTAACTGTATTTGCCAATGCATAGATGAAGCTCAAAAGCAGACTCCCATCACCACTTAAGCTATGCTAGATGAAACAGTTACAAATGTAAAAGCATATAACAGGTAGTTTTACAATATGGGGGAGGGGTGATCCCTACCTCACATCACAGACAAAAAATAAATTCCAAACAAAGTAAAGATCTAAATATGAAAAGCCAAATTTAAAAACATTAAAAAACAATATAGAATAAATTAATGCAACAGAGAAAGAGTTTCTTAAACAAGACATAAAAAGCACAATCTCCAAAGAATCATAAATTTAACTACATTAAATTTTTCTGTATAACAAATGACATTACATACTAAATGTCTTAAAAATGAAGTCACAATGCCTCTAAAGAGAAATGGATAAAAGGGGAAGAAGAGTGGGAGAGAAAGTTTTCACTGTATGCTCTTTTGTATTTTCTGGATTTTATATTCATTTGAACGTACTATCCATTCATAATAAATAAATAAATAAATAGATAAATAAATCTAAAACTTTAAAAGTAATAATAAAATACAAGACAAGCCACAGACTGAAAAAAACATGTTTGCTATGCATATAACCAAGGATCAGTATTCAGAATTTACCAGTAAGCCAAAAAATTAATAAGGAAAAGACACTTGACTCAATAGAAAATTAGTCAAATGACATGATCAGTAACGCAGAGGAGGGGACCTAATGACTAATAAACATAAAAAGAATCTCAACTTTACAAGTTATCAGAATAAAGCAAATTTAAAAATAGTATCTTTCCCTACTCATCACTTAGCAAAATCAAATTCAGGTGGTATATTTTTATTCTCAGTTTGCTATGTTATTTATTTATTTATTTTAGACAGAGTCTCACTCTTGTCACCCAGGCTGCAGTGTAGTGGCACAATCTTGGCTCACTGCAGCCTCTGCCTTCCAGAGGAGATATATATATTTATTTATATATTTACTTATTTAAAATTGTGTATTGGTGTTTAATTTTATCAAATACTTATCAAAAATTTTTTGTGCCTCTATTGATGATCATATAATTTTTCTCCTTTATGGTAAATAATACAGATTTTCTATTGTTAAACCAACCTTGCATTTCTCAAATAACTCAACTTTGTTATGATGTATTATCATTTTTACATGTTGCTGAATTTGGTTTGCTAATAGTCTAGATTTCCCATTCATTCATAAGTGAGATTGGTCTTAAATTTTCCTTGTAATGTCTTCATTAGGTTTTATATCAAGGTTGTTCTAGCCTTATACACTTAGGTGGGAAATATGTCTTTTTTTTTTTTTTTTTTTTTTCAGACAGAGTCTCACTCTGTCACCCGAACTGGAGTGCAGTGGCACGATCTCAGCTAACTGCAACTTCCACCTCCCAGGTTCAAGCAATTCTCCTGCCTCAGCCTCCTGAGTAGCTGGGACTAGGCACACGCCACCCCACCCATCTAATTTTTTTGTATTTTAGTAGAGATGGGATTTCATCGTGTTGCCCAGGCTGGTCTCGAACTCCTGAGCTCAGGCAATCTGCCCGCCTTGGTATCCCACAAGCATGAGCCACCACGCGTGGCCAATATGTCTTATTTTTCTATTTTCTGAAAAAATTTATGTGAGATTAGTGTTATTTCTTCTGTAAATATGTGACAGAATTGGCAGATGAAGCCATCTGAACCTAGAATTTTCTTTGTGAAAAAGTTTTTCATTACACATTCCACTTATTTTGTGTTATGGGACTACTCACATTTTCCTTTACTTCTTGTGTTAATTTTGTTAAGTTGTAGATTTCAAGGAATTTGTCTATTTCACATAAACCTTCAAACTTTATTGGTATAAATTTGTATATAATATCCTCTTATCTTTTTTAATGTCTCTACGTTCCATAGTAATGTCCTCCTCTTTGTTCCTGATATTGGTAATTTTTTTTCAATGTAATTAGCTTTGTCAAGGTTCCAACTTCTAGCTTTGTTGAACCTCTCTATTGATTATGTTTGTTGTTTTTTTTTTTTTTTTGAGATGGAGTCTCGCTCTGTCGCCCAGGCTGGAGTGCAGTGGGACGATCTCGGCTGACTGCAAGCTCTGCCTCCTGGGTTCACGCCATTCTCCTGCCTCAGCCTCCCGAGTAGCTGGGACTACAGGTGCCCGCCACCACGCCTGGCTAATTTTTTGTATTTTTAGTGGAGACGGGGTTTCACCGTGTTAGCCAGGATGGTCTCGATCTCCTGACCTTGTGATCCGCCCGCCTCGGCCTCCCAAAGTGCTGGGATTACAGGCGTGAGCCACAGCGCCCAGCCTGTTTGTTGTTTATTTCATTAGTTTCTTTTTTTTTCTCTTTGAGATGAAGTCTTGCTCTGTTTTCCAGGCCGGAGTGCAATGGCACAGTCTTGGCTCACTGCAACCTCCACCTCCCAGATTCAAGCAATTCTCGTGCCTCAGCCTCCCCAGTAGCTGGAATTACAGGCACACACCACCACACCCAGCTAATTTTTGTATTTTTAGTAAAGGCAGGGTTTCATCATGTTAGCCAGGCTGGTCTCGAACTCCTGACCTCAGGTGATCCACCCACCTCAGCCTCCCAAAATGCTGGAATTATAGGCATGAGCCACCACGCCCAGCCTATTTCATTAATTTCTGCTCTCTTTTTTTTTTTTTTTTTTTTTTGAGACAGAGACTCTCTCTGTCGCCCAGGCTGGAGTACAGTGGCACTATCCTGGCTCACTGTAACTTCTGCCTCCTTGGTTCAAGCGATTCTCATGCCTCAGACTCCTGAGTAGTTGGGATTACAGGTGAGTGCCATTGTGCCCAGCTAATTTTTGTATTTTTAGTAGAGACAGGGTTTCACCATGTTGAGCAGGTTGGTCTCGAACTCCTGGGCTCAAGCAATCCACCCACCTTGGCCTCTCAAAGTGCTGGGATTACAGGCATGAGCCACCACACCCGACCCACAACATTATTTTCTAAACAGCCAAAACTGAAAAAGCAAAATGTCCAGCAGAATTTTAATTTAATGGCTTTATTTGTAATGGAATATTACACAGTAATGAAAATGGACAGACTCTAGCTATATGTACAATCACAGCTAAATCTCACAAATGAAAAGCAAAAGAAGCCACACATACACACACACACACACAAACACACACACACACAGACAACTACATACTATATGATGACATTTATATCAAATTTTAAAAATAAACGAAACTAGTATTTAGAGATACTTGCTTAAATGGTAAACTGTAAAGAGAAGCAGAAATGTATTTACCATAATATTCAGGATAATGGTTACCTTTTGTGGACAGTGATTAAGAGGCATGAAGGTATGAAAGAGTTCCTGAGGCCGGGCGCGGTGGCTCATGCCTATAATCCCAGCACTTTGGGAGGCCAAAGTGGGTGGATCACAAGGTCAGGAGTTCGAGACCAGCATGGCCAACATGGTGAAACCCCGTCTCTACTAAAAAATACAAAAATTAGCAGGGCATGGTGGCGGGCACCTGTAATCCCAGCTACGTGGGAGGCTGAGGCAGAAGAACTGCTTGAACCCGGGAGGTGAAGGTTGCAGTGAGCTGAGATTGCGCCACTGTACTCTAGCCTGGGCAACAGAGCAAGACTCCATCTTAAAAAAAAAAAAAGAGTTCCTGAAGTGCTAATACTGTTCTTGTGGATAAATCACTGAGCTATGCGAAAAGGGGAGCATTTGAAGCAAATATGGCAAAATGTTAAGATTTGCTAAAGCTGGGTAATGGGAAGAATACTGATTATATTATTTTATAAACTTGTATGTATAATTGACGTTTCATGACAAATTTTTTTTAAAGAAACCAAGTAGTTTTGGCTTAAATCTCACTTCAATTTGATATAAATATTATAGAAAATCAAAGTATATACTAAAGACTAATTTCCTCATCATAAAAGTTTTTACATAGATGGCCAGAACCAGGAAAATTAGTAGCTAGATATGTAGGCATACAGAAATAACAAGGGCTCTGGGCAACTATCCCAAAGAATGATAGAGGCAAGACCCCTCAAAAAAGAACAATTTCGGGGAGGTGGCCTGCAGGAGACAGAGGGATTGACAGGATGTTGTGTGTAGCAGCTTTCCTCTGGATACCAATGCTGAGGACACCACATCGGGGCTCTCCTGCCCACTGCTGTGGGTCGCCACCTCCAAGATAACCCCAATGCCAGTGACATCCTTCCCATCAGTCACCACTCCAGCACCAGAAACCTATGAAGGCTGCAACAGCTGTGTTTCCTGTTTTAAAGCACTGCCTTGGCCTCCCAAAGTGCCGAGATTGCAGCCTCTGCCCGGCCGCCACCCCGTCTGGGAAGTGAGGAGTGTCTCTGCCTGGCCGCCCATCGTCTGGGATGTGAGGAGCCCCTCTGCCTGGCTGCCCAGTCTGGAAAGTGAGGAGCGTCTCCGCCCGGCCGCCATCCCATCTAGGAAGTGAGGAGCACCTCTTCCCAGCCGCCATCACATCTAGGAAGTGAGGAGCGTCTCTGCCCGGCCGCCCATCGTCTGAGATGTGGGGAGCGCCTCTGCCCCGCCGCCCCATCTGGGATGTGAGGAGCGCCTCTGCCCGGCCGAGACCCCGTCTGGGAGGTGAGGAGCGTCTCTGCCCGGCCGCCCCGTCTGAGAAGTGAGGAGACCCTCTGCCTGGCAACCACCCCGTCTGAGAAGTGAGGAGCCCCTCCGCCCGGCAGCTGCCCCGTCTGAGAAGTGAGGAGCCTCTCCGCCCGGCAGCCACCCCATCTGGGAAGTGAGGAGCATCTCCGCCCAGCAGCCACCCCGTCCGGGAGGGAGGTGGGGGGGGGTCAGCCCCCCACCCGGCCAGCCGCCCCATCCGGGAGGGAGGTGGGGGGTCAGCCCCCCCGCCCGGCCAGCTGTGCCATCCGGGAGGGAGGTGGGGGGGTCAGCCCCCCGCCCGGCCAGCCGCCCCGTCCGGGAGGTGAGGGGCGCCTCTGCCCGGCCGCCCCTACTGGGAAGTGAGGAGCCCCTCAGCCCGGCCAGCCACCCCGTCCGGGAGGGAGATGGGGGGGTCAGCCCCCCCACCCGGCCAGCCGCCCCGTCCGGGAGGGAGGTGGGGGGGTCAGCCCCCCGCCTGGCCAGCCGCCCCGTCCGGGAGGGAGGTGGGGGGGTCAGCCCCCCGCCCGGCCAGCCGCCCCGTCCGGGAGGTGAGGGGCGCCTCTGCCCGGCCGCCCCTACTGGGAAGTGAGGAGCCCCTCAGCCCGGCCAGCCACCCCGTCCGGGAGGGAGATGGGGGGGTCAGCCCCCCCACCCGGCCAGCCGCCCCGTCCGGGAGGGAGGTGGGGGGGTCAGCCCCCCGCCTGGCCAGCCGCCCCGTCCGGGAGGGAGGTGGGGGGGTCAGCCCCCCGCCCGGCCAGCCGCCCCGTCCGGGAGGTGAGGGGCGCCTCTGCCCGGCCGCCCCTACTGGGAAGTGAGGAGCCCCTCTGCCCGGCCAGCCGCCCCGTCCGGGAGGGAGGTGGGGGGGTCAGCCCCCCGCCCGGCCAGCCGCCCTGTCCGGGAGGTGGGGGGGTCAGCCCTCCGCCCGGCCAGCCGCCCCGTCTGGGAGGTGAGGGGCGCCTCTGCCCGGCCGCCCCTACTGGGAAGTGAGGAGCCCCTCTGCCCGGCCAGCCGCCCCGTCCGGGAGGGAGGTGGGGGGGTCGGCCCCCCGCCCGACCAGCCGCCCCATCCGGGAGGGAGGTGGGGGGGTCAGCCCCCCGCCCGGCCAGCCGCCCTGTCCGGGAGGGAGGTGGGGGTGTCAGCCCCACGACCGGCCAGCCGCCTCGTCCGGGAGGGAGGTGGGGGCGTCAGCCCCCCGCCCGGCCAGCCACCCCGTCCGGGAGGGAGGTGGGGGGGGTCAGCCCCCCTGCCCGGCCAGTGGCCCCGTCCGGGAGGTGAGGGGCGCCTCTGCCCGGCCGCCCCTACTGGGAAGAGAGGAGCCCCTCTGCCCGGCCAGCCGCCCCGTCCGGGAGGGAGGTGGGGGGGGGTCAGCCCCCCTGCCCGGCCAGCCGCCCCGTCCGGGAGGTGAGGGGCGCCTCTGCCCGGCCGCCCCTACTGGGAAGTGAGGAGCCCCTCTGCCCGGCCAGCCGCCCCGTCCGGGAGGGAGGTGGGGGTGTCAGCCCCCCGCCCGGCCAGCCGCCCCGTCCAGGAGGGAGGTGGGGGGGGTCAGCCCCCCCCGCCCGGCCAGCCGCCCCGTCCGGGAGGTGAGGGGCGCCTCTGCCCAGCCACCACCCCGTCTGGGAGGTGTGCCCAACAGCTCATTGAGAACGGGCCAGGATGACAATGGCGGCCTTGTGGAATAGAAAGGCGGGAAAGGCGGGGAAAAGATTGAGAAATCGGATGGTTGCCGTGTCTGTGTAGAAAGAAGTAGACATGGGAGACTTTTCATTTTGTTCTGCACTAAGAAAAATTCCTCTGTCTTGGGATCCTGTTGATCTGTGACCTTACCCCCAACCCTGTGCTCTCTGAAACATGTGCTGTGTCCACTCAGGGTTAAATGGATTAAGGGCGGTGCAAGATGTGCTTTGTTAAACAGATGCTTGAAGGCAGCATGCTCGTTAAGAGTCATCACCAATCCCTAATCTCAAGTAATCAGGGACACAAACACTGCGGAAGGCCGCAGGGTCCTCTGCCTAGGAAAACCAGAGACCTTTGTTCACTTGTTTATCTGCTGACCTTCCCTCCACTATTGTCCCATGACCCTGCCAAATCCCCCTCTGTGAGAAACACCCAAGAATTATCAATAAAAAAATAAATTAAAAAAAATAAATAAATAAATAAAAAAAATAAAATAAAGCACTGTTAATAATAGCTGCTTTTGCATAGAATGTAAAGAAGATGAGAGCTACTGTTCACATAATTCAACAGTTATAGACTGTCGTGTGGTGAACAGGACAGACTTCTGTTCTGTGCCAACTGCCACTCTGTTGCCAATCAATTCCACAGTGACACATAGATCCAGTGTTTCACACTCAGTGAATCTGAGCAGATTTGCTGAGGCTTTGTATGTTGAGTTCACAATGACTTTTTATGGATTTTGTGGAAATCTTGGGAAACAGAGAAGCCTAAAGGAAATTATAATTCCCATTTTCCAGAGTTAAAACCACAAGTCTGCCTTTCTCTTCTACAACTTCCACCACAGTTACTACATCAGGTACAATAAATACCACTGTCCTTGTCTTTGGTGTACAGGCTATAATTTTCTTTCTTTATAAATTCTACACATCTAAGAAACAAACTTATACTCTGTAAGCAGACCCATTACACTGATAAGGACTGGAGATTCATTCACCTAACTCACTGAAACCAAAATACTATCTTTCAAGATGTCCCACATGGAAGACGCTATTCCAGGATCTTTCGATTTCCAAAAGATGCATATAAGCTATTTGAGAGCATCATCCCTGAAGGAAAAATCAGTTAAATCATTTTGTTCAACAGGAAAATTTTAAATATTCTGCACGAATCCTTGTGGCAGTCTTATTTTAAATGGTTGCTGCTTTGGGATTATGTTTCTTTTTTTCTTGACATGCCAAACGTAACTTTCTGTAAGTGACAGAAAATGCTGTCTTGTGCAGACAATGTCAGGACTCTTAGCAGTTTAAATTTAGTCACTTTAAAGCCTGAAAGCTGCATTATTTTCATCCTAACTCAAGATATAACTCAGTGAACAGAATTGAGAAGAGTGTGCCAAATGAGTATCAATCAGGTGGATTGTGGCCTATCATGTCAAAGTGGCATAAATTTATCAATCTAGTAATACTAAAAAAATAATAATTTGTATAACCTACTCACAGTATACAATTACCACTTTTACCACTAGATGGAACCCTACATGTAAGGTGATATGCTCAGTGAAAGGACTGGAAACAATCCACAGCTGAAAAATCAATTACAGAAAAATGAAATGCAAGTGCTTCTGAGGCATGTTGAAGCCATGAATCTGCAAAATTCAAGGCAGTTAAAAAAAAAAAAAACTGCATCCTGCAGATGTATCTTTTGGCTGACTATACCAAAACTGCATACCCACAAAACTAAATGTTTCCTCCCTGGTGAATTGCCTAACTTGATTTGTTTTCCAAGAACCACAACCTTGGCAAGATTTATCAAAATATGAGCTATATTTAAAGTTGTCTAAATCTGATTTACCACCCTGAGAGAAGAATGCCCTCTCTCTTACTGCTTTTTCAACTCTAAAAGGCTCTGAAACACAGCTTTAAATGTGTCACTTTGTTGGAAAGCTGTTAGATAAGAAATACAACTATCAAAGAAAAGACTGTATTCTTCCCTCTTTCTATGTATCAAATTTAAGCCAGTATCATGAAAGCTGTACATAAAAAGAGAAGAGAAAACTAAACAGGCCCTACATGTCCAAGCTGGTGGTGCTTTTTAATACCAGAGACAGTTCAACATTAATAAGTCGTACCACAATTCAGGGAACGATATCCAATTTCTTAGATAAAATTTTTGAAATATTTATACCCTAAGGTCTGCCCTTAGGAGTAGCTGTGCAATGTTTTATAGTATGGACTACAAAATTATCTCTAAGTTAGACTCCAAAAGTCTGCAAATATATTTAGCCCCTATATTTGATCTCAACCTGAACAAATTTCTTTCTTGCTTGCTTTTGTGTGTGTGTGTGTGCGTTTTGTTTGTTTGTTTGAGGCTGGGTCTTCCCTTGTTGCCCAGGCTAGAGTGCAATGGCGCAATCATGACTCACTGTAGCCTCAACTGCCTGAGCTCAAACAATTCCCCCACCTCGTCCTCCCAAGTAGCTGGGACCATAGACATGCACAGCCACACCTGGCTAATTTTTTTTTATTATTTGTAGACACAAGTCTTTCTACGTTGCCCAGGTCTCAAATTCCTGGGCCCAAGTGATCCTCGCACCTCGGCCTCCCAAAGTGCTGGGATCACAGGCATAAGCCACCACGCCCAGCCCAAATTTCAAACTAATAATACAACTTAACCAAAATTAAACTGGCAAACTATTCTGAGATGAAAAAACTCTTGATTGCCTACCTTCTTAACCTAAACATTTTTGGAATCCTAATCTAAGATTCTGCCCTATGGAATGACAATGTAATATTCTCAGTCAAGAATGATGAGTATAAATAATGCCAATTTACTCACTCATTTATTTGCTTGGTAATTTTTATCTTTCTGGGTGTCATATGAATAAGCATTAATTATGCTGCTGACACCTTCCTTAATTTTTCTCCCTCATGCTAGTGTACAATGGGAAGAAAGTTATTTGTATTAAGAAAGTAACATCAGGCTGGGTGCAGTGGTTCACATCTGTAATCCCAGCACTTTAGGAGGCCGAGGTGGACAGATCATTTGAGGTCAGGAGTTCAAGACCACCCTAGCCAACATAGTGAAACCCCATCTCTACTAAAAATACAAAAGAATTAGCTGGGTGTGGTGGTGCACACCTGTAATCCCAGCTACAAGGGAGGCTGAGGAAGGAGAATCACTTGAACCCGGGAGGCAGAGGTTGCAGTGAGCCGAGATCACACCACTGCACTCCAGCCAAGGTGACAGACCAAGACTCCATCTCAAAAATAATAATAATAATTAAAAGAAAAAAAAGGTAACATCAAAATTCCCTATTAACTTGGAAAAAGTTCTATAGGATGCTTCACTGATAATACAGTCTCTTTCTTACCATTTATCTAAAAAATATTTGCTCCTCAAAAAATCAGAGTCAATGCTTCATGAGTCTCTCTTTTCCTATTTTTTTTTTTTCCCCTAAGACAGGGTCTCACTCTGTTGACCAGGCTGTAATGCAGTGTGCAATCATAGTTCACTTCAGCCTTCAACACCTGGGCTCAAGGGATCCTCCCATACTCCCACATCAACCTCCCAAAGTGCTAAGACTAAAGGTGTGTGCCACCACACCTGGCTAATTTTTTAATACAGCCCAGGGTCTCACTATGTTGACCACACTAGTCTCAAACTCCTGGCCTCAAGCGATCCTCCCAGCTCAGCCTCCCCAAGTGCTGGCATTAGGCATGAGCCACTGCACCCAGCCTCCTACAGACTTTTAAGTGCCATGAGTCTCAGGCAATTAAAACTAGAAGTACTTCTACGTATGATCTGATTAGGTCCTAAAAGACTACTTCTATATTCATTTGTTCCAAAGTTCAGAGTGACACATACTATCCAAGAGACAGCTAATGGTTTTTGTTCTGGCACATGACTTGTTCATATCTACACAAGTTCACAAATTGAAAATTCTTAAGAGTTTCTGGCCAGGCACAGCGGCTCATGTCTATAATTCCAACACCTTGTGAGGACAAGGTGGCAGGATCACTTGAGCCTAGGAGTTCAAGACCAGTATAAGCAACCTGACAAGACTCTGTCACTACAAAAAAAAAAAAAAAAAAAAATTGTTTTTAAATTAGCCAGGCATGGTTGCTTGAGTCTACGGTCCCAACTACTCAGGAGGCTGAGGTAGGAGGATCACCTAAGCCCAGGAGGTCAAGGCTGCAGTGAGGTGTGTTCTTGCCCCTGCACGCCAGCCTGAGTCATAACAGAGTGAGACCCTGTTTCAAAAAAGAAAAGAGTTTCTATACTTGTAGTCAGCCAGAAATATTCAATATTTCACAAATTTAACTATAAATCTTTTCATCAACCAACATAAGAAGGTGAATTGCTTTTCTGAGACATATGGTACCCAAACAAGAAATCGATCACTTGTGTGTCATTTAAAATCAATCCAATCATGATCTACTAATTGCTTTGTAACTTTACGGTATTGTAAGGTATAGGGGACAAAAACTAAGGTAAGTCTCTGGCCTCCAGGAACTGAAAATTCACTAAGTGCTACGCGATTTCAAATAGTAGCTAAAGACCACAACGCAAAAGATGATACAAGATCATTAATAGCCAAATGCATGATACAGACAATAAAGGCTCTAAGAATTCAGGAGAGAATCTTTTACCCATATACAAGAGATTTGAGCTAGATCTTAAAGACGTGTAGGAGTTAGACAGTGGGAGAAAAAAAGAGCTAATACTTAAGGTGCTTTTTGGTTTCTCAGGGTTTTTTTAAGAAACATAAAATGTTTTCGCCACACATTAGTGGCCAGCCCTTTTCAAAACATAAATTTAAAGAGAGGTACACAGGGGAGTTACAGAGATAGCACAGTGGACATCTGCTGCTTTTGAATTCCCAATACGTATTTTCCCCTTCCTCTGGTAACAGCACCCCCATTTTCCTTTAAGCAATAAACCTCTCCCCATCTTTCGAATCTATGTGACCTGGTGGGCACTGCCTGTGAGCATGTCATCCAAGCTTAACCAACTGAAACATTCTATTCCCTTCATGAATCCAAGCAAAGGCCCACAAGTCAAACCAGGACAAAAAGTCTCAACTCCAAGACTCTTGTGAATCCTAAAATTGCTAAGCTGGTGGGATGTAAGACTGACACCGTTGGTGGCCTATTACTGCCACTTTTTATACAGAATCTGCCTTCTTAGGAAGCAAATACAGAGGAAACCAGATCTAAGACAGTAAAGAGGTAGATATCTAACAACACTGAGATTTGAGATTTTCCATACAGATTAAACCATACTTGATTTATCCCCTGGACTTTTCAGTTTCTTGAGCCAATTAATAGAGTCTCTTTTTGCTTAAGCTAGTTTTAGTTTCTATCACATATAACTGAAGAATCCTAACAAATATGAATGTGTAAGTCTGTTTGTCCCAGTATGAATCTGAGCCCTCCCTTCTGTATCTTCCCCTTCAGAGCAATGGCTGCCAATCAGTCAGCCATGGCCATGCCATCTCCAGCAAGGTCTGGAACTCTGCCCTAGGGACCCTCTTCCTTGTACATTCTAACTCAGCTGATTCCTGTATCTATTTCTATATTTCTTAGAGATCTCTTTACTTCTTACTAGCCAATTCCTTGTTACTCGAATCCCCAGTTATAGTTTATAACCTATTAAATGTTCTCTGTTTAAAGTACTATGTAGTTTCTTTTTTCTTTTTTTTTTTTTTTTTTTTGAGACAGAGTCTCACTCTGGTCGCCCAGGCTGGAGTGCAGTGGTGCGATCTCGGCTTACTGCAACCTCCACCTCCCAGGTTCAAGCGATTCTCCTGCCCCAGCCTCCCAAGTAGCTGGGATTACAGGCGTCTGCCACCACGCCTGGCTAATTTTTGTATTTTTAGTAGAGACGGGGTTTCACCATATTGGCCAGGCTGGTCTTGAACTCCTGACCTCAGGCAATCCACCCACCTCAGCCTCCCAAAGTGCTGGGATTACAGGCGTGAGCCACCCGCCCGGCTGTTACTATGTAGTTTCTATGGCCTAGCTGAATTTAGTTTATATCGGGTAACAGTAGCAAAACATCAGCACAAAATAAATAGGCTCCAGCATCTGTAGAAACAACCCACCCTAAAAGATGGTTAGTAAAAGTGTAGGTGAGAGTGTTCACTGAAGGTGACCAGAGGGCATCTTCAGGAGGCTGAGGTGGGTGGATCATGAGGTCAAGAGTTCGAGACCAACCTGGCCAACATGGTGATACCCCGTCTCTACTAAAAATACAAAAATTAGCCAGCATGGTGGCGCATGCCTGTAGTCCCAGCTACTCGGGAGGCCGAGGCAGGAGAACTGCTTGAACCCAGGAGACGGAGGCTGCAGCAAGCTGAGATCATGCCACTGCACTCCGGCCTGGGCAACAGAGTGAGACTCTGTCTCAAAAAAAAAAAAAATTGTATTTCAATCACTCTTTTGCTATACTGTTTCCAACCAGAAATGATGCACTTATTGGGAGGAAACTGGGAAACCAAGATAGAAATCAGATCTTGGATGGGTCATATTTTAGATAAGAGGCATTACAGTTTAAGACTCAGAAGGAACCAGACATGGTGGCTCACACCTGTAATCCCAGCACTTTGGGTTGCCAAGGTGGGAGGAGTACATGAGCCCAAGAGTTTGAGACCGCCTAGACAACATAGTGAAACTTCATCTCTATTAAAAAAAAAAAAAAAAAAACTGTCTCAATATTAATAATGGTTGTATCTATCTGGTAAATTGGAGTGGCTAGTTTACCATTTTTCTACATATTTTTCTTTCCTTTTTTTTTCTTTTTTTTAGAGACAGGGTCTCACTCTGGCACCCAGGCTGGAGCACAGTGGTGTCATCATAGCTCACTGCAGCCTTAAGCTCCTAGGTTCAAGCAATCTTCCCACCTCATCCTCCCCAGTAGCTGGGACTACAGGTGCACACCACCACACCTAGCTTTTTTCTCTTATTTTTATTTGTATTTTTTGCTTTTTGTTTTTGAGACATTGTCTCACTCTGTTGCCCAAGCTGGAGTACAGTGGTGCAATCTTGGCTCACTGCAACTTCTGCCTCCCAGGTTCAAGCGATTCTCTTGCCTCAGCCTCTTAAGTAGCTGGGATTACAGATGTGCGACACCATGCCCAGCTAATTTTTGTCTTTTTAGTAGAGACAGGGTTTCACCATGTTGGCCAGGCTGGTCTCGAACTACTGACCTCAAGTGTTCTGCCCACCTTGGCCTCCCAAAGTGCTGGGATTATAGGCGTGAGACACTCAGACCAGCCCCCATTTTTTTCTACATATTTTTCTAGCCTTCTGTAGTAAATATTATATAAGTTTATTTCATAGTGGGGAAGAGGGGAAAAAAGTATATACTGGGGGTTTTTTGAGGCAAGGTCTTGTTCTATTGCCCATGCTAGAATGGTGGCATACTCACGGTTCAGTGCATCCTTGACCTCCCAGGCTCAAGCAATCCTCCTGCCTCGGCCTTCCTAGCAGCTGAGACCAGAGGCATGTGCCACCACGCCTGGCTAACTATTTTTATTTTTAGTAGAGACAATGTCTTGCTAGGTTGCCCAGGCTGGTCTCAAACTCCTGGGCTCAAGTGATCCTACCACCTCAGCCTCCCAAAGTGGTAGGATTACAGATGAGAGCCACCACTTTTAGCCAAACTATATACTCTTAACAAAAAAGAAAGAAAGAAAAAAAAGCATATACTTTTTTTTTTTTTTTTTTTTTCCTGTGAGACTGAGTCTCGCTGTGTCGCCCAGGCTGGAGTGCAATGGTGTGATCTTAGCTCACCACAACCTCCGCCTCCCAGGTTCAAGCGATTCTCCTACCTCAGCCTCCCAAGTAGCTGCGATTACAGGTGCATGCCACTGCACCCAGCTAATTTTTTGTATTTTTAGTAGAGACGGGGTTTCACCATGCTGGCCAGGCTGGTCTTAAACTCCTGACCTCAGGTGATCCGCCCGCCTCCGCCTCCCAAAGTGCTGGGATTACAGGCATGAGACACTGTGCAAGGCCGAAAGTATATACTCTTAAAGCTTCAATGGATTTGTAGGTTGTAGATGTTCCATATAAAAAATGGCTGGACACAGAACAATGCGAATGTAGTTAACATTAATTAACTACACACTTAATAGGTAAGATGATAAACTGTTATGTTTTTTAATACAATTTTTTAAAACAAATTTATTTTTATTTATTTTTTTTAACAACAGGGTCTCAGTCACCCAGGCCAGAGTGTAGTGGCGGCATTCTAGCTTATTGCAGCCTCAAACTCTTGAGCTCAAGTGATCCTCCTGCTTCAGCCTCCCAAGTAGCTGGGACTGCGGGTATGTGCCACCATACCTAGATAATTTTCTCTTTTTTTTTTTGCTTTTTTTTTTTTTTTTTTGAGACAGAGTCTCTCCCTCTGTTGCCCAGGCTGGAGTATAGTGGCACAATCTCGGCTCACTGCAACCTCCAGCTCCCAGGTTCAAGCAATTATCCTGCCTCAGCCTCCCTAGTAGCTGGGATTATAGGCAACCGCCACACACCCAGCTAATTTTATATTTTTAGTAGAGACAGGGTTTCACCATGTTGGCCAGGCTAGTCTCGAACTCCTGACCTCAAGTGATCTGCCCGCCTCGGCCTCCCAAAGTGCTGCGATTACAGGCGTGAGCCACCATGCTTGGCCTAAGCCAAATGTAATGTTTACAGCAAAAAGTTTACAGATTTCCTATATCACTCTTTATAACACTACCGACCCAATTGTTCTGACCAAAGTAAACTTGTGCAACAATATCTGCTTTGCTTTATGCTGTGGTTTCATGCCACTTACCAGTTTATGCAGATTAATTTTAAAATTCTGTTTTCTTCCTTCCCCTCCTTCCAAGACAGGCCTTATTTACAAATATGATCAAACTCTCTAAACCTGATCATTGATAAAATGTAAAATAAAACCAGATTCAAGAAAATCCCCTGAAGAAATCTACTCCTCATTACCCTTCAGATAGAATTTAACAGCACAAATACAAAACTAGATTCAGGTTTTCTCACTTAACTGTGCATGTAAGAACAGACAAGTCTTCCTGGGATCAATAAAGGTTTAAACCTTTTAAACCATTTTTCTCGAAGGAACACATTACTGTCTTATTACAGAAAAAGCAATTTAACCAAAAGGCTCAGGCCAGGCACGGTGGCTCACACCTGTAATCCCAACACTTTGGGAGGCCAAGGTGGGTGGATCACCTGAGGTCAGGGGTTTAAGACCAGCCTGGCCAACATGATGAAACCCCATCTCTACTAAAAATACAAAAATTAGCTGGACGTGGTGGCACATGGCTGTAGTCCCAGCTACTGAGGAGGCTAAGGCAGGAGAATTGTTTAAACCCAGAAGGCGGAGGTTGCAGTGAGGCACGATTGCGCCACTGCACTCCAGCCTGTGCCACAGAGCGAGACTCCGTGTCAAAAAACCAAGGCTCAGAAGTCATGTTTACTAACCAATATTCCATACCTAAGGTATATGTAAATTAACAAGACATAGAACCCTTTCCACATCTTCAGACACCTCCCCTGTCCTCCAGAAACATTTCCAGGCATTCTACTGTCTGTTCCTAAGCTGGCTCTTCATGTAATAATAGTTAGCACTTTCTTTTTAAGTCTCTTTTTAATTAAAAAATACTAAGCTGTGCGTATTTCCCTACTGCCAATTATGAGGAGAAGTAGCTTTATTTCATTTCCTGCTTTCGCCTTTTCTCTTTGACCCTTAAAGGTCTGTATTATGTTTATACTATTATTGATAAAGTGGATAGTTTTTTTTGTTTTTGTTGTTGTTGTTGTTTGTACAGGGTCTCACTCTATCACCCAGGCTAGAGTGCAATGGCAGGATGATGGCTGTTTGCAGCCTCCACCTCCCGAGCTCAAGTGATCCTCCCACCTTAGCCTCCCAAGTAGCTGGGACCACAGGCGTGCATCACCACACCTGGCTATGTGTTTTTATTTTTTTTATAGGATCTCCCTATATTGCCCAGGCTAGTCTCAAACTCCTGGCCTCAGGTGATCTTCCTGTCTCTGCCTCCCCCTCCCAAAATACTGGGATTACAGGCGTGAGCCACCATGCCTGGCAGTGGATATTTTCTATTTGTGATTCCCCTTTAGTATTGTCTGCTTAAGAGTAACTTGAAGGTATAAGAAATGAAATGTGTTAAATTTTAAAGGACCATTCTACTTAATAAAAACCAGAAATGGAAGGGAGGGGGTGTTCCTCATCAACAGGTCAAAAACATAACATGGGAATCTTTATAGGCAGAGCAATTTTTCCTTGTTTAAATCTTTGGCCAGGTGCAGTGGCTCACACCTATATTCCCAACACTTTGGGAGGCCAAGGCAAGAGGAATGCTTGAGCCCAGGAGTTTGAGGCCCACCTGGGCAATATAGGGAGACTCAGTCTCTAGAATAAATTTTAAAAATTAGCCGAGTGTGGTGGCGCATGCCTGTAGTCCCAGCTACTTGAGAGGCTAAGGTGGAAGGATTGCTTGAGCCCAGAAGGTCATGGCTATAGTAAGCCATCATCATGCCACTACACTCCAGCCTGGACCACAAAGTGAGATCCTGTCTCAAAAAAAATCATAATAAGTTTTTTAAAATAAATATTTTGGCTGGGTGCGGTGGCTCACGCCTGTAATCCCAGCACTTTGGGAGGCCAAGGCAGGCAGATCACCTGAGGTCGGGAGTTCAAGACCAGCCTGACCAACACGGAGAAACACTGTCTCTACTAAAAATACAAAATTAGCCGGGCTTGGTGGCACATGCCTGTAATCCCAGCTACTCGGGATGCTGAGGCAGGAGAATCTTTTGAACCCAGGAGGTGGAGGTTGCGGTGAGCCAAGATCGTGCCATTGCATTCCAGCCGGGGCAACAAGAGCGAAACTCTGTCTCAAAAATAAATAAATAAATAAATATTTTATTAAAAGAAGTTAAAGCATTTGTAATTATTAGGAGCAGTGTTAAAATAATGATGAAAAAACAAAAAGCTGGGCAGTTCTAAATGATCACATATTCTGCATTCAATATTTACATATGTATTCATCTGTGCAAATCAGACCATTTTTCCTCTTCTTTATGGAATACAAGAGGCCACACTATCAACAGAACGTTAGAAAGATTAATCCCTGCAGCCGGGAGTGGTGGCTCACACCTGTAATTCCAGCACTTTGGGAGGCTGAGGCAGGTGGATCATGAGGTCAAGAGATGGAGAACATCCTGGCCAAGATGGTGAAACCCCGTCTCTACTAAAAATACAGAAATTAGTTGAGCGTGCTGGCACACGCCTGTAGTCCCAGCTACTTGGGAGGCTAAGGCAGGAGAATCGCTTGAACTCGGGGGGGCAGAGGTTGCAGTGAGCTGAGATCGTGCCACTACACTCCAGCCTGGTGACAGAGCAAGACTCCATCTAAAAAAAAAAAAGAAAAAAAGAACAACAAAAAAAAAAGATTAATCCCTGCAGAGCAAGAGCAAGAAAGAATCTGTAAAGTATTTATCACCACGAGAAAATATTTCTCTTAGAAATGACAGACTACTATTCACTAATTATTGACCACCTACACAAAGCACTGGGAATATGTGATAAATACATATGTGTATCCCGCCCTCAAAATGCCTTACAGAAACCCCAAACTTCTCTCCTTTTTTTTTTTTTTTTTTTTTTTGAGCTGGAGTCTCACTCTGTTGCCCAGGCTGGAGTGCACTGGTGTGATCTCAGCTCACTGCAACCTCTGCCTCCCGGATTCAAGCGATTCTCCTGCCTCAGCCTCCCGAGTAGCTGGGACTACAGGTGCATGCCACCATGCCTGGTTAACTTTTTTTTGTATTTTTAGTAGAGACAGGGTTTCACTGTGTTAGCCAGGATGGTCTCGATCTCCTGACCTCATGATCCACCTGCCTCAGCCTCCCAAGGTGCTGGGATCACAGGCGTGAGCCACCGTGCCCGGCTTTTTTTTTTTTTTTTCGAAACGTAGTCTCGCTCTGTCGCCCAGGCTGGAGGGCAATGGCGCTATCTCAGCTCACTGCAACCTCCACCTCCTAGGTTCAAGCGATTCTCCTGTCTCAGCCTCCCAAGTAGGTGGGATTACAGGCACACGCCACCACGCTCTGCTAATTTTGTGTATTTTTCATTGAGATGGGGTTTCACTGTGTTCCCCAGGCTGATCTGGAACTCCTGAGCTCAGGTGATGCACCCGCCTCAGCCTCAAAGTGCTAGGATTACAGGTGTGAGCCATCGCACCTGGCCCACTTCTCTTTTACAATATGGAATTGATGAAATGGTTTCAGGTTCAGGTACGATTATGTGAATACCTACTGATCATGTAATTAACTAATACTCTCACTGAAAATTTAAATTCAACTGGCAATATACTATAAAGAAATTCAGGCCAGGCGCAGTGGCTGACACCTATAATCCCAGCACTTTGGGAGCCCAAGGCAGGAGGATCACTTATGCCAGGAACTCAAGACCACCCTGGGCAACATGGCAAGACCCCGGTTTCTACAAAAAAACAAAACAACAACAACAACAAAAACACTAGCTGGGCATAGTGGCACGTGCCTGTAGTCCCAACTACTCAGGAGGCTGAGGAGGGAGGACCAGTTGAGCCCAGGAGGTTGAGGCTGCAGGGACCTGTGATCGTATCACTGCACTCCAGCCTGGGCAACAGAAGGAGCCCTGTGTTAAAAAAAAAAAAAAGAAAGAAAGAAAGAAAAGAAAAAGAAAAGAAAAGAAAATAAATTCAAACTACTCTTGCTATGGAATAGTATTTTATTTGTCCTCAGATTTTCACCAAAATTTAGAAATTTTTAAAGAACTGGATGAAGGATGATCTAATCAAATGTATCAATCACCTCTACAGTTCCCGGGCAAAAAAAAAAAATGATCAACCATTTATAGGCAGCTTCAAGAGTGGAAAACTCGGGCAACCCCCTTTGGGTCCCCTCCCTTTGTATGGGAACTCTGTTTTCACTCTATTTCACTCTATTAAATCTTGCAACTGCACTCTTCTGGTCTATGTTTGTTATGGCTGGAGCTGAGCTTTTGCTCGCCCTCTACCACTGCTGTTTGCCGCTGTCGCAGACCCGCCGCTGACTCCCATCCCGCTGCTGACTCCCATCCCTCCGGATCTGGCAGGGTGTCTGCTGTGCTCCTGATCCAGTGAGACTCCCATTGCCACTCCCGATCGTGCTAAAGGCTTGCCATTGTTCCTGCATGGCTAAGTGCCTGGGTTCGTCCTAATCAAGTTGAACACCAGTCACTGGGTTCCACGGTTCTCTTCCGTGACCCACAGCTTCTAATAGAGCTGTAACACTCACCCCATGGCCCAAGATTCCATTCCTTGGAATCGGTGAGGCTGAGAACCCCAGGTCAGAGAACACTAGGCTTGCCACCATCCTGGAAGCGGCCCGCCATCATCTTAGAAGCGGCTGGCCACCATCTTGGGAGCTCTGTGAGCAAGGACCCCCGGTAACATTTTGGTGACCACGAAGGGGCATCCAAAGCGTTTGTCTCTTCCAGAATTGAAACTGTAAAACTACAAATCATTCTTCAAATGGAGCCCCAGATGCAGTCTATGACTAAGATCCACCGCGGACCCCTGGAACAGCCTGCTAGCCCATGCTCCGATGTTAATGACATCGAAGGCAACCCTCCCGAGGAAATCTCAACTGCACAACCCCTACTACGCCCCAATTCAGCAGGAAGCAGTTAGGGCGGTCATCGGCCAATCTCCCCAACAGCACTTGGGTTTTCCTGTTGAGAAGGGGGACTGAGAGACAGGACTAGCTGGATTTCCTAGGCCAACTAAGAATCCCTGAGCCTAGCTGGGAATGTGACCGCATCCACCTTTAAACACGGGGCTTGCAACTTAGCTCACACCCAACCAATCAGAGAGCTCACTAAAATGCTAATTAGGCAAAAACAGGAGGTAAAGAAATAGCCAATCATCTCTTGCCTGAGAGCACAGCGGGAGGGACAAGGATCAGGATATAAACCCAGGCATTAGAGCCAGCAACGGCCACCCACTTTGGGTCCCCTCCCTTTGTGTGGGAGCTGTGTTTTCACTCTATTTCACTCTATGAAATCTTGCAACTGCAAAACAAAAACAAAACAAAACAAAAAAGAGTGGAAAACTCTTCCATATCATATTTTATTTTATTTATTTATTTGAGACATAGTCTTGCTCTGTCACCCAGGGTGGAATGCAATGGCGCATCTGGGCTCACTGCAACCTCCGCCTCAACCTCCTGAGTAGCTGGGACTACAGGCGCCCGCCACCACACCCGGCTAATTATTGTATTTTTAGTAGAGACGGGCTTTCATCATGTTCGCCAGGCTGGTCTCGAACTCCTGATCTCAGGTGATCCGCTCCCCTCGGCTTCCCAAAGTGCTGGGATTACAGGCGTAAGCCACCATGCCCGGCCCCGTATGATATTTTAAATAACACACTCAACCACGCTCATCTGGGCTCAGGAAGAAGCCGAGTCACAAAGTTATTAGTTTCCCAAGATTCTTGGAATCTCTTATTCGGTACAAATGGAACCAAAAGACGCCAAACCGAAGTATTTTACTGAGTTACACTGAGGCAACGTAAATAAACTCAATCTATTGAATTACACCAAAAACAAAATTGTAATCAATTAAGACAACTTAGGTCTCAAGGCTAAGGCAACACCACCTCGAAATTCTCTCCTGAAAACGCTAAATCTCGGTGTGGCTGTTTAGGAAAGAACATCCTGTGGAAATAAAGTCATGATGTCCTGGACTACAGATCCCTCTCCCATCTGCTCCTTAGCTGTTCTACTAGGAAGAAGAAAATCTATTGCGTAGAGTTGTCATTATCGGCTAAACTCAGTGCTAGCTTTAAATGGATTGTCTTATTCAATCTTGACACTTGGAAATAGGCATCCTCACGTCCCTTTGCAGATGAAGAAACTGAAGTCGAGAGAGGTTTAAAAACTGGCCCAAGGACTCAACACTGTTTCTAATTGACACTCAAATCCTTGCTCGGACCTGAACGCACAAAGTGCCTCGGAGAAGATGTGAAGCGCTGTGTGCAACAGTGAGGAATTCGCTAACCAGCCCTGGACTTCCGTTTCCTCGCCATCAAGAGGTGTCTCGGCGCCAAAGCGATCAGCGCTGCCACCCCCAGCTGGACGTCTGCAGCCAGCGCAGCGGGAGGAGCCCCCTCGGGCACCGGCAGGACCGAGCGGGGGGTTTGGCTGGAGTCCAGCGCCCAGGCCCGACCCCCGCGCCTCAGCCCCCGCAGGCGCGACGATGAGAAACGCCGTGGGAGAAAGAAACAAAGCCCGAACCGTGCGCCTCCGTGACCCAAGGCAAAGGCGGCAGGACTACCAGCCCAAGGCCGCGTTTCCCAGGAAACTGGACCAAACTCAGCTCACCTCCGGCCGGATTCGCGGGCTGGCACCTCCCCTTCACTCTGTGCCTCAGTCGCCATCTTCGTCAGCAAACTTCTTTCACCGCCCCACCTTACGTCCCGCCCCCACATATTTGGATTGGCTAATATGTTTTCACCTCTTCCGTGCGATTGGATGACTCGACCGCCCCTCCTCAACCTGAACCGTTTAATATATTATTGGTCTATTCAAATGACTAACCGTCATTGGTCGTTCCCAGCCCTGGCGGAAAAAGAGGGAGGGGCGGGGAAGAAGACCCAGCCCCGAGGCCTGCCGGGAGTTGTAGTTTCTCATTTTGATGAACCCTTCCGATTCCACAGACCTTTAGGTTCAAGTCAGAAATCACCAGCCTATGCTCAAATTTTGTCCTGATATGTAAATCAGGGAATTATAGAACTGTCAACTTTGAAAGTGACTCATCACTTTCTAAAATGCAAGACTCCGTACCCTATATCTCAGCATCACACAATATACCCAGATAACAAACCAACTCATGTACCCCCTAAATTTAAAATAAAAGTTGAAAATAAATAATTTTTTTTTACAATTTTTTTAATTTTTTTTTTCTGTTGAGACAGGGTTTCACCATGTTGCCCAGGCTGGTCTCGAACCCCTGAGCTCAAGCAATCCTCCTATGTCAGCCTCCCAAAGTGCTGGGATTACAGGCATGAGGCACTGCACCCAGCCATAAATTAATTCATTTAATTTAATGTAATTTAATGCAAGACTCGTTCTCTGTCTTGACCCAGAGATAAATCCCTCAAGTGCAGGCAGGGAGTGGCAACCTAGAAGTACTTGCTTTTAAACGTATAGTTCAAAGCCTTCTTTCTTCAGATACTCAGCATAGCCCTAGCCATAGGTCATTTCTTTCTTCCTTTATTTCTTTCTTTTTTTTTTTTTTTTGAGATAAGGTCTCCCTCTGTCTCCCATGCTGGAGCACAGTACAATATTGCAGCATACCAACACACAGGGCAAATTTTTGTACTTTTTGTAGAGATGGGGTTTCACCCTGTTGGCCAGGCTGGAGTCGGTCATTTCTGCTTCAATACATTCACTCCCTTCCAACTTCCCAGAGAACCCACAGAGTTTGCCTTGTGATATGAACCATGGAACCAAAAGCTGCATGACTTTGTCCCAAACTAAACTTTAATCCTCAATGGTAGGAATAACCATAATTATCCTTGTCCTCCCTGCGGCACACACTTCTCCTAGGGATTAACTGAGGCAACATATGTGAGAACATTGTAAATTTTGAGCATTGTTGTTTTTTGTTTTTCCATATTGTTTTCCTATGCTGGACTTTTCTCGGGAATTTCTGTATTGATCCTTCTGATATCCTGCCACCTGGGGCTCTCCCTGCACTCTGCCTCCTTTTTACTAAACTGTACTGCACATGCTTCACTTTCTGAACTGTCTTAGGGCTTTTGCACATGTTGCTTTTTCTGGCTCGTCCATTTTTCCACTTTTTTGGCTTTCAGGTCGAAGCTTAAATGTCACTGGCTCAAAGATCTTCCATGACCCCCATTGTATAAATCAATTCCCTCAGTAAACTTTCACAAAGAACTCTGTACTATTCTTTCACAGTTCATATCACAACTCACAATTACATAGTCATTTGTGTGACTATTTATTTCATGTGAGGGTTCCCAGCTAGGCTTCCTGCCACAAGTGGGCAGAGACTATATTTATTTTGCTCCCCACAGTTTCTGGCACATAATGGCTGTCCAATAAATATTTTTGAAAAATATAAGCAAGTCCTCAAACTATTATATCCAAATAAAAAATCAAATCATATACTCTAATAGATTTTTTTCAATTGATGAATTAATACTAAAAGTTTGATAAGGGCTAGGCACAGTGGCCTACACCCATAATCCCATCACTTTTGGAGGCTGAGGCAGGAGGATCACCTGGGCCCAGGAGTTCAAGGTTAAAGTGAGCTATGATTGTGCCACTGAACTCCAGGCTGTGCGACAGAATGAGACCCTTTCTCTAAAAAAGAAAATAAAAGTTTGATAAATGTGTCCAAATAAAATTGCATTTAGTTTGATGTTTTTTATGTTTTTTGTTTGAAACAGAGTCTCACTCTGTTGCCTAGGATGGAGTGTAGTGGCATGGTCTCCACTCACTGCAACCTCTGCCTCCCGAGTTCAAGCAATTCTCCAGCCTCAGACACTCAAGTAGCTGGGATTACAGGTGTGTGCCACCACATCTGGCTAATTTTTGTATTTGAGTAGAGATGGGTTTTGCCACGTTGGCCAGACTGGTCTCGAACTCCTGAACTCAAGTGATCTACCCACCTAGGCTTCCCAAAGTGCTGGGACTACAGGTGTGAGCCACCATGCCCAGTCTTATTTAGTTTGATGTTTAACAAATCATGTTTATTGAGCAAATACATGGAAAGAAACATAAAATTTAGCAAACGTATCAGTGAAATTTTTCATTGAACCTCAGACAGCCTTAGAAAATCCAGGCTGGGATCACTTGAGCCCAGGAGATTGAGACTACAGCAAGCCATGTTCATGCCACTGCACTCCACCCTGACAGAGCAAGACCCTGTCTCAAAAAAACAAAAAACAAAAAACAAAAAAAGAAAAAGAAGCCAAGTGTGATGGCTCACGCCTGTAATCCCAGCACTTTGGGAGGTCGAGGCAGGTAGATCACTTGAGGTCAGGAGTTCAAGACCAGCCTGACCAAAATGGTGAAATCCCATCTCTACTAAAAATACAAAAAAATAGCCGGGCATGGTGGCACACACCTGTAATCCCAGCTACTCAGGAGGCTGAGGCAGGAGAATCGCTTGAAACCAGGAAGTGGAGGTTACAGTGAGCCAAGATCATGTGCCACTGCACTCCAGCCTCGGCAACAGAGTGAGACTGTCTCAAAAAGAAAAGAAAAGAGAAAAAAAGGCCAGGCGAGGTGGCTCGCACCTGTAATCTCAGCACTTTGGGAGGCTGAGGCGGGTGGATCACCCGAGGTCAGGAGTTCCAGACTAGCCTGGCAACATGGTGAAACCCTGTCTCTACTAAAAATACAAAAATTAGCCGGGCGTGTTGCCACACACCTATAATCCCAGCTACTCGGGAGGCTGATGGAGGAGAATCACTTGAACCCAGGAGATGGAGGTTGCAGCGAGCCGAGATCGTGCAACTACACTCCAGCCTGGGCAATAGGTTGAGGCTATGTCTCAAAAAAAAAAAAAAAGAAAGAAAGAAAAGAAAATCCAGGTTGTGTTAATTGCTATATATACAAAGCAAGGAACCCAAGGCTCAAATTCTGCCCTTCCCTCAAAATAAGAACTAGTTTTGTTTCTAGCCCCATGACACCCAGCACATGGACTGATGGATTGAATGAAATTGATGCTTTCACAAAAGAAAAACTGTTCAAAACTTTAAAGTATTACCACTGCAACTAGGAGGAACGCCACAAAACTATATTTCTGGTTCATTTTTTTTAATGAAGAATCGCACCTTTTTTTTTTTTTTGAGACAGAGTCTCACTCTGTCACCCAGGCAAGAGTGCAGTGGCATGATCTCGGATCACTGCAACCTCCGCCTCCCAGGTTCAAGCAATTCTCCTGCCTCAGCCTCCCGAGTAGCTGGGACTACAAGCACCCACCACCACACCCGGCTAGTTTTTGTATTTATAGTAGAGACAGGGTTTTGCCATATTGGCCAGTCTGCTCTCGAACTCCTGACCTCAGGTGATCCACCCACCTCGGCCTCCCAAAGTGCTGGGATTACAGGCATGAGCCACCACACCTGGCCAAATCACATGTTTATATAATGTTTGGGAAAATACAGCACAGTAGTTACATGGGCTCTGGAGTTAATAAACCCAAGTTCAAATCCTGGCTCCAGAGCTCCTAGCTATGTGACCCTGGATAAGTTACTTAGCTTTCTGATTCCATTTCCTCTTCTGTAAAATGAGGATAATAAGTCTCACAAGGGTATGGTGAAGAGTAAAATAAGATAATTTCTGAGACTGGGCGCAGTGGCTCATGCCTGTAATCCCAGCACTTTGGGAGGCCGAGGCGGGCGGATCACCTGAGGTCGGGAGTTAGAGACCAGCCTGATTAACATGGAGAAACCCCGTCTCTACTAAAAATACAAAATTAGCCAGGTATGGTGGCACATGCCTGTAATCCCAGCTACTTGGGAGGCGGAGGCAGGAGAATCGCTTGAACCCGTAAGGCAGAGGTTGTGGTGAGCCGAGATCGCGCCATTGCACTCCAGCCTGGGCAACAAGAGCGAAACTCCGTCCCAAAAAAAAAAAAAAAAAAAAAGATAATTTCTGAAAAGCTGCTTAGTAGCACAGTGTCTAGAACATACTAAGATTAGATCAATGTTGGAGACGACATGATGAATATTAAGAATGCTAAACTCGGCCAGGCGCAGTGGCACACGCTGGTAATCTCAGCACTTTGGGAGGCTGAGGCAGGTGGATCATAAGGTCAGGAGTTCAAGACCAGCCTGGCCAACATGGTGAAATCCCTGTCTCTACTAAAGATACAAAAAAATTAGCATGGTGTCACGCGCCTGTAATCCCAGCTACTCAGGAGGCTGAGGCAGGAGAATCACTTGAACCCGGGAGGCAGAGGTTGCAGTGAGCTGAGAATTGCACTCCAACCTGGGCAACAGGGCAAGACTCTGTCTCAAAAAAAAAAAAAAAAAAAAAAAGAATGCTAAAAGAACGCTAAACTTGCTGGGCATGCACCTGTAGTCCCAGCTACTGCTGAGGCGGGAGGATTGCTTGAGCCCAGGAGTTCTGTATTACAATGCACTATGCCTATGGGGTGTCTGCACTAAGTGTGGCATCAATGTGGTGACCTCCCAGGAGTGGGGGCCACCAGGTTGACTAAGGAGGGGTGATACAGCCTAGGTTGGAAGCAGAGTATATCAAAAACCCCATGCTGGCTGGGCACAGTAGCTCACGAGACCAGCCTGACCAACATGGCGAAACCCCGTCTCTACTAAAAATACAAAAAATTAGCCTCCATCGGGAGGCTGAGGCAGGAGAACCGCTTGAACCTGGGAGGCGGAGGTTGCAGTGAGCTGAGATTGCGACACTGCACTCCAGCCTGGCCGACACAGTGAGACTCTGTCTCAAAACAAACAAAAACCGTATGCTGATCAGTAGCACAATTGTGCCTGTGGATAGCCACTGCACTCCAGCCTGGGCAACATAGTAAGACCCTGTCTCTAAAATAAATAAAGAAATAAAAGAATGCTAGACTCCCTTCTCTCCCTTCTCGGATAACACATCTATCTCCATGGCTGTGTGATAAGGACTACACATTACATCACGGTTACAGTTTAATCAGTTACTCTGGAGAGAGAAGTGTTTCTCCTCAAAACCAACTGTTCTGCTGTGACTTCTGATTAAAAGCAAATATCATTGCTGAGTGCTGTAAAAACACAAACTCAGCTGACAAGCCCACACACCTTTATTTCTGCAGGGGTATCATGACTTCCCTGAAGTCATCCTTACTCTATCTAGGTACAGAGTGTCAGCCTGGTGATAAGTGTGTACAGCAGGAATTCAAGACAGTTCAGAAAGTTATCTTGTTTTCAACAGTCTAGTTGAACAAAAGGTCACAGAAAGGTGGCCCCAGCCCTCAAATAGTTTACAGTAGACTCAGGGAGACAAAATGAACACATATAAGTCACACACCACAGAAGATAGTTTAGAATTACGGGGGCTGGGTGGGGGCTAAATATCAAAGTAGGGAACAGACTCTAGGAATTCAGAAGTGTGGAGAAGGGAAGAGGCCAAGACTGTCAGGAGGGTTTAGGAGCAAGCCCTAGGACTTGAGTCGGCCATGGATGTCACTACAAATCCATCTACCTACCCCACAAGACTGCGAGCTTTGGGGGCAGAAGTGGTGTTCTAATCATCTTTGTTTTTCCAGGCCCTAGCCTCCATGGCAGGGAAAAAGGGAGGGAGGAAAGCTGGGAAGGAAGTCAACAAAGGAACATGTTGGAAAAGGAAGAAAATGAAGATGTGCTCCCGACCCCACCTCTAACTTCACCCTTCAACAGTGCAGATGACTCGCAGACCTTGATGCATCTTTGTGTTTTATACTTTTGTTCTAGCTCTGCCCTCTGTTTAAATTAAAGCAAGACTTTTTTTTTTTTTTTTGAGATGAAGTCTTGCTCTGTCGCCCTGGCTGGACTACAGTGGTGCGATCTCAGGTCACTGTGCTGCAACCTCTGCCTTTCAGGTTCAGGCGATTCTCCTGCCTCAGCCTCCCTAGTAGCTGGGACTATGAGTGCGCACCACCACGCCTGGCTAATTTTTGTATTTTTAGTAGAGACAGGGTTTTACCATGTTGGCCAGGCTGGTCTTGAACTCCTGACCTCAAGTGATCCGCCCGACTTGGCTTCCCAAAGTGTTGGGATTATGGGCATGAGCCACCTAGCTGGGCCTAAAGCAGGACATTTTGATGCCCACATCAAAATACAAAAGCATCATGTGCACAATAAGCATTTCTGAGCCTTGCATCGGTTTCTAATCTTGTTAGGGATGGGGTGAGGGTGCCTACTGAATATCTTTTAAAAAACGAAAATCTAGGCCGGGCACGGTGGCTCACGCCTGTAATCCCAGCACTTTTGGAGGCCAAGGCGGGCGGATCACGAGGTCAGGAGATCGAGACCATCCTGGCTAACACGGTGAAACCCCGTCTCTACTAAAACACAAAAAATTAGCCGGGCGTAGTGGCGGGTGCCTGTAGTCCCAGCTACTCGAGAGGCTGAGGCAGGAGAATGGCGTGAACCCGGGAGGTGGAGCTTGCAGTGAGCCGAGATCGCGCCACTGCACTCCAGCCTGGGTGACAGAGCAAGACTCTGTCTCAAAAAAAAAAAAGAAAAGAAAATTTAGGCTGGGCGCGGTGGCTCATGCCAGCACTTTGGGAGGCCGAGGTGGGCGGATCACGAAGTCAGGAGTTCAAGACCAGCCTGGCCAACATGGTGAAACCCTGTCTCTACTAAAAAAAAAAAAATACAAAAATTAGCTGGGCATGATGGCAGGCGTCTGTAATCCCAGCTACTCGGGAGGCTGAGAAAGGAGAATCACTTGAACCCGGGAGACGGAGGTTGCAGTGAGCCAAGATCACGCCATTGCACTCCAGCCTGGGCAACAGAGCGATACTCCATCTCAAAAAAAATAAATAAAAGAAAGAAAGAAAATCTAAAATGTGATTGTGTTTGTTCTCTTGTCAAAATAGCCAACACTCCCACCAAAATATCATGTAGTTACCTGGAATACCAGTTGCCTTCTTTCTTTTCTCCCTAACTTGTATTCGTTATAAAACCATCTTTGAAATTACCATTTTAATGGCTTTCTTTTCACCTGTTAATATTTCTTTTTTTTTCTACAGACAGGGTCTCACTATGTTGCCCAGGCTGGTCTCAAACTCCTGTCTTCAAGTGATCCTCCCACCTTGACCTCCCAAAGTGTTAGGATTACAGGCATGAGCCACCACATCCAGCCACCTGTTAATATTTAGTGCTCTTCTTTTTTTATTGTTTAATTACACAAGTAATACAGAAAGATATTTTCATTATTAAAAAAACTCAAGTAATATGAATAAAAATTTACCCTTGTCTACATTCTTCTTTTTTTTTTTTTTTTTTTTTTTTTTTTGAGACGGAGCCTTGCTCTGTCGTCCAGGCTGGAGTGCAGTGGCACGATCTGGGCTCACTACAACCTCCGCCTCCCAGGTTAAGGGATTCTCATGCCTCAGCCTCCCCAAGTAGCTGGGATTACAGGTGCCCGCCACCACGCCCGGCTAATTTTTGTATTTTTAGTAGAGACAGAGTTTCACCATATTGGCCAGACTGGTCTCGAACTCTTGATTTTGTGATCCGCCTGCCTTGGCCTCCCAAAGTGCTGGGATTACAGGTTTGAGCCACCGCGCCCGGCTTTACCCTTGTCTACATTCTGGTCCCTCTAAGAAACCATTATTTTCAGTTTTATATGTGTCCTTCCAGATCTTTTTCTATATAATATTTTAATTCGACAAATATTTATTGAGTGTCTACTATGTGCCACACACTGTTCTAGGCCTGGGAATATAGGTATGAACAAATAAAGTCCTTCTTTTTCAGCATTTCACTATAATGGTAGCACACACATGCACAGAGAAATACATAATTTTGTCTGGGTATGGTGGCTCATGCCTGTAATCCCAGCACTTTGGGAGACTGAGGCGGACAGATCACCTGAGGTCAGGAGTTTGAGACCAGCCTGACCAACATGGCGAAACCCTGTCTCTACTAAAAATACAAAAATTAACCAGGCGTGGTGGCACATATCTGTAATCCCACCTACTTGGGAAGCTAAGGCAGGGAGAATCGCTTGAACCCAGGAGGCAGAGGTTGCAGTGAGCCAAGATCACGCCATTTCACTCCAGCCTGGGCAACAGAGTGACACTCCATCTCAAAAAAAAAAAAAAAGACATACATAACTTTGTTTTAATTTTTAAATAAAGAGTGATATACTGTACTGTCCTTAGACATGTATTATGGAGATCTTTCCACATCTATGTGCATAGTTCTGCCATTACTTTTTTGAACCGCTGCATGGTATTCCACACTGTAGATGTTTCTGCATTTATTTAAACCATCCCCTCTAATTGAACTTTTATGTATATGTCAGGCAGAGTTGCAAGCACTGAAAATGGACTTACCTAACAGAAACAGAAACTGGATTTGTTGGAAGGAAACTAGACTGAAGAACTGCCTGGAAGAAAAGGGGTTAGAGAGCAGGAAACCCAGCTGAGGTCACGCCATCCAGACCTGTCCACTGCAGCAGGCTCCCCTCCACCGAGTGCCCATTTATCCTTGTGGGCTTGTCACTCCCTGGAAAGACAGAGTCTTGAGTGAGAATGTCTGGCAGGCCAAGCCTAGGTCTCATGCCTCCACTGTCTGCTGGGAGAAGAGCCTTGCCTCCCACTAGAATTCTCCCTGTGGAGAAAACTCCCAAAGGGGGGAATAATTAAGGGACACACATTTCCTACAAATCATTCTCAATTTTTTGCCTCCCACGTCTCTTTGTGTACACAACCACATGTTTATTCAGGGCTGGGGCAAAACTTAATGCCACACGGGTGGATCACCTGAGGTCAGGAGTTCGAGACCAGCCTGGCAAACATGGTGAAACACCATCTCTACTAAAAATACAAAAATTTAGCCGGAAGTGGTGGCGGATGCCTGTAATCCCAGCTACTTTGGAGGCTGAGGCAGGAGAATCATTTGAACCCAGGAGGCAGAGGTTGCAGTGAGTCGAGTCGAGATTGCACCACTGCACTCCAGCCTGGGCAACAAGAGCAAAACTCTACCTCAAAAAAAAAAACAAAAACAAAAACAAAAAACTTAATGCCTCAGTCTTCTTCGGACACACCAAAGACTCTAGCATCTACATCATTCCATATGCAGAAAAAAAGAAAACCGTCTTCAGCTTTGCTGTGGAATGCTCTTCAAGACTGACCACGGGACCAGAGAGTGGGAAAGGGGACTCAGTGAGGTGAGGGAAGAAGAACCAACTCTGTGCTGCTAAAAACATTCAGTGCTGGAACTCCAGGATAAAAACTCTGGAGGTCACTTTCCCCAGCCAGGAGAACTACAAGCTGGGAAAGGTCACTGGTAGGAAGCTAGCAGAGAGGGCTGAAAGCACAAGCAGTCACAGAGCATTGTGATGGGGACTCGGCCACCTCAGGCACTGAGCTCAGTGTTGGGGCTATGGAGAAGGAGTCGTGGATCCTACGCTCAGGAGGCTTGCAGACTGGGGCCCGAGGGCAAGGGTGCTATGCCATCTGGGCCACAACAGAGCAAAGGACTGAACTTTCCAAAAGCAAGAAGATACTCCCAGAAGACAGGCCTGGCATGGGGACCAGGTCTGAGGGCCTGGGTGACGTGGGTGGCATGGGTGACCCTGAGCCTGACAGGGTGAGCGCGAAAGCCTGCAAACACACCAAACATTTGAAATCTCTCTGGCTGCTGTGGTTTGAATGTCCAATTTAAAACTCATGTTGGCCAGGTGCAGTGGCTCACTCCTGTAATCCTTGCCCTCTGGGAAGCCGAAAGGGCGGATCACCTGAGGTCAGGAGTTCTAGAACAGCCTGGCCAACAGAGTGAAACCCCGCCTCTACTAAAAATACAAAAAAAAGGAAAAAGATTAGTTGGGCATGGTGGTGCGTGCCTGTAGTCCCAACTACCTGGGAGTCTGAGGCAGGAGAATTGCTTCAACCCGGGAGGTGAAGGTTGCACTGAGCCAAGATCACTCCACTGTACTCCAGCCTGGGTGACAGAGTGAGTCTCCACCTCAAAAGAAAAAAAACTAATGTTGAAACTTAATCCTCAATGTGGCAATATGGAGAGGTGGGTCCTTCATGAATGTATTAATCCATTCACAGATTAATGAATGAATGGGTTAATAGATTAGTGGGTTGTCACGGGAGGAGAACTGGTGACTTTATTTATTTATTTTTATTTAGTTATTTATTTATTTTGAGATGGGGTCCCATTCTGTCACCCAGGCTGGAGTGCAATGGTGCAATTATGGCTCACTACACTCTCAACCTGGGCTCAAGCAACTCTCCCACTTCAGCCTCCCAAGTAGCTGGGACTACAGGCACGCACCACCATGCCCAGCTAATTTTTTCTTTTTTTTTTTTTGGTAGAGACACATCTTGCTTTCTTGCCCAGGCTGGTCTTGAACTCATGTCCTCAAATGATCCTCCCACCTTGGCCTCCCAAAGTGCTGGGATTACAGGCATGAAGCCACCGCACCAGGCCAAGCTGGTGGCTTTACAAGAAGAGGAAGAGAGGCCGGGCATAGTGGTTCACGCCTGTAATCCCAGCACTTTGGGAGGTGGAGGCGGGTTGATTACCTGAGGTCAGGAGTTTGAGACCAGCCTGGCCAATATGGTGAAACCCTGTCTCTGCTAAAAATACAAAAATTAGCCAGGTGTACTGGTGGGTGCCTGTAATCCCAGCTACCCGGGAGGCTGAGGCAGGAGAATCGCTTGAACCTGGGAGGCAGAGGTTGCAGTGAGCTGAGATCATGCCATTCCACTCTAGCCTGGGCAACAAGAGCAAAACTCTGTCTAAAAAAAAAAAAGGCCGGGTGTGGTGGCTCACGCCTGTAATCCCAGCACTTTGGGAGGCCGAGGCGGGCAGATCACGAGGTCAGGAGATCGAGACCATCCTGGCTAAGAGGTGAAACCCCATCTCTACTAAAAATACAAAAAATTAGCCGGGCGTGGTGGCAGGCACCTGTGGTCCCAGCCACTCGGGAGGCTGAGGCAGGAGAATGGTGTGAACCCGGGAGGCGGAGTTTGCAGTGAGCCGAGATCGCGTCACTACACTCCAGCCTGGATGACAGAGCGAGACTCCGTCTCAAAAAAAAGAAAGAGGAGGAAGAGAGACCTGAGCTAGCACACTCAGCCTCCTTGCCATGTAATGCCCTGTACCATCTTGGGACTCTTCACAGAGTCTCCATCAGCAAGAAGGCTCCCACCAGATGCAGCCCCTTGACCTTGAACTTCTCAGCCTCCATAATTGTAAGAAATAAATTTATTTTCTTTATAAATTACCCGGTTTCAGGAACTCTGCTATAAGCAACAGAGAACAAACTAAGACCCTAACCCAGGCCTCAGGTCAGAAGGCCACAGGGGCTGGTGGGAAGTTTCAAAGCAGTAACACATTTGTGATAGTCAAGAGCAAGCCAGTACATTGTGAGCCCACTACGTTGGATGTTGCCTCCATGGTCTTGTGAACTGATGCACAGATCCCTTTTTCCTACCACTGTAACCCATTTTCATGGAGTTTGTTTTGGTATGAAGAGAAATTTTGCACATAAAGTCTCTATAGTGATTAGGAAGTAGGATGAAGGTCAGGAAAGGCACTAATATTTCCCCACCTCTCTGTCCTCTAGATATGGAGGCTTCAGAGTCAGCTTCAAAGATTCCCCCATTCAAAATCAGAAAGTAAGGCCAGGCATGGTGGTTCACACCTGTAATCCCAGCACTTTGGGAGGCCGAGGCAGGTGGATCACTTGAGCTCAGGAGTTCAAGACCAGCCTGGGCAACATGGCAAACCCTGTCTCTACAAAAAACAGAATTTTTATTTATTTATTTCATTTTTCTTTTTTCTTTTTTGAGACAGAGTCTTGCTCTGTCACTCAGGCTGGAGTGCAGTGGCACGATCTCAGTTCACTGCAACTTCCACCTCCTGGGTTCAAGCAATTCTCATGCCTCAGTCTCCTGAGTAGCTGAGATTACAGGAGTGCACCACCACACCCAGCTAATTTTTTGTATTTTTAGTAGAGATGGGGCTTCACCGGCCTGGCGTGGTGGCTCACACCTGTAATCCCAGTGAGTCGGGCAGATCACAAGGTCAGGAGATCGAGACCATCCTGGCTAACACAGTGAAACCCCATCTCTACTAAAAAATACAAAAAATTAGCTGGGCATGGTGGCGGGCACCTGTAGTCCCAGCTACTCGGGAGGCTGAGGCAGGAGAATGGCATGAACCCGGGAGGTGGAGCTTGCAGTGAGCTGAGATGGCGCCACTGCATTCCAGCCTGGGCAACAGAACAAGACTTTGTCTCAAAAAAAAAAAAAAAGAGATGGGGTTTCACCATGTGGCCCAGGCTGGTTTTGAACTCCTGACCTCAGGCAATCTGCCCGCCTCAGGCAATCAGTCATGAGCCATTGCGCTGGGCCTAATTTATGTGGGTGTTTTTTTTTTTGAGATGGAGTCTCGCTCTGTTGCCCAGGCTGGAGTGCAGTGGCGAGATCTCAGCTCACTGCAACCTCCGCCTCCCAAGTTCAAAGCGATTCTCCTGCCTCAGCCTCCCAAGTAGCTGGGACTACAGGCGCCCACCACCACACCGGCTAATTTTTTGTATTTTTAGTAGAGACGGAGTTTCACCATGTTAGCCAGGATGGTCTCGATCTCCTGACCTCGTGATCTGCCAGCCTCGGCCTCCCAAAGTGTTGGGATTACAGGCATGAGCCAACACCCCTGGCCTAATTTTTGTATTTTTAATGGAGACGGGGTTTCACCATGTTGGCCAGGCTGGTTTCGAACTCTTGAGCTCAGGTGATCTGCCCACCTCGGCCTCCCAAAGTGCTGGGATTACAGGCGGGAGCCGCTACGTCCAGCCAAAAAAAGTGCAAAACCTAGCTGGGTGCTATGGCTTGCACCTGCAGTACCAGCTACTCTCAAGGCTGAGGCAGGAGAATTGCTTGAGCCGTGGAGGTGGAGGTTTTAGTGAGCTGAGATCACACCATTGCACTCCAGCCTGGGTGACAGGAGTGAAACCCTGTCTAAAAAAAAAAAAAAAAAAAAAAAATCAGAAATAAAGGAAATTGTCCTTCAGCTCCTTAGGCTTACACATCCCCATCCAGGGATCTAGTCATTCCCATCCATAGGACTTACCTTCTTTCAGAGTTATCAAAAGAGCTGCTTTTGTTCATTCACTTACACTTTAATGTGAATTAAATACAAAACTACCTCTTCTGAAATATGTGAATTTATTTGTTTATTTATTTATTTATTTTGAGATGGAGTCTCACTCTGTCCCCAAGGCTGGAGTGCAGTAGCACAATCTTGGCTCACTGCAACCTCCACCTCCTGGGCTCAAGGGATCCTCCTGCCTCAGCCTCCCAAGTAGCTGAGATTACAGGCACTTGCCACCATGCCTGGCTAATTTTTATATTTTTAGTAGAGATGGAGTTTCACCATGTTGGTCAGGCTGGTCTCAAACTCCTGACCTCGGGTGATCCACCAGCCTCAGCCTCCCAAAGTGTTGGGATTACAGGCGTGAGCCACCACCCCCGGCCTGGAATAAGGACCGCTTCCAATTGTGAAAGAAAATGCTTGTTGCCCAGTTAACATAATTCCACATAATCATTTTGATTAGGAAACCTAAACAACTTCTGGAGAACTCAAGAACTCTGTCCCAGGCTGCCATTTCACATTTGCTGCATTTCTAGATGTGTTTATATGATTGCTTGAGTGGTGTTGTCTTCTACTGGAGTGTAGCTTCATGACTTAAGAATCTTTCGGCCAGGCACAGTGGCTCCCGCCTGTAATCCCAGGACTTTGGGGGGCCAAGGTGGGCAGATCACCTGAGGTCAGGAGTTAGAAACCAGCCTGACCAATGTGCCATCTCTACTAAATATACAAAAATTAGCCGGGCGTGGTGGCATGAGCCTGGAATCCCAGCTACCTGAGAAGCTGAGACAGGAGAATTGCTTGAACCCGGGAGGCAGAGGTGGTGGTGAGCTGAGATCGCGCCATTGTACTCCAGCCTGGGCAACAAGAGCGAAACTTCATCTCAAAAAAAAAAAAAGGATCTTTTTTATTTTAAGGCTGGTCAAGTGACACATTTGGCTTTACTTAGCCAACTATTTGTTGAATGAATAAAGGAACAAATGAATCAAACCAAAGATTCCTGGCCGGGCGCGGTGGTTCATGCCTGTAATCCCAGCACTTTGGGAGGCTGATGCGGGCAGATCACAAGGTCAGGAGTTCAAGACCAGCCTGGCCAATATGGTGAAACCCCATATCTACTAAAAATACAATTTGCCAGGCGTAGTGGCAGGTGCCTGTAGTTCCAGCTACTTGGGAGGGTGAGGCAGGAGAATTGCATGAACCCGGGAGGCAGAGGTTGCAGTGAGCCGAGATCACACCACTGCACTCCAGCCTGGGCTACAGAACCAGATTCTGTCTCAAAAAAAAAAAAAAAATGCATAGAAACAATGAGATTATTTAGATCTTATGGAAAAAACACATCCTGCCTATATTGGACATAGGATTTTGTTCTGATGCATGCAGCATCTCTGTAGAGGTTCTCTGCTCCTTTATGCTCCTTTATCCTCAGTCCATGTGTTTTAAGTGGCATTGATCCCATTTCTGGCTACAGGAGTGGGCAAGCGACACAGGCCTGGCAAATCAGAGGAACCTAACCTCTAGATTCATGGATCTGACAGTCTAGACCAGCCCAACTCACTATAGAAAGGAGGTATGTGGTAAGGGCTCACTTGGAGGAACCAAAGAGAGTGGGAAGAAGGAGAGTGGGAGGAACCACTGACTCTTGGTGAGAGCAGAGATAGCTGCATGAGGAGGTTTGTAGCTGGACTAAGATTTAGATGGGTGGAATTCAGGGAGTGCATTCTCTACACAAAGAGCAGGAACAAACATGGGGTGATAGGAACATGTAAGATGTTTTTGAAAGCTGGCAAGGGCCCAGTTGACACGAACAAAAGGTTTATGTGGAGGTGGAGGACAAGATAAAGTTGGAGGAGTGGACCAGGGCAAGCCCCCCTGAGAGTTCTGGACACTGTGTTAAGGAGTGGAAGAGTTTACTCCAGAGGCCATGTGGACCTGTTCAGAGGGGAGGCCGTGGGTAACCTGAGCAGGGTTGGGCATTAGGAAGTTGATCTGTCAGAAGAGTGGATTAAAGGGAAAGAGGCCGGGGTTCTGACCCAAGATGCATGAACCTGGCCAAAAAAACATTAAGGGCATCGGGCAGTAGGACCGAAATAGAACCACCAGCTGAGGCACTGAAGAAAGAATCAGTGTGCCTTGAGGAACATAATAAGGCAGAGCTAAAAGACCAGACTCCAGAGGCTGGGTTATGGCATCTGGGTAGTGGTTTGAGAAGGGCAGGCTTTGGCATCTATCAAAACTGAGTTTGAATCCTGGGCCTGGCACTAGAAATATGTGTAATTCTGGGCAAGTTTACTTATTTCTGGGCCTTGGTTTTCTTATCCATGAAAAGGAATAATAATACCAAATTCAGAGGTTTTTGGAAGACTAACTGAAATAATATCCTTAAAGCAATTTTCAGGGTACCAGGAATAAAATAAATATCCAATGTAGCTAGTGGGTACAAAGTTTCTTCTAGGAGTGATGCAAATGTTCTAAAATTAGATTATGGTTACACAACTCTGTAAATATCTAAAAACCATTCAGTTGTATACTTTTTTCTGTGTGTGAGATGGTGTCTCGCTCTGTTGCCCATGATGGAGTGCAGTGGCGCAATCTCAGCTCACTGCAACCTCCGCCTCCCGGGTTCAAGTGATTCTCCTGTCTCACCCTCCCGAGTAGCTGGGACTACAGGCATGCACCACCATGCCCGGCTAATTTTTGTATTTTTAGAAATGTTTGTTTTTTGTGTTTTTTGTGTTTTTTTGAGAGAGTCTCGCTCTGTCGCCCAAACTGGAGTGCAGTGGTACGATCTCAGCTCACTACAACCTCTGCCTCCCGGGTTCAAGCAATTCTCCTGCCTCAGCCTACTGAGTAGCTGGGATTACAGGTGCACACCACCACGCCTGGCTAATTTTTGCATTTTTAGTACAGATGGGGTTTCACCATGTGGGTCAGGCTGGTCTCGAACTCCTGACCTCGTGATCCACCTGCCTCGGCCTCCCAAAGTGCTGGGATTACAGGCGTGAGTCACCACGCCCAGCCAAAAAAAGTTTGTTTTTTTTTTTGTTCAAATGATCCTTTATTGAAATATTTTGTTTTGTGCTTCTTCACTAGCTGGGCATATTCCACAACACCACTGTTGATGTCATCTGTGATGTCATGAGGGTGGCGACCATCAACATTATGGCCCACAGATTAGGGAGTCCCCAGGATTTTTTTTTTTTTTTTTTTTTTTTGAGACGGAGTCTTGCTCTGTCACCCAGGCTGGAGTGCAGTGGTGCGATCTGGGCTCACTGCAAGCTCCGCCTCCCCAGGTTCATGCCATTCTCCTGCCTCAGCCTCCCTTCAGCCTCCCCAGCAGCTGGGACTACAGGTGCAAGCCGCTACACCCGGCTAATTTTTTTGTATTTTTAGTAGAGATGGGGTTTCACCATGTTAGCCAGGATGGTCTCAATCTCCTGACCTCGTGATCCGCCCGCCTCGGCCTCCCAAAGTGCTGGGATTACAGGCGTGAGTCACCGTGCCCGTCCCCCAGGATTTCTTCAATGGTTCCAGAGAGTTCTCTGGCTAAAGATTGGTGACGCCTCTGTCAAACAATGTTGATGATCTCATCAAAAGTGATATTCCCACTGTGTTTAATGTGTTTCTGTTTCTTCTGTCTCTTGGTGGTTCCTTGAGAACTTTGATGATCAGGGCAGAGGCAGAAGGCACCACCTCAATCTGGGCCCGTCTGTTCTGAATGTTCAGTTTCACTGTAATCCCCAGGCCTTTCCAGTCACCTGTTGCCTTGGCAATGGCATCACCAACCTTTTTTAGAGACAGAACCAGGGGGCTGATCTTGGGGGCCAGTGAAGAAGTGGCACCAACTTCATCCCCGGTGCACCTCAGGTATACGACTTTAATCTTGTTGGGGTCGAACTTCGGCGGCATGGTGGAGGCGGCTGGTATTGGATGAACCTGGATTCAGGACGACCAAAGAAAGTTGCACCTTGGCCTCTTCTGAGCCAAAAGCTGAAAGCAAAAAATGTGTTTTTAAAAACAAACAAACAGGGCCAGGCACGGTGGCTCACGCCTGTAATCCCAGCACTTTGGGAGGCCAAGGCAGGCAGATCACCTGAGGTCAAGTGTTGAAGACCAGCCTGGCCAATATGATGAAACCTCATCTCTACTAAAAATACAAAAAGTTAGCTGGGTGTGGTGGTGCACCTGTGGGAGAATGGCTGGAACCTGGGAGGCGGAGGTTGCAGTGAGCCGAGATCGGGCCACTGAACTCCAGCCTGGGCAATGAGAGCAAAAACTCCATCTCAAAAAAAAAAGATCCAGAGGTAGGCAGTCCAGGACCATGTCTGGGGCCTTCAAAAGATCCAGGCAACAAAATAAAAGAAAAAGAGACAGGCTTGCCCCCTTCCTCACAGGGTTACTTTCCAAAGGTATCACATAATATGGCCCATTTGGCCAGGCGCGGTGGCTCACGCTTGTAATCCCAGCACTTTGGGAGGCCGAGGCAGGCAGATAATCTGAAGTCAGGAGTTAGAGACCAGCCTGACCAATATGGAGAAACCCCGTCTCTATTAAAAATACAAAATTAGCCGGTCATGGTGGCAGCATGCCTGTAATCCTAGCTACTTGGGAGGCTGAGGCAGGAGAATCGCTTGAACCCGGGAGGCAGAGGTTGTGGAGAGCCGAGATTGAGCCATTGCACTCCAGCCTGGGCAACAAGAGCGAAACTCTGTCTCAAAAAATATATATATATATTTATATACATACATAGCCCACTTATATTTCATTGACCAGAACTTAATCACATGGCCCCATTTGGCTGCAAGAGAAGATGACAAATGACCCCTTGTCTTCCCATCTCTTTGTTCTTTTGCAGGGGATAGAGATGGGTTCTTATGGTTCTGGTACAGCTACAATTTGGGGTTTATTAAAGAGGAGAGTGGTTATTGGGAGGCAAACAGCAGCCTCTGCTATAGCTACTACTTGTGTAAAATGGAGGCAGACTATAAATAAATAAACTATCTTTGAAAAGACACACAACACATGTAGTATAGTTTGCCTTTTGACTTTTGAACTATGTGGCTGTAGTGTCTACTCAAATAAGTAAAACTAGAATTAAAAAAAAATACTGCAGGCTAGCAACATGGTGAGACTTTGTCTCTACAAAAAATACAAAAATTATCCAGGCATGGTGGTGAGTGCCTATAGTCCCAGCTACTGGTGGGAGGATCACTGGAGCCTGGGAGGTTGAGGCTGCAGTGAGCCATGACTTAGCCACTGCATTCCAGCCTGGGTGACAGAGTGAGACTGGTCTTAAAAAAAAAATACTGAATGATGATACCCAACCATGTGTCTCCTGACTTACAGCTCTGTCGATACCACAGCTGTCCCAGGCATCCATATGGACACCATGCTTCTGCGGATCTAAGACTGCCTCCTCTGCAGTGAGCCAAGATGGCGCCACTGCACTCTAGCCTGGGTGACAGAGCAAGACTCTGCCTCAAAAAAAAAGGAAGAAAAAAAGACTGCCTCCTCCAGACACCTACAAGCAATCATGCGGCAAGTTTGAGCATCTACTTTTCCATTCCCATTGTCACCCAGGTAGCAAGGATGGCACAGTCCCAGAAATGGGAGAACTTACTGCTTCAGCCTACATGGAGTCATCATCATGGTCCCTGAGACTTGGTCCTAACATGGCCGTCTTTTACCTATGATCAACATACCATGAGGGGGCCGGGCACGGTGGTTCATACCTATTATCCCAGCACTGTGGGAGGATGGGCTGAGCAGAACACTTGAGCCCAGGACTTCAAGACCAGACCGGACAACATGACGAAACCCTGTCTCTACAAAAAAAATCACAAAAATTAGCCAGGTGTGGTGGTGCACACCTGTGGTTACAGCTACTTGGGAGGCTAAGGTGGGAGGATTGTTTGAGCACAGGTGGTGGAGGCTACAGTGAGCCATGATTGTGCCATTGCACACCAGCCTAAGCAACAGAGTGAGACCCTGTCTCAAAAAAATGTATATATATATATATATATGCATACACACACACACACACACACACACACACACACACACACACACCCCATGAGAGATTTATTGACCCCTTGTCTTCCCATCTCCTCGTTCTTTTGCAGGGGATAGAGATGGGGTCTTGCTGTGTTGGCTGGTCTCCAACTCTTGGGCTCAAGTGATACCCCGGCCTCAGCCTCCCAAAGTGTTGGGATTACAGGCATGAGCCCCGTGCTTGGCCTATTCACACTTGATTCCTGTTGTAATGGTAGATCTTGCTGGGTCTGTCATGACCCAACATCCATCACAGAGGTTCTCAATCACTGAGCTGCCAGCCTGAGCTGTAACCATAAAAAAATAATCTCATGCTTCTCTGTCCTTGGTGTTTCTTGGTTTGTGGCAACATGCTTGACATGGTGTTCTCCTCATGTGTCTGTGTCCAAATTTCCTTCTTTTTGTAAGGATACCAGTCCCCTCATTAGGTCCCACCCTAATCCAGTATGTCCTCATTTTAGTTTGATTACATCTGCACAGACGCTATTTCCAAATAAGGTTATACTCACAGGTTCTGGGTAGATAGAAATTTAGGGGAAGCTACTCAACCCGGTACACTATTCCAGCCTCCAACCTGAGGGGTGCATCCCTCTGAACTATCTCCCTAACCTAGAGACCTTTCTCCTTTTATAAATGACAAAATATCCTCAGGCAATGCTGTGTTAAAAATACTTTAAAAAGGCCGGGTGCAGTGGCTCACGCCTATAATTCCTGCACTTTGAGAGGCCAAGGCGGGCGGGTCACTTGAGGTTAAGAGTTCGAGAACAGCCTGGCCAACATGGTGAAACCCCGTCTCTACTAAAAATACAAAAATGAGCCAGGCATGGTGGCGGGTGCCTGTAATCCCAGCTACTCAGGAGGCTGAGGCAGGAGAATCGCTTGGAGTCCGGAGGCGGAGGCTGCAGTGAGCCGAGATTGCACCAGATAGCAAAACATTCTACACTGCTCCATCAGTGTTAGCTCTGAAGCCATCTAGTCATTTTAACTACTGGCTTCCAGACCCAACTGTTCTAACTCCCACCCCCACTCCCCACTGTCTAACCAGTGGTTTATCTTTCCTGCCCAGTCAGCAGCTTCAGGACATTTTTAACTTTTGCCTTCCATGGCTTCCTCAGCTGCTAATCTACTGAGATACGTTTATTTTATTTTATTTTTTGAGGTGGAGTGTCACTCTGTCACCCAGGCTAGAGTGCTGTGGCACAGTCTCGGCTCACTGCAACCTCTACCTCCTGGTTTCAAGTGATTCTCCTGCCTCAGCCTCCCAAGTAGCTGGGAATACAGTGGCCTGCCACCACACCCAGCTAATGTTTTTTTCTTTTTTTTTTTTTTTAGTAGAGATGGGATTTCACCATGTTGGCCAGGCTGGTCTCGAACTCCTGACCTCAGGTGATCCGCCCCCCTCAGCCTCCCAAACTGCTGTGATTACAGATGTAAGCCACTGCACCTGGCCTACTGAGAGGTGTTTAATATCTCATCCTCATCTCTTAGCATCTCAGTTTGAGTCCCGTAACCTCTCTCTCTTTTTTTTTGAGATGGAGTTTCACTCTTGTTGCCCAGGCTGGCGCCCAAGGGCATGATCTCGGCTCACTGCAACCTCCACCTCCCAGGTTCAAGCGATTCTCCTGCCTCAGCCTCCCAAGTAGCTGGGATTGCAGGTGCCCACCACCATGCCCAGCTAATTTTGTGTGTGTGTGTGTGTGTGTGTGTGTGTGTGTTGTTGTTTTTTTTTTTTAAATTTGAGACAGAGTCTCACTCTGTCACCAGGCTGGAGTGCAGTGGCACGATCTCAGCTCACTGCAACCTCTGCCTCCCAGGTTCAAGCCATTCTCCTGCCTCAGCCTCCCAAGTACTTGGTACTACAGGAGCATGTCACCACACCCGGCTATTTTTTTTTTTTTTGTACTTTTAGTAGAGATGGGGTTTCACTGTGTCAGCCAGGATGGTGTCAATCTCCTGACTTCGTGATCCGCCTGCCTCGGCCTCCCAAAGTGCTGGGATTACAGGCGTGAACCACCACGCCCAGACCCCCTTTTCTTTTTTTAGACAGTCTCACTCTGTCGCCAGGCTGGAGTGCAGTGGCGTGATCTCAGCTCACTGCAACCTCCGCCTTCCTCCCAGGTTCAAGCGATTCTCCTGCCTCAGCCTCCAGAGTAGCTAGGACTACAGGTGTGCGCCACCACACCCAGTTAATTTTTGTATTTTTAGTAGAGATGGGATTTCACCATGTTAGCCAGGATGGTCTCGATCTCTTGACCTCATGATCCACCCACCTCGGCCTACCAAAGTGCTGGGATTACAGGCCTGAGCCACTGCACCCAGCCAATTTCCCCTTTTCTATGGCTTATTGTTTCTAACACTTTATTGTAAAATTTTTCAAACAGCCAACAAAATTGAAAGAATACCCTGTTACCCAACACCTAGATCCTAGTATTTTAAAAATTGAGATATATTTCACATAACATAAAATTCAACATTTTAAAGTGTACACTTCAATAGTTTTTAGTACTGTATATTCATTATGTTGTACAAACATCACCACTAATTTCAAAACATTTTTATAACCCCAAAAAGAAAACTCTTACCCATTAGCTGTTAGTCCTAATTCCCCCCTTCTCCCATCCCCTGGCAACCACTAATCTACCTTCTGTTTCTATGGATTTGTCTATTCTGGACGTTTCATATAAATAGAATTACACAATATGTTGCCTTTCCTGTCTGATTTGTTCACTCAGCATAATGTTTTCAACATTCATTCCTTTTGTAGCATGTATCAGTACTTCATTCCTTTTTATGGTGAATAATACTCCATCGTATGAGTATACGACATTTGATTCATCCATTTATCAGCTGATGAACATCTGAGTTGTTTGCACTTTTTGACTATCATGAATAATGCTGCTATCAACATTTGTGTACACGTTTTTATGTGAACATATGTTTTCAATTTTCTCTGGTATATAGCTAAAAGTAGAATGGATGGGTCATATGGTAACATTAACATATTACTATACATGTTTTATCACATATCTACCTGTCTAACTATCCTTCTAATCCATCTATATTAATCCTTCTCACATTTTACTGTACTTTGGAATAAATTGCAAACATCAGTACACCTCACTCCAAACTCATCAGCATGTCTATTACTATAATTCAAGCTTTCTTTACAATTTATTCTCTTCATGTAAAATCTACAATTTTTTTCTCTTTGTTTTTTTGTTTTGTTTTGTTTTGTTTTTGTTTTTTGTTTTTTTGAGACAGGGTCTCACTCTACTGCCCAGGCTGGAGTGCAGTGGCACAATCTTGGCTTACTGCAACCTCTGCCTCTCGGGCTCAAGCAATTCTCCTGCCTCAATCTCCTGAGTAGCTGGGACTACAGGCATGAGCCACCATGCCCTGCTACTTGTTGTATTTTTAGTAGAGACGGGGTTTCACCATGTTGACCAGACTGGTCTCAAACTCCTGACCTCAGCTGATCTGCCCACCTCAGCCTCTCAAAGCGTTGGGATTACAGGCGTGAGCCACCGCGCCCAGCCCACTCAATGAGTTTTAACACATGCCTAAACCTATGAAACCCAAATCAAGATATCAAGATTTAGAACATGTCCACCCTCCTGCAAGTTCCCTCTGTCTGTTCAGTGTCACAGTGTCAGTCCTGCCCCTGCTCTACCTTTTCCAAAGGCAACCAGTCTTCTGATGTTTTCCCCACCGTAAGTTACTTTCCCTGTTCTAGAACTTCATATAAACAGAAACATATGACATATATCCGTTTTTATCTGGCTTCTTTCACTTAGCATACTGTTTTTAAGCTTCATTCATGTTACTGCATGCAGCAATATTCAGTCCTTTCTGTTGCTGAACTGTTTTCTGTCATCATCCTGTGTGAATGTACAATAGGTTGTTTGTCCATTCACCTGTTGATGAACACTTGGGCCATTTCACTTTTGGCTTTTATGAATAAAACTCCTTTGATGTGAGCCAACATCGTGCCACTGCACTCCAGCCTGGGCAAAAGAGGGAGACCCTGTCTCAATTAAAAAGAAAAAAAAATATGCTATGATCACCTCCCTGTAGGCCTTGATGTGGGCCCATGTGTTTATTTCTCTTAGCTAAGTATCCAGGATTGAAACTGTGTTCCAGGACAGGTGTATGTTTCATTTTATAAGAAACTGTCAGGCCTTTTTCCAAGGTGGTTGTACCATTTTTCATGCCCACAACAATATATGAGGCTTATAAGTTGTGAGCCAAAGATAAAAATGCACAAATTGTAAACTGCTACTAATTATTTTCATTTGAAAATTTTAAGTAGGCCGGGTCTGGTGGCTCATGCCTGTAAATCCCAGCACTTTGGGAGGTCGAGGCAGGCGGATCACCTGAAGTCAGGAGTTCAAGACCAGCCTGGCCAACATGGTGAAACCCCATCTCTACTAAAAATACAAAAATTAGCCAGGCATGGTGGTGCACGCCTGCAGTGTCAGCTACTTAGCAGGCTGAGGCAGGAGAACTGCTTGAACCCGGGAGGCAGAGGTTGCAGTGAGCGAAGATTGTGCCACTGCACTCCAGCCTGGACAACAGAGCAAGACTCCATCACAACAACAATAACAACAACAACAACAACAACAACAAATGCCCAACAAACCAGGAATAGAAGGGAACATTCTTAACCTGATAAATACTATCTATGAAAAATCCACAGCTAACATCCTACCTAATGTTGTGAAAGACTGAATGTTTTCATCTAAGATCAGGAATAAGACAGGGCCAGGTGCTGTGGCTCATGCCTGTAATCTTAGCACTTTAGGAAGCTGGGGTGGGCGGATCGTTTGAGCTCAGGAGTTCAAGACCTGCCCGAGCAACATGGTGAGACCCCCTGGGTCTACAAAAAATACAAAAATTAGCCAGGCATGGTGGCTTGCACCTGTAGTCCCAGCTACTCAGGAGGCTGAGATAGGAGGATCAACTGAGCCTGGGGAAGTCAAGGCTGCAGTGAGCAGAGATCATGCCACTGCACTCCAGCCTGGGCCACAGAATGAGACCCTGTCTCAAAAAAAAAAAAAAAGAAAAAAAGAAAAGAAAAAAGAAAAAGAAGAGAAGCAAAACTATCTCTATTTGTAGATGACACGATCTTCTATATAGAAAATCCTAAGGAATCCACAAAAACAAGGTGATGAACCTTATGACACCCTGTAGAAATCCAGATTTCGTAGATTAGAAATCCAATGGCTTTGTTTAAACTGTCTCTTCCTCTGTTTTTACATTTTTTCCTCCACACTTGACAAAAACAAACCCAACTCTTTTTAAACCAACTTCCCTACCTCTTTCCTGCACTCATCCCTTCCTAAAGGTTTGCTCCTATAATTATTATCGTTGGAACTGCCCAACAAGACCCTCGTTTTCTATTTATCTGGATCTCCAGGCTCATTTCTTTCTTTGTATCCTATTTTCTATATCATGCTCAGAATTTTAAAGTTGCTTCCAGGCTGGGCGCGGTGGCTCATGTCTGTAACGCCAGCATTTCGGGAGGAGGGATTGCTTGAGTCCAGGAGTTTGAGACCGGACGGGCCAACATGGCGAAACCCTGTATCCACTAAAAATACAAAAATTAGCCAGGTGTAGTGGCGCGTGCCTATTGTCCCAGCTACTCGGGAGGCTGAGGTGGGAGGATCACCTGATCCTGGGAAGTCAAGGCTGCAATCAGCCAGATCACACCACTGCACTCCAGCCTGGGTGACAGAGTGAAATTCTGTCAAAGAAAGAAAAGAAAGAGAAAGAAAAGGAAGAAAGGAAGGAAGGAAGCGTATCTCCATTTTCATCCAAACAGGTATTTTTCTCTGCTACTACGTACCTCCTCAGAGCCCATCCCCCCTACTGGTCTGAGGCTTTTTTTTAAACAACTTTCTGGACATAGCCCCTCTTAAGACTAACAACCTATAGCCAGGCGTGGTGGCTCACGCTTGTAATCCCAGGATTTTGGGAGGCCGAGGCAGGTGGATCACCTGAGGTCGGGAGTACCAGACCAGCCTGACCAATATGGAGAAACCCCATCTCTGCTAAAAACACAAAATTAGGCTGGGCATGGCGGCGCATGCCTGTAATCCCAGCAACTCGGGAGGCTGAGGCAGGAGAACTGCTTGAACCCAGGAGGCGGAAGTTGTGGTGAGCGGAGATTGCGCCATTGTACTCCAGCCTGGGCAACAAGAGCGAAACTCTGTCTCAAAAAAACAAAACAAAACAAAAAGAGTAGCAACCTAGGCCGGGCGCAGTGGCTCACGCCTGTAATCCCAGCACTTTGGGAGGCTGAGGCGGGTGGATCACCTGAGGTCAGGAGTTCGAGACCAGCCTGGCCAACATGGTGAAACCCCGTCTCTACTAAAAATACAAAAATTAGCCGGGCGTGGTGGTGGGCGCCTGTAATCCCAGCTACTCGGAAGGCTGAGGCAGGAGAATTGCTTAAACGCAGGAGGCGGAGGTTGTAGTGAGTGGAGATCGAGCCACTGCACTCCAGCCTGGGCGATAGAGCGAGACTCCGTCTCAAAAAAACAAACAAACAAATAAACAAAAAGACTAGCAACCTCCTCTCCAGCAATGCCAACCCCAGTCCAGGCCCCCATCCGCCCAGGATCTCGATCAAAAAACATTAATCTGTGGCCTTTCTTTGCCATTTCCAACTCTGCCACCTCCATCGAACGACAAGGTCCCCTTCTTCCTTTCCATTCCCGTCAGCTTCATTTCCCTAATCTCCGTACAAATCCCTAGCCTGACTCCCTTTCCTTTCCATCCTCACCAGACGCCCGCATGCCGGACCTCAAAAGCGCAAACGCTAAAAACCGGTTGAGTTGACGCACGGAGAGAAGGGGTGTGTGGGTGGGTGGGTGTGTGTTAGTGTGCGTGCTTGCTTGTGTGTGGAAGAAACCAACAGGGTTCACGCTGGTGCCCATTTCTGGAAATGCCAATCGCGCCCGACTGCGGGAGCCAGGATCAGGTCCCCAGGGCGCCCTTGCAGACAGCACCCTGAGCGAAGGAGCTCAGAAGGCAGTCCGGCTTCACCCAGACCCCCAATCCCACAGAAGCGCCGTCCCCCAGCGGCACAGCACCCCCTCCCCGGCGCGGTGGTAGGGCCCGACGTGACGTCACCCATTGTTTACAAATCAACCCGAGCCGGCAGGATTCCGGCTCCCGCGGCTGCAGGCGCGCGGCTAGAGTGCCTGGCGGGCTCCGGCTTCCGCGTCCGCCCCGGCCCCGGTCCAGACTTAGTCTTCAGCTCCGCGCCCGCTCCGCCGCGGCCCACCGCGCCCGCCGGCAGCCGAGCCCCCAGCGACGCCCGCACAGCTCCGGGTGCCCAGACAGGGGGCCATGCCGTGCCGGAGGGAGGAGGAAGAGGAAGCCGGCGAGGAGGCGGAGGGGGAGGAAGAGGAGGAGGACAGCTTCCTCCTACTGCAGCAGTCAGTGGCGCTGGGCAGCTCGGGCGAGGTGGACCGGCTGGTGGCCCAGATCGGCGAGACGCTGCAGCTGGACGCGGCGCAGCACAGCCCGGCCTCGCCGTGCGGGCCCCCGGGGGCGCCGCTGCGGGCCCCGGGGCCCCTGGCTGCGGCGGTGCCGGCGGACAAGGCCAGGTCCCCGGCGGTGCCGCTGCTGCTGCCGCCCGCGTTGGCGGAGACTGTGGGCCCGGCGCCCCCTGGGGTCCTGCGCTGCGCCCTGGGGGACCGCGGCCGCGTGCGGGGCCGCGCTGCGCCCTACTGCGTGGCCGAGCTCGCCACAGGCCCCAGCGCGCTGTCCCCACTGCCCCCTCAGGCCGACCTTGATGGGCCTCCGGGAGCTGGCAAGCAGGGCATCCCGCAGCCGCTGTCGGGTCCGTGCCGGCGAGGATGGCTCCGGGGCGCCGCCGCCTCCCGCCGCCTGCAGCAGCGACGCGGGTCCCAACCAGAAACCCGCACAGGCGACGACGACCCGCACCGGCTTCTGCAGCAGCTAGTGCTCTCTGGAAACCTCATCAAGGAGGCCGTGCGAAGGCTTCATTCGCGACGGCTGCAGTTACGTGCAAAGCTTCCCCAACGCCCGCTCCTGGGACCTCTGTCGGCCCCGGTGCATGAACCCCCTTCGCCTCGCAGCCCTCGCGCGGCCTGCAGTGACCCTGGCGCCTCCGGGAGGGCGCAGCTCAGAACTGGCGACGGCGTTCTTGTGCCTGGCAGCTAACACGCCCGGGGTGGCCACAGCGCCAGCCTCAGACTGGAGGGCAAGGGGTTCCCTTGAGGGCTGCAGTTCTACTCAGGCTGGTGGAGAACTCTGGCTTTTGGAAGCGAGAGTAAAAAGCTAATGACGAGGAACCGAAAAATCGCGAGTGTTTCGCGGGTAACTGGGGTTGAGGGCCAAAATATTTGGAATGAAGGACTTTGGCCCTATTTAAGGCAGATTTTACAGAGCGCACCTCAAACGTACAAGTCAGTAGGACTCCTTATTTGGCGTGACCCGACCTGGCCGCGGAGCCTGCATTTCCTCGCAGCCTCTCAGTGCCCTCCAGCCCCGCGACCATGTGGCCACAATCCACGCTTCTCCGGATCGCGGTGCGCCGGAACCACGGAGGATGATGCCAGTTACTTGCTTTACCTTTTCAGGGCTGGCTCCTGATCCACTTTGGGGGAGGAGAACATGAGTAGATAATTTCAGGGTGCAGCCCAATCTGCCAGACTTAAAAAAACCATCTTGTGTCTTTGGAGGTGCTGCTTAATACCAAACATGCGGTGCCATGAAGGGACCCTTTGGGGGTTGAATAGGAGTTAACCCCTGCGCTCTCTTTGCAACTGTCTCTCTTCTCAGAGTGGTGGGGGAAGGCTGTACGACACGGGTGGGGAAAGGAGGTGGGGGCGGGGAGTATTGAATGGTGGTGGAAGGGTAGAGAGGCGCGGAGTGAACCCCACGCCCTGTCTAAAGTGTATTTTCAGAGCCGGCCCGCCTCTCCTCGGTTCAAGGTCACTGTTTCCTGGGCACGCACTGGGTTGCGGGACAGAGTAGCCAGGTTCTGCCGGTGCTCGGAGAAGAGCGCAGTGTTTTGCAAGTGCTGGAGTCTCCTGAGGACACGCGCGTCGCCGCCACCGCGGGTGTGGGAAAGCGCGGACGTGCTGGGCGGCTGTGCTTCGGTAGGCGACCACCGCCCCTGGCCGCGCTCCGGGCTTTCACGGAAACTCCCGAGACCGGGCCCTGGGTTCCTCCTCTCCTACTCGGCTCTGCAGTCCTACTCAAGCGGGTGGCTCTGGGATCCTGGGGGCCTGGGTTGGGGGCTAGGGAGACGCCATGTGATGGACACTCCAGGGACACACAGCCTAGCACAGCAGCTTATAATGGGCTCTCCGGGGCCATTTGCAATAACAGCTGCAATTCCCTGGATAGACGAGTTGATTTCCTCCCTCTGCCCCTCCCCCAGCCATGCCAGCTGGCCTTTGTAAGTGCAGGAAACCGAGTAGAAAATGTGACCCTCCAAATGGAGAAGCTGCAGGCTTTGCCATTGTGAACCATGGTGAAGTGCTTGGAACATACTGTTCACTCACTCTAAAGGCGCTGAGACTGTGCTGTTGTTCTCGTTTTTATAGTCAATGGCTTGTTCATCATCCAGATGTGGCTACTGACATATCTACACTTCGCACCGGAGTGTCTGGAATTGTGGCTATCCTGATTATAGGATTTTAACTTAACTGAAATGCCTGCTTTGAATAAATGTGTTGGGTTTTTTGTTTGGTTTTATTTTATACTTGCCATCAGTGAAAAAGATGTACAGAACACATTTCTCTGATCTCCATAAACATGAAAACACTTGAAATCTCTGTCAGCCTGGCTTGTGGATGGTAATTAGAGCGCCTTTGTGTCTGAGCAGCTCACTAGCTAGACAAGGTCTCCGCAGCTGGGTGTGTATTGGAGCTGGCATGAAATTAAATGAAAGTGAGGTCAGGTTTTGGACCAATCCCATTCGTTAAAACCTCAGAGCCTTTTGGATTACTAGTCAGTGATGGAGATGTGTTATAAAGCTGCCTCTATTAGCAAAGGACATCAGATCAGCCAGTCACTGCAAACTGGGAGGCTTATCTTTTTTTTTTTCTTTTTCTTTTTTTCTTCTTTCTCACCGTGGCCATTAAGTGCACTTGTTCCACAAGGTGGGCCTTAAGGCTGGGGCAGCTCTTGATTAGGAGACTGCTCACAATGTGAGCCTGGTGGTAGGAAAGCTGGGTGGAAACTTACAAAAGACTCCTGTCTTTGCCCCTGGCACATTTATACCATTCTGTCCCTAAGCAGTGACATAACAGGCCATGTCTATCCTTATGGTTCTGACTTACTTCAGTCTGTTCCCTCATGGAAGGAGCTAATTTCCTCCCTCTGAGGAAAGAGTACCCAGAGTTTAAGCCCACTTCTGAAGTGGGAAGGGAACCTTGGACAAGTTGCTCTACCTCTGTGGCTTCAGTTTCCTCATCCGTACAACAGGGATAATGAAATAAAAGGTGGGCCAGGCCCAGTAGTTTACACCTGTAATCCTAGTAGCACTTTGGGAGGCTAAAGTGGAGGATTGCTGGAGCCCAGAAGTTCAAGACCAGCCAGGGCAACATAGTGAGACCTCACCTCTCCAAAAATAAATAGATAAATGGCCGGGCACAGTGGCTCATGCCTGCAATCCCAGCACTTTGGGAGGCCAAGAAGGGCTGATCACGAGGTCAGGAGTTCAAGACCAGCCTGACCAACATGGTGAAACCCCATCTCTACTAAAAATACAAAAATTAACTGGGCATGGTGGTGCATGCCCATAATCCCAGGTACTCAGGAGGCTGAGGCAGGAGAATCGCTTGAACCTGGGAGGCAGAGGTTGCAGTGAGCTGAGATCGCGCCACTGCACTCCAGCCTGGGCGACAGAGCGAGACTCTGTCTCAAATAAGATAAAATAAAATAAATAAATAAATGAGGCAAGAGGATTGCTTGAGCCTAGGAGTTTGAGGCTGTCGTAAGCCATGATTGAGCTACTGCACTCCCACCTGGGTGGCAGAGCAAGACCCTGCCTCAAAAAAATAAATTAATAAAAGGCATATGGTGACTGGCACATGCTGCAGATGAACAGTATCTAGTCCCTACCCCTTCCTTCCCAGGTGGCGGTGTCCCAGGTGTCCTCATTTTCCCACAAAACAAGAGCATGCCATGATCCCAAATCTGCTTTCTGGAGTGTTCTATGACTTCGAGTCCTGATTTTCTAACTTCCTTTTTGGTTCAATGCCCCATTTTCTCAAATTCACACACAGACGCTGATGGTCTCTGAGGAGTACCTTCAGAACACACCAAGCCTGCCATTTCCCACAACATGCCCAGAAAGGGCTGTGGGGGCCTCAGTCCAGTGTTCTCCAGCATGGGAAGGGTAACTATGGAGGCTCTAATACAAACTGAGGAAAAGGAGCCCCCAATAGTGTAGTGGGCACCACCTCTGGGCGCTGAGCATGAGGGGAAAGTGGCCAGGTGCTGATGTCCCCTGGCATGGGAGTAGCCCTGAAGTCCCCAGTTCCCATTCTTAGTTGATGTACGATTTATCCAAGGTCAAGGGGTTATGAGCAATCCAGGGCTTTCCATCCTGAAATAGGCTATGATTTGATGTCACTGCACCGACTGTGCATAGCTTCTTGTAATAAGAATGACTGGTTAAGTTCAGACTCAACCTTAGGGCCCATGCAGAACAACCCACTCCTAAAAAAGGAAAATTGGGAAAAACTAAAGCCTCTCTACATAAAGCAAGTTAGCACTCTAAACACATTATAATCCAGTAACCGTTCATCTGTGTTTTTATTTTTTATCTTATTTACTTATTTATTTTTGAGACAGAGTCTTGCTCTGTCACCCAGGCTGGAGTGCAATGGCGTGATCTCGGCCCACTGCAAGCTCCACCTCCTGGGTTCAAGTGATTCTCCCGCCTCAGTCTCCTGAGTAGCTGGGACTACAGGCACCCGCCATCACGCCCAGCTAATTTTTGTATATTTGTAGAGGCGGAGTTTCCCCATGTTACCCAGGCTGGTCTGGAACTCCTAACCTCAGGTGATCCGCCTGCCTCGGCCTCCCAAAGTGCTGGGATTTTAGGCGTGAGCCACCGCATCCGGCCTGTTTTTTTTTTTTTTTTTTTTTTCAAATCCTGCCAAGTTTTTTCTTTTTTTTTAGACGAAGTCTCGCTCTGTCACCCAGGCTGGAGTGCAGTGGCATGATCTCGGCTTACTGCAACCTCCACCTCCTGGGGTCACACCATTCTCCTGCCTCAGCCTCTGGAATAGCTGGGACTACAGGTGCCCGCCACCATGCCCGGCTAATTTTTTGTATTTTTAGTAGAGATGGGGTTTCACCGCGTTAGCCAGGATGGTCTCGATCTCCTGACCTCCTGATCCGCCCGCCTCGGCCTCCCAAAGTGCTGGGATTACAGGCATGAGCCACCGCACCCAGCCAAATCCTGCCAAGTTTTACTATTCACCCCAAAATACTTTTTTTGGGATAAGTCAGGATTTACATAAAGTGTGGGGTTTTTTGTTTGTTTGTTTGTTTGTGACGGGGTCTCAGTCAGTCACCCAGGAGTGCAACGGTGAGATCTCAGCTCACTGCAACCTCCACCTCCTGGACTCAAGTGATTCTCCCATCTCTTGAGTAATTGGACTACAGGTGCGTGCCACCATGCCTGGATAATTTTAAAATTTTTTATAAAGACAAGGTTTTGCCATGTTGCCCAGGCTGTTCTCAAACTCTTGGGCTCAAGCAATCCACCTGCCTCAGCCTCCCAAAGTGCTGGGATTACAAGTGTGAGCCACCTCGCCCAGCCAGGATTTACATAAAGTATTTTAAAAGTCATATTGGGGCAGACGTGGTGGCTCATGCCTGTAATCCTAGGACTCTGGGAGGTCGAGGCAGGTGGATCACCTGAGGTCAAGAGTTCAAGACCAGCGTGGCCAAAATGGGGAACCCTCGTCTCTACTAAAAATACAAAAGTTAGCTGGACGTGGTGGTGGGCATCTGTAATCCCAGCTACTAGGAGGCTGAGCCAGGAAAATCGCTTGAACCCAGGAGGTGGAGCGTGCAGTGAGCTGAGATCTCACCGTTGCACTCCAGCCTGGGCAAAAAAGAGCAAAACCTCTGTCTCAAAAAAAAAAAAAAAAAAAAAGTCATATTAGACCATTTTATAGGTGGAAAAATAGTCCAAGGAAGTGAGCAGGGAAGAATGACCTACCAAAGTTGTTTATGAAGCCAGAGGCCTAGCAGAGTCTAGAACCTAGGTCTCCCAGCTCCCAACTCAGGGCTCTTTCCAGTGGCTCCATATCATCAAACATGGTCCAATATTGTTCACTGCACAACTCTGCACATAGGCTACCATGGGAATGACATCCCTACAATTGCCCAAATTGGTGACCCTGCCATTGGAACCCTGGAAAATTCTGCTCCAAGTTCCTAGGCTGAGTTAGGGAATGCCATTTCCTTACAAAATGTTCAGCATCCTATGAAGACAGCTGGCCACAGAAAATGGCCTGGGTGAGATATGAGAACAAAGCTACAAATGGAATGAAACAAAGTGACACATACATTGGCAAATAAGTGATTTAGAGAAAAGAATGCCACACCTCACAGAGAACTCCAGAGTCTGCCACCCCAAGATTTCATTCTAAATTAGGCATACATCCGACAATATTTGGATTCAATTTTTACCCGTTTTTGCTCTTTTTCCAGCTCAGATGCAGAAAGCTGGAGCGAAGATCAGACACCACTTTCCTATCTAGCAAAGTCTATGTTGAAACCTGTGATCCCTTCCTTCCAATCAGGAAAGAGTTACCTTGGCAACGAAATTACTAACTCACTCAATTAGCCCCCACTTCTACCAATGCTCAGTAATCACAGACCATCAGCCCCCGGAGAGCTCAGCTTTCAGCAGTCTGATGCTACCGCCTCATTTAGAGATGGAAGCTCAGAGAGGTTTCCACTCCGAGGTGCGCTCCATTTGAACACTGTGAAAGCTGGTGCAGGCAAAGGGGCAAAACTCTTCCGAGTAGTGTTTCCTCCTGGTTTTCCATCATAACTGAAGGGAGAGCAATTGACCTGCCCCTACCAGTGTTACCCAAAAGACATAATAGGTAAGAGTGGGGGGTCTGCAGGCAGCCCTCCACTGTCGGCTGTGTGATATGGGACAGGTTCAGTAAGCTCAATGAACTCATTTGCAAAATGTGGGTAAGGGTAGAGCACCTTGAAGACTTGTGTGAAAATTAAATTAGAACCAAAGAGCAAATGGTATGGGAACCAAAGAGCAAATAATAAACAAAACAGAACACTGTTCCTGAGAGACGTTGCATTAAGGCCACTTCTTTGAGTCTTCTGCAGAAAACCCTGCCTCTTACTGACTTCTTCAATATTTCTTAACAGGCACAAACCTGTTTCTTCTGAAGGTCAGACCAGTTTCCTGATCATGCACCCCAGTTGCATAGGTGGGTGTTAAGGGAAGTGTAGAAGAAGGGAATAAGGGCGGAGGCGGCCGGGTGCGGTGGCTCACACCTGTAATCTCAACAATTTGGTAAACCCAGGCAGGCGGATCATGTGAGGTCATGAGTTCGAAACCAGCCTGGCCAAAATGGTGAAACCTCGTCTCTACTAAAAATACAAAAATTAGCTGGGCGTGGTGGTGCATGCTACTTGGGAGGCTGAGGCAGGAGAATCGCTTGAACTCAGGAGGCGGAGGTTACAGTGAGCTGAGATCACGCCACTGCACTCCAGCATGGGCATCTAAAAAGAGAGAGAAAAAAAGGGTGGAGCCAAGCTAAGCCTGCAAAGCAGCTCAGGGTTGGAACTGGTGGAATAGAGGGAGCAGGAATATCACAAAGGATAGGGTTGGCAGTTGGCAGTGAACACAGCCTGGGGCCACAGCTCTTAACTCCCCCATTTCCTATCAGAAAACCTATCCTTTTCCAAAATTCAAATACTCAAGTTCTACTTGCTGTCCTGTCCAGTCCTGGCTATAATCTGCACTGAGAAAACCATACAATAGGCCGGGTGCGGTGGCTCACACCTGTAATCCCAACACTTTGGGAGGCTGAGACGGGTGGATCACCTGAGGTCAAGAGTTCGAGACTAGCCTGGCCAACATGGTGAAACCCTGTCTCTACTGAAAATACAAAAATTAGCCAGGCACGGTGGCATGCGCCTGTAGTCCCAGCTACTCGGAGGGCTGAGGTAGGAGAATCGCTTGAACCCATGAGGCAGAGGCTGCAGTGAGCTGAGATGGTGCCATTGCACTCCAGCCTGGGTGGCAGAGTGAGACTCCATCTCCAAAAAAAAAAAAAAAAAAAAAAAAGAGAAAACCATGCATGCAATTTCTTCACAGGAAGTGGCCTTTGAGTTCATTTCATTCTCACTCTCACATTTCATTTACTGTCATTATAGAGTTATCTCAGGGACTCATATGTGAATGAATGTGTTCTCTTCCCCAATAGATTATGTATTTTGTGATGGCAGAGGAGTGACAAGATGATGAGGATGTTTTAGGCAGATTGTCAGGCTGCATGGCATGGGGAGTGGTCTGGAGCTGAGGAAAACACTGATGGTCAGCCAGATCAGCCGAATGGTGTTAAAGCTCCCAGGCACCCAGGCGATTAAGGGAGAGGAAAACACAAGAGACACTTCCAAAAGAAAACCGGTAGGCCTCAGTTAACTGTACTGTGTAGCTGTAAAATCATGGCTCTGGAGCCAGACTGCCTGGCTCCTTCCTTGAAAGCTCCTTCCTGTGACCTTGGGCAGGTAACTTCACCTCTCTAACCTTACGTTCAGTTGCAAAGTCCCATGATAAAAAAAAAAAAGTCCCCCCCTCAGAGGGTTGTTGTGAGGATTAATTGAGCTAATGCTAGTAAAAATGCTTAGGCCACTGCCTGCCTGCAACATAGCTGCATTTAGCAACAGCACCAGGGTACTGGTATTTAGTAAATATTTGCAGAGCAAACAATGGGCAATTTCAACAGACTGGCAGAGGCTAAGGGAGTGGGGTGCTTAGGACGTAGATGATGTGTTGTGGTGCCTGCAAGTCTGAAGATGGGAAAAGAGTGACTACAGCTAAAAAGGGAAAATGGCCAAGGGAAGGATTCACTCAGCCAGGGGAGAACTGTGCTCATCTGGGTGTGGAGAGAGGATACAAAAGGGTGAAATTGCCAGGCACGGTGGCTCACGCCTGTAATCCCAGTACTTTGAGAGGCTAAGGCGGGTGGATCACTTGAGGTCAAGAGTTTGAGACCAACCTGGCCAACATGGTGAAACCGTCTCTACTAAAAATACAAAAATTAGCTGGGCGTGGTGGCACACGCCTGTAGTCCCAGTTACTCAGGAGGCTAAGGCATGAGAATCACTTGAACCCGGGAGGCTGAGGTTGCACGCCACTACACTCCAGCCTGGGTGACAGAGCGATATGCCGTCTCAAGAAAAAAAAAAAGGGGTGAAATCAAAGGGAAGATGCTATAAAGGTCTAAGTTCCTGGAGGAGTGGGACAGTATGGGGTCCTCAGACAGGGCAGGTTTGAAGGGCAGGGCTTAGGGGGACTCTGGTTGTGGATGCCCCACATGACAGCTCCCTGTGTCACTAACTGTCCTGCCACAGTGTGGCTGCAACCTGACAGATTGGTTGCTGAAACCATCCTTCATGCCTGGGATGGCTGGACATGTTTCTGTTGTTTTTGTGTGAATGAATTATCTGTAGCTGATGCTATAATGGAATGAAAATGAAAACTGATACCAAGGAGTTTAAGTGCTCCCTCTTATCAACTGTTAACTGACTCATAGCAAGTAAAATCACAACCCCCAACTGTTAGGCTGCCCAGGCAGTTTGTTTGACTTATTGATTTGGGTGGGTTAAAAAAAGCAAGAGCTGGTTATCATCCTGTTACCTTTGCCCTGCCTTTTGCCTGTTTCTGTAACTGCCTAAATTAGATTCCACAGCCTAAGATCGGTGAAAAATGGTTTCCTATAGGTTTTCCTGAAAATCTTTCCTAGACACTGAAGTCACAAACCCCTTTCTGCTGATGCAGCATAAATAGTACTTTTCTTCAGCTGGGCTAAGGAGGGGAGGAATCCAGTGCAGATGTTCAAAACACGCTACTTAAGGGTGCTGACAAAGGCAACTTGAGAATTAACTTCAGGATTCAAAGACAGTGAAAGTCATTGAATAAGATCTGATTCCATATGCCCCGGACCTCTGTGGCCTGACTACAGAGGATATACATAGGGATAATAGATACAGCTGTGTTTGTGTTATGTGCACATGTGGACCCACTACTGTTCACCCTACAGTCTCCCTTGGCTTCTCCTGGGTCTACTTTTATTTTCTGTCTGTTCCTTTTGTGTAGTCTTCTTCCTCCCAGAGATTTGATGAGTTGGGTATTTGTAAAGTGCTTAGAAGGCCGGGCACACACAGGCTGGGTGTGGTGGCTCACGCCTATAATCCCAGCACTTTGGAAGGCCGAGGCGGGTGGATCACTTGAGGTCAAAAGTTCGAGACCAGCCTGGACAACATGGCAAAACCCGTCTATACCAAAAAAATACAAAAAAAAAAATTAGCCAGATGTGGTGGTGCCCGCCTGTAGCTACAGCTCCTTGGGAGGCTGAGGCAGAAGAATCACTTGAACCTGGGAGGCAGAAGTTGTAGTGAGTCGAGATCACGCCACTGCACTCCAGCCTGGGCAACAGTGTGAGACTGTCTCAAAAAAAAAAAGAAAAAAGAAAGAAAAAGTGCTTAGAACACAGCCTGGCACATGGCACGCACTATTGCACATTAGCTAGTGTTATTACTGCCCATCTTCCAGGCCCCATTCTGCGCCCCACCCCATCCCACCCCCTTAGCCTTAACTGCCAAATCTTTATCTTAAGCCCTGAACCCTCTCCAACTCCTAGTCATTTACAAGGCACCAGGCTTCTGTCCTCGTAACTTCCCATGTGAAACTCCTAATTCTCCAAACACCACACACACACACATACCATTTCTCATTATTTCCCTATTGCTCTGGTCCTTCTAGGCTAGAGACTTGCAGAATGTTATCAGGGAAACATGGGCAATGGCCCCTTCAGAAGACGAAGCTGTCTCAACTCTGTGACCATCCACTACAAGGGGCTAGGGATATCCTAGCCAAAATCATTCCTGAGCTAAGAGTACTAGGAATGGGCTATCCCAAGCTGCAACACCTTGGAAATGCCCATTGCCTCGTAGACAGAGACACTTCCCCAGGCCCAGGCCCTCCACAGGCTTTGCAAATGGCTGGATCAGTAGCAAGAGTTGGGGTGAGAAGAGCGTACTGTGTGTAGGCTCAGACAGGTGACAAGGGTGTGTGAGAAGAGCATTGTGTGTAGGCTCAGACAGGGGGCAAGAGGACCAACTTAAGTGCCCTGAGTTCTGATTCTGCTCTACCACCAATAATTCCTTTCACCATTGTAAAAAGCAAAGTAGGGCCAGGCACGGTGGCTCACACCTGTAATCCCAGCACTTTGGGAGGCCAAGACAGGTGGATCACTTGAGGTTAGCAATTTGAGACCAGCCAGGGCAACACGGTGAAACCTCATCTCTGCTAAAAATACAAAAGTTAGCTGGGAGTGGTGGCGGGCACCTGTAATCCCAGCTACTTGGGAGGCTGAGGCAGGAGAATTGCTTGAACCCAGGAGGTGGAGGCTGCAGTGAGCCAAGATCATGCCACTGCACTCCAGCCTGGGGACAGAGCAAGACCACGTCTTAAAAAAAAAAAAATGCCAGGTGCCGTGGCTCATGCCTGTAATTCCAGCACTTTGGGAGGTCAAGGTAGGCGGATCACAAGGTCAGATCGAGACCATCCTGGCCAACATGGTAAAACCCCGTCTCTACTAAATATACAAAAATTAGCTGGGTGTGGTGGCATGCTCCTGTAGTCCCAGTTACTCGGGAGGCTGAGGCAGGAGAATCACTTGAACCCAGGAGAGGGAGGCTGCAGTGAGCTGAGATCACACCACTGCACTCTAGCCAGGCGACAGAGCGAGATTCCATCTCAAAAAAAAAAAAATCTTGTAAAAGGTGCCAACCAGGGTGCCTGCCCTAACAGGGATCAGCTCCATCTCTACCTAGGAAGTAGAGAAACACTCAGATCTTGTAGGTCTTTTCCCATTGTCTGTAGTCCTTATCTATAAGATGGAAAAATAGTGCCTACCTCGTGGCACATAAAGCCATGTGGTAGTACCAAGAATGAGCAGCTATCACTTTTTGAGCAATGAAGTCTCCCCTTCAAGTCCTCATTTAACCCTTCCAACTCCCCTATTAAGTACTATTGTTTTACAAATCACAAGGGAAAAACTCAGAGTCTTGACTTGCCCACCATGACACAGCTGGTGAGCAGAAAGGGCTGAGGCAACTGAGCATCAGCCTTCCTCTGCAGCCCCAGCCTCGGGAGTGTGCTGAGCAGGAGAGGTTCCCCGGGGGCTGGGTTAGTAGAGCTGGGCAAGGAAGGGGCAAGGCAGGGGCCAGGTGTGGTGGCTCACGCCTTTAATCCCAGCACCTTGGGAGGCCGAGGAGGGCAGATCACTTGAGCTCGAGTTCAAGACCAGCCTGGGCAACACAGTGAGAACCCATCTCTACTAAAAATATAAAAAATTAGCCTGGCATGGTGGTATGAGCCTGTAGTCCCAGCTACTCAGGAGGTTGAGGTGAGAGGACTGTTTGAGCCCAGGAGGTTGAGGCTGCAGTGAGCCAAGATCGTGCCACTGCACTCCAACCTGGGTTACAGAGTAAGACACCATCTCAAAATAATAAAATTAAATTAAAAAGAGAAAAGGGCAAGGCAGGAACTAGGAAGGGATTCAGCAAGGGCTCTATGCCTGGGAAGACAGGGCAGAGAGAGAATGAGGAGAGGAGGAGGGCTACTTCGGTCAAATCTAACCCCTGAGTGCTCAAACCAAGCCATTTTACAACTACCAAATACACTGCTGTAAAACCCTGTTTTTCTCTCCCAAGGCCATAGCTCAAGACTAGGTCAGTCTCAAAGGGGAAAGCAGGCTGGCTTCGCCTGTGCCCTCCCCATTTTGCACAAAAACGTCCAGATGAAAACCCACCTCCCTCCACCACAGCACCTCTTTGCTCTCCAGCCCAGAAAGCATTTCTAGAATACATTGTCTTTCCACAAAGGGAGTGGAAGCCCATCTTGCAGCTTCTAAAAACCTGGACTCAATTTTCTGATCTTGTGGAATAAAAACTTAGAAGCACTCAAGTCCTGTGGCTCTACTAGGATTCTGTGCCCATCAGCATTGGCCCAAACCATTTGTCCAGGTCCCCCCCCCCCGGTTTAGCCCAAGTGCCCTCTTTATTAAGGACATCCCCATATGCTTTTCTGCCCCTCTCCCACCTTCCACCAAAATGCCAAACCGTGCTCCAAAACAAAAGCCAAATTTATTCAGCAGACATTTTAATTATGAAATCCTATAAATCAGGACCACCACAATTTCAGACACTCCGTTGCGAAGTGTACATCAATAGCTACATCTGGAGGATGAACAAGCCATTGAATCTTTTAAAAATTGGTTTAGCTACCTTAAAGTTTGGGGGTGGCACCTTACAAAAGCGCCGTCAAGTTTCATACAGCCAGCGGCTTCTTCTCTGGGAGAGTCACATTTTAAAACCGGTTTCAGACACAAAAGAAGGGCTGGCACGGGAGGAGGAAATAAATTGTGAGGGTGAGGAGCCGCCGAGGCCGAGGCCCATGACTCCATGGAGGGCCAGAAGAGAGCAGAAAAACGTCCAGGGTCTCTCATGCATTCCTATAGACACCAGAAAGGGTGGAATAAGAAAGCTCAGCTGGGAGGACAAGAAAGAGACTCAAGAGATCGTTTATGACTGTTTCTGAGAAAGCTCCTGGCATGGCCATGAGTGGCCTTCCGGGAGTCCTGTAAAAAGGAAAGCACAGAAAACAGGAAAGAACTCTCCCTACACGTCCCTCTCTGCCTGTTTGTGTCCTCGGGAGACTCCAAGCGGTGGTAAAGCACCAACAGGGCTCTTCTTGGAGCAAGAGAAAGAAAAGACTCCGGGGTGAGTAAGCTCTCCCAGGAACCCCACAGCAAACCGTGACCTTGAACACAGATGGCAAGGTCAAGTCATTTACAAGTCCACATTCAAATCCAAATCTCCCACCTGCAAAATTCTTCACCTCTCTCCAGTCCCTTAATTGGAGTTCACATCTCCCACCTTCACCAGCCACCGAATCGGTGGGAAAAAGGGGCAATGCCAAGCCACCCACCACCAAACTTTTACATTCTTCTCCCCTCTGGAATTTCTTTGCACAGCAATTGTAGCACCACTTACTAAGCTCCTCCACCAGAAAATAAGAAAATGTATGCGTGTCGTTAGTTTTCAAGTATTGTTATAAAGCCATCGCGATTCCTACCCCTGAGCCCTCCTTAAACAATCCAAGCTCACGACGCCCCCAAGGGCTAAGTGAGGTACAAGTCGATGCAAGTAGCTGCCATAGTTCTCCCAGTTTATCCCAGGTCCTTGGGCTTGGATGGCCCGGGAAATTCTCATGCCCCACGGAAGCACCCTGGCGCATACATTTCTCCACGCTTAAGTTTTCTCCGACGGCCTCGCCGCGGCTGGTAACTTCTCTGGTTGAGATCTCTCCCCACGCGCCTCCCCGCAGCCAAAGTGGTCGCTCCCAGGCTGGCGACGTCGGCTTCAGCTCAGAGTTAGTAGGAACTGGACGCTGTTGGGTCTACGCAGCGGCCTCCACTTCCTCCTCCAGGAGGCCTGCGTCAGAGCAAGGAGCCTGAGGGCTGCAGGGCAATGCGGTCAGGTCCGCTGCGGCCTCCCCCGGGCCCAGGGGCGCTTGCGGGGCCCGTGGCTGCAACCGCGGCGACGGCTCGTTGGAGTCTCCGCACGGCTTCCTTGATGAGGTTTCCCGAGAGCACGAGCTGCTGGAGGAGCCGATGCGGGTCGTCGTCGCCGGCGCGTGCCCCGGCTTGGGTCCATCGGCGCTGCTGCAAGCGGCGGGAGGTGACCGCGTCCCTGAGCCATCCTCGCCGGCACGGCCCCGGCAGCGCGCTGGGGCCTGCGGCGACCTCCGCCACGCAGTAGGGCGCAGCGCGTCCGCGCACGCGGCCGCGGTCCCCTAGGGCGCAGCGCAGGGCCCCAGAGGGCGCCGGGCCCACCGTCTCAGCCGAAGCGGGCGGCAGCAGCAGCGGCACCGCCGGGGGCCGGGCCTTGTCCGCCGGCACCGCCGCAGCCAGGGGCCCCGGGGCCCGCAGCGGCACCCCCGGGGGCGCGCACGGCGAGGCCGGGCTGTCCTGCGCCGCGTCCAGCTGCAGCGTCTCGCCGATCTGGGCCACCAGCCGGTCCACCTCGCCCGAGCTGCCCAGCGTCACCGACTGCTGCAGCAGGAGGAAGCTGTCGTCCTCCTCTTCCTCCCCCTCCGCCTCCTCGCCGGCTTCCTCTTCCTCCTCCCTCCGGCACGGCATGGCCCCCCGTCCTGGCACCCGGAGCTGTGCGGGCTTCGCTGGGGGCTTGGTTGCCCGCGGGCGCGGAGCTGCGGGCGAAGCCGGAGCAGGGGCGGACGCGGAAGCCGGAGCCCGCCAGGCACTCGAGCCACGCGCCTGCAGCCGCTGGAGCCGGAATCCTGCCGGCTCGGGTTGATTTGTAAACAATGGGTGACGTCGCGCCGGGCCCTACCACCGCACCGGGGCGGGGGTGACGCGCGAGCAGGCACGGGGGCAAAGGGCGGCGCGGGCGGTGACCGAAGCCGTCCCGCGCCTGTGTTCGTTGTCCCTCCAGGAGGGGGTCCGGGGCGTGGGGACTGATTTCCGACCTCCCGGGCCCAACGAGCCGTGCTGAAACGTGGCGCCTCGGAGGAGGCTGAGGTTGGTTTCTCCCACGCACGGACACACCCACACCCACTCCGGGCCCGCCTCCTGGGCCGCGGCCTCCCTCCCCACGTGTCGGCCGCGCCTAAGCCCGCCCGACTCCCGCCCCGCGCACCCGCAGTTCCCGGCCCTGGTCGTGGGGGAGGGGCGGGCCGCCGCGGGTCCGGCTTCGACGAGGCGGGGCGGGGAAAGGCGGAGGGAATTGGGAGTGAAGAGGCGGCACGTTACTTATTTACTTATTTATTATTTAGAAAAGGTCTCTGTCGCCCAGGCTGAAGTATAGTGGCGCGAACACGGCTGACTGCAGCCTCGAACTCTGGCTTAAGTAATCATCCCACTTTAAGCCTCCGGAGCAGCTGGGACCACAGGCGCGGCCACCACGCCTGGCTAATTAAAAAAATTTTTTTTGTAGAGACGGTGGTGGGGGGGGGGGGTCTCACTATATTGCCCAGGCTGGTCTCGAACTCTTGGGCTCAAGGAGTCCTCGCTCCTCGGCCTCCGAAAGTGTTGGGGTTACTGGCGTCAGCCGCCGCGCCCGGCCTAAGAGGGGACGCTTTGAAGCAGAGCAGAATCGCTCTGAGGTGAGGTCCCAGAGGCTTTCCCTCCCGCAGTCTTCAAGCCCCCGGACATATCATGAGAATAGGACTCACCGCCGCTCGGCTAAAGAAGGGTCTTTTTTTTTTTTTAAGGTTCAAATAGAAATATAGGGGATTGGCCAGGAGCGGTGGGTGGCTCATGCCTGTGATCCCAACACTTTGGGAGGCCGAGGCGGGCGGATCACCTGAGGTCAGGAGTTCCAGACCAGTCTGGCCAACATGGTGAAACCCCATCTCTGCTAAAAATACAAAAATTAGCCGGGCGTGGTGGCGGGCGCCTGTAATCCCAGCTACTCGGGAGACTGAGGCAGGAGAATGGTTTGAACCCTGGAGGCGGAGGTTGCAGTGAGCCGAGATCACGCCACTGCACTCCAGCCTGGGCAACAAAGCGAGACTCCGTCTCAAAAAAAAAAAGAAAAATATAAGGGATGGAAAAAATCTCTCATGGTTCACATTTAAATTTTTTTCCTTTTTAGCCTTTGTTCTATGAAAGTGTAGTATACAAACACATGCATACAGTGTTACACACTTTTCCACTTTGCCTTACATCATAAACGTTTTTCGTGTTATTGCATGCACTTTGAAAACATTTTAATGATTACATAAGTTTCCATCAAGTGCCTATGTTTTTAACATTTGCCTAATTTCACCATCGTTAAGTGTGTAACTAACATTTTTGTGCGCGACACTTTAAGATATTGATGATTCTTTCCTTAGGGCATATTCCCAGGAGTGGAATTTTAAGTCACAGTAGTTGGGTATTTTAAGGTTTACTGATAAATGTTCAGGAAGTGTCTTTCCAAGAGTTAGGTAAATGTACTCTACCATCATTAATGCTTGAGCATACATCATTACACCTTCACTAGTATTTGAGTATTATTGAATTTTTTTTTTTTTGCGGATTATATAGGGAAATTTTCTCCCTTCAGTTTGCATATCTTTGATTTCAGTTAGGTAGAGCAGTTTTCTAAATGTTTGTTAACAAACTGTACTTCCTTTCTTATGAATTGTCTATTTCCTAATAAGATTTTCCTAGGGAGTGTTTCTTACGTATTTGCATGACTCCTTTACATACCAAATGTTAACCCTTTTCATATTTTGCCGCAAATACGTCTCCAGGCTTTTGTTGGCTCTGTACAGTCATTTTTTCCCCCACTAAAACCAAATTTTCATGTAGGCAAATTTTAAAATCTCTTTGAAATTTCTAACACGATGCTAAATTTGGAGTCTCCTTGCTGCCAGAAAGTTATTAAATATTCCATTCTATTTTCTTTAGATTTTTCAAATGCCTTGATTTTTTTTTCAAATCCATCTGGGATTAATGTTGGTCTTTGTTTCAAGGAGATGACATGAAATTAATTTTTTCCTGGAGAGCTTGCCAGCCAAAGGTGTGTTTCTTCACTAGGACAGAGGTGTGAGGGTAGCATAAACACAAGCTGTCTGGTGAGTTTCCAGTTGCTGGTTAAGCTGGTGGTTGTGAGGAGTGGGTGGGGCTGGGAATGTTTTGATCAGTCTGTTGTGTGAAGTCAAAAGAACCCAGAACAGGTTGTACAAAGACCTAGATCCAAGTCTCATTCCTGCCACATCCTGGGTGTGGGACTCCAGGCAAATCAGTTTACAAGTGTTTTCACTTGTAAATAGGAGAAATAATCCCTGCCTGGCCTCCCTCTGAGGATTGTTTTCAGGATCAAATAAGATAATGGGAACGGGTGTTGTCAGGCATTACACAAATGTAGGATTAGGTCCAGCGGTTTACTAACAGAGGTCTGGCTCAATTCCAGCGAGTCCCCCCTGGGGAGCATTTAACATAATAATGTTGAAGATCCCCCCCATGCAGCCCACTAGGTGAAACGTACCCTGAGGGTATTACTTCTGTGCACTTGCCAGGTTTCTTAAATTCTGCCTCAGGTCTACCCTGACCTGGGATTGTGTAGGGCTTTACTGAAGTCAGCCCGGAGGCTCCCATGCCCCACAGTGAGTCTCCGCAACTAGTTCTGCAGGTTTGAGTGATGGAGACTTTCCCAGTGGGCAGCCTCCCACCTCCATCTCCCGAGGGCTGTTCACACACTTTACTGATGAGGACTGGAAGCCATTCCCCCCGGAGAGACTGATTCTCATTTTCATTCCGATGGTACTTACTGGAGAATTTCGAGAGGAATGAAAATTAGGGGAGGGCTTACGGATTTCAGTAGAGTTAAAATGGTAATGTTTTCCTCCTTTCTGTATGATGATGCCTGGCTGTAAGTAGAGAAAAGCAGTTTTATGCTCCATTGATTTTAAACATTAATGGGTCTGGTTTAACTATTGTCTCTCACCCAGCATCCCTGGAAGTTGTTTTTGTTTTCCTGTCAGGGTAATTCCAATAGTGTTCTTCGTACTATAGGAAATGGAGCTTTGAGATGGCATTCTTTAAAAAAAAAAAATCTTCCCTTTGTAATGTTGCTTTTGTGTGAAGATTGCTATGTAAATATGCTGGGACTTGGATATTATACTATTCATTACAGAGATGAATTCATTACAGAAGACCAGCTCCATTTTCTGGGGGCACCTCTCTGGAGAGCTCTGAGAGAGAGAAGTGCTGTGCTGGACCAGTGGGAGGCAGAGAAATGCCCTGGATTAGGAAGCAAAATACAAGATGCTAGAAAGACTCAGATGCAATTAAAAGTAATGAGACGGTATCAAAAAGGGAAGCGATGAGAACTTGTGAGCCCAGCACACTGGCTCCCTGCCTGGAAAGACACACTCTCGGACAGCATTCACAATCGCCCAGGGAAGAACAGAATTCAAGGGTTTTCTGCATTCACTTAGATTGCGTTGAAATTCTCTGCAAGGAGTTTGCTTTCCACACAGACCTTGTTTCAAGTTACCTGCCCTCAGAGACATTAGCTACAGTACAGTGGGATGAACACTAGGCTTGGGAATACCACCTGGATGGGGTCACTTTATCCTTCCGTGCCTCTGATTCCTCATCTGTAAAATGGGGGACGGTCCCTTCTTTATGAAATGGTTATATTACATGAGAATAATATGTATGGGAAGACTCATCATGTGGACCCTGAGGGTGGTGTTGGCATAGGTTCTAGGGAGCAGAAATACTCTTAGGGATGTTCGAGTTTTGTTTTTTGAGATGGAGTTTTGCTCTTGTTGCCCAGGTTGGAGTGCAATGGCGTGATCTCAGCTCACTGCAAACTCTGCCTCCCAGGTTCAAGCGATTCTCCTGCCTCAGCCTCTTGAGTAGCTGGGATTACAGGCAAGCGCCACCATGCCTGGCTAATTTTGTATTTTTAGTAGAGACGGGATTTCTCCACATTGCTCAGGCTGGTCTCGAACTCCCGACTGTCAGGCCTCTGAGCCCAGGCCAGGCCATCGCATCCCCTGTGACTTGCACGTATACATCCAGATGGCCTAAAGTAACTGAAGATCCACAAAAGAAGTAAAAACAGCCTTAACTGATGACATTCCACCATTGTGATTTGTTCCTGCCCCACCCTAACTGATCAATGGATCAATGTACTTTGTAATCTCCCCCACCCTTAAGAAGGTTCTTTGTAATTCTCCCCACCCTTGAGAATGTACTTTGTGAGATCCACCCCTGCCCACCAGAGAACGACCCCCTTTGGCTGTAATTTTCCATTACCTTCCCAAATCCTATAAAACAGCCCCACCCTTATCTCCCTACGCTGACTCTCTTTTCGGACTCAGCCCGCCTGCACCCAGGTGAAATAAACAGCCATGTTGCTCACACAAAGCCTGTTTGGTGGTCTCTTCACACGGACGCACATGAAACCAACCTCAGGTGATCTGCCCACCTTGGCCTCCCAAAGTGCTGGGATTACAGGTGTGAGCCACCGTGCCAGCCTGATGTTCAAGTTTTTTGGTTTTTGTTTGTTTGTTTTTTGTTTTTTTGAGATGGAGTTTCGTTCTTGCTGCCCAGGCTGGAGTGCAAGGCGGCAATCTCTACCGTGCCTGGCCAATACAACAAAATTTTATTCAGCCATGAAAAGGAATGAACTATTGATACATGCTATAACATTTTGCTCAAAAACATGCTGAGTGAAGCCAGACCTAATATAGGGCGGGCGCGGTGGCTCATGCCTGTAATCCCAGCACTTTGGGAGGCTGAGGTGGGCGGATCATGAAGTCAAGAGATCCAGACCATCTTGGTCAACATGGTGAAACCCCATCTCTACTAAAAAAAATACAAAAATTAGCTGGGCATGGTGGCACATGCCTGTAGTCCCGGCTGCTCGGGAGGCTGAGGCAGGAGAATCCCTTGAACCCAGGAGGCAGAGGTTGCAGTGAGCCGGGATCGTGCCATTGCACTCCAGCCTGGGCAACAGAGCGAGACTCCATCTTAAAAAAAAGAAAAAAAACAAAAAACAAAAAACCCATCTCTACTAAAAATACAAAAAATTAGCCGGCCGTGGTGGCAAGCACCTGTAATCCCAGCTACTTGGGAGGCTGAGGCAGGAGAATGGCTTGAACCCGGGAGGCAGAGGTTGCAGTGAGCTGAGATCACGCCATTGCACTCCAGCCCAGGCAACAGTGCAAGACTCTGTCTCAAAAAAAAAAAAAAAAAAGCTCATATATTGTATGGTACCAATTACATGAAATATCGACAACAGGTAAATCTATAGAGTTAGAAGCAGATTGATAGTTGATTAGAGCTGCGGGGGTGATTGAGGTAGGGGGTGACTGCTAACAGGCAAGGGGTATTCCTTTAGGGTAATGGAAAAATTTTGGAACCTGTTAGAAGTGGTGGTTGCACAGCATTGCAGGTGTACTGAATGCCACTGAAATGGCCACCCTTTGAAATCTCTATTTTTTTTTTTTTCTGAGTCTTGCTCTGTTGCCTAGGACAGAGTGGAGTGGCATGATCTTGGCTCACTGCAACCTCCACCTCCTGGGTTCAAATGACTCTCCTGCCTCAGCCTCCAAAGTAGCTGGAACTACAGGCCTTGCCACCACGCCCAGCCTTGAAATCGCTAATTTTAAGCAGGGCACTGGGCTGCAAGCTTGTAGTCTCAGCTACTTAGGAGGCTGAGGAAGAAGCATGGCTTCAGCCCAGGAGTTCAAGACCAGCTTGAGCACAAAGAGAGACCACTTCCCCGCCCCACAGACTCTGAAAAAATAAATACATAAATAAAATAATAAAATGGCAAATTTTATGTTATGTGAATTTTGCCTCAATAAAAATAATTATATACTTTATGCAGTATTTGATCCACTTCTTTCTTCCTTTGTAGTTGGAACTGCAATCTAATCTATTTGCTGATGTAAAACAATCACATCTGGCCAAGCATGGTGGCTCATGCCTGTAATCCCAGAGCTTTGGGAGGCTAAGGTGGGAGGATCCCTTGAGCCCAGGAGTTCAAGACCAGCCTGGACAACATGGCAAAACCCCATCTCTACCAAAACAAAACAAAAAAACAATCAGCCAGGCATGGTGGGGTGTGCTTGTGGTCCCAGCTACTCGGGAGGCTGAGGCAGGAGAATTGCTTGAGCCCTAGAGGTTGAGGATCTATTGAGCTGTGATCATATCACTGTACTCAAGCCTGGGTGACAGAGTGAGAGACCCTGTCTCAAAAAAGAGAAAGAACAAACCTTCTTCATATTAGTGTGGGAGATAGCAACTCCACAATACCACTAGCACCACACAACCTGGAATAGCTATATAGATTGTTTTGAGAATTTTATTATTGCAATTTTTTTTTTAAGACAGGATCTCACTCTCTCCCCATCTGGCGTCCAGTGGCATGATCTTGGCTCACTGCAACCTCCGCTTCCCGAGCTCAAGTGATCCTCCCACCTCAGCTTCCTGAGAAGCTGGGACTACAGGTGCACACCACCACACCCAGCTAATTTGTAGATTTTCTATAGAGATGGGGTTTTGCCATGTTGTCCAGGCTGGTCTTGAACTTCCAGGCTCAAGCAATCCACCCATCTCAGCTCCCCAAAGTGCTAAGATTACAGGCATGAAGCACCACACCCAGCCTATTTATTTATTTTAGAGACAGGATCTCACTCTGCTGCCCAGGCTGAAGTGCAGTGGTGTAATCACGACTCACAGTGGCCTCAACCTCCTGGGCTCAAGCAATCCTTCCACCTCAGCCTCCCAAGTAGCTAGGACTACAAATGTGTGCCACCGTGCCTGGCTAATATTTTTTATTTTTTGTAGAAATGAAGTCTCACTGTGTTGACCAGGCTGGTCTCCAACTCCTAGGCTCCAGCCATACTCCCTTCTCAGCCTCCCAAAGTGCAATTCTCCTTCCTCAGCCACCGAAAGCCCTGGGATTAAAGGTGTGAGCCACTGCACCCGGCTCACACACATTTTGAGAATTTGAAAACAACTCTATTGTGTTAAATGCTGAAATTCTGAGGTCTGTTACAGCATCTAGCATAACCCTAATGCACAGGGATAAAGGTTATCAGGGAAAAGAGAGGTGGAGAGAGCGCAGCACATTTAAGTACCATGAAAAAGTTCATGAGTGCGGGTGGGCAAAGAGACCTGATTTGCATTTGAAGAGGAGCTCTACCCACAGAAGTGCCAGGCTTAGGGGACTGACAGAGGAGGCAGATCCCAAAGATGTGAACAGAGAAGGCAAACGCCAGTTTAGGACTGATGGAAAAATCGCAGGCTCTGATCAGACACAGCCCAATGCCTTCCTTCTTCTGCCACAGCCCAGTTGAGTTACTATTGGCCTCCATTCCAGACAGCTGCCACATTGTTTTCCAGCTCTCACAGGCCCCCTATTTCACAGAATCCCAGTGAGTGTCTCCTACACAGGGTGGCTTGCTTCATTGAGGCAATTCTGGGTGTCCCTCCCTGGGTAGTTTGGTTTCTTGGGGAAAAGAAAGGGCAGATGACTCCACCCATCTGCAGACCCCAACATGCAAGTACACTTTTTTTTTTTTTTTGGAGATGGAGTCATGCTCTGTCACCCAGGCTAGAGTGAAGTGGCATGATCTCAGCTCATTGCAACCCTGCCTCCCGGGCTCAAGCGATTCTCCTGCCTCAGCCTCCCAAGTAGATGTGATTACAGGCAGGCACCACAACTCCCAGATAATTTTTGTATTTTTAGTAGAGACAGGATTTCACCATGTTGGCCAGGCTGGCCTCCAACTCCTGACCTCAAGTGATCCACCGGCCTCGGCCTCCCAAAGTGCTGGGATTACAGGCATGAGTCACTGCACCCAGCCGCAAGTACACCTGATGCCTTCTCTTTACCATTTCAGATTCCTGCAGGTAGACACCAAGGATCTCCTCAGAGCCAGCGCTGATCTCATCCACAGAGGGATCACATGACCTCATCTGGGAAAATATAAACCCTACCCACCTGCCTGCCCATTTGGAAATGCAGACTGGAGGACGCTAAGTTCATTCTTACCTATGTACTAACAAGTACACAAGAAGATGCTCAATATCATTAGTCCTTGGGGAAATGCAAATTAGATTATAATGAGATTCCAGTGTACACCCACTAGAAGGCTATTAAAAAGGACAATACCAACTGTTGGCAACAATGTGGAGAAATGGAACCCCTCCTACGTTTCTGATGAGAATGTAAAATGGTGCAGATACTTTGGAAAACAGTTTGGCAATTTATTAAAAGATTAAATAAGCATAAACTTACTATATGACCCAGTAATTCCACTCTTAGGACTCTGCTCAAGGGAAATGAAAATATACATCCACACAAAGACTTACACGAGAATGTTCATAGCAGCATTAGATATAGTTCAAAACTGGGAAACAATCCAGAGGTCCAACTAGCAAATGGATTTAAAAATGTGGGGCTGGGGCTGGGCGCGATGGCTCACACCTGTAATCCCAGCACTTTGGGAGGCTGAGGCAAGTGGATCATGAGGTGAGGAGATCGAGACCATCCTGGCCAACATGGTGTAACCCCGTCTCTACTAAAAATACAAAAATTAGCTGGGCGTTGTGGCGTGTGCCTGTAATCCCAGCTACTCAGGAGGCTGAGGCAGGAGAATCGCTTGAACCAGGGAGTCGGAGGTTGTGGTGAGCCGAGATCACACCACTGCACTCCAGCCTGGTGACAGTGAGACTCTGTCTCAAAAAAAAAAAAAAAAAGTAAAGTAAAGAAAGGAAAAGAAAGAAAATGTGGGGCTAGGTGCAGTGGCTCATGCCTGTAATCCCAGCATTTTGGGAGGCTGAGGTGAGTGGATCTCCTGAGATCAGGAGTTCGAGACCAGCCTGGCCAACATGGCGAAACCCCATCTCCACTAAAAAAAAAAAAAAATTGCCGCATGTGGTGGCATGTGCCTGTAATCCCAGCTACTCAGGAAGCTGAGGCAGGAGGATAGCTTGAGGAGGTGGAGGTTGCAGTGAGCCGAGATTGTGACATTGCACCCCAGCCTGGGTGACAGAGCTAGATTCTGTCTCAGAAAAAAAAAAAAATTAAGACCAGGTGTGGTGGCTCACGCCTGTAATCCCATGAGTCTCCGTCTCAACAAACAAACAAACAAGTGTGTATCTGCAGACAATGGGATACTTTTCAGCAATTTTTTTTTTTGAGACAGAGTTTCACTCTGTGGCCCAGCTGGAGTGCAGTAGCGTGATCTTGGCTCACTGCAACCTTTGCCTTCTGGGTTCAAGCGATTCTCCTGCCTCAGCCTCCTGAGTAGCTGGGTCTACAGGCACCTGCCACCACGCCAGATAATTTTTGTATTTTTAGTAGAGATGGGGTTTCACCATGTTGGCCAGGCTGGTCTCAAACTCCTGACCTCAAGTGATCCACCTTCCTCGGCCTCCCAAAGTGCTGGGATTACCGGTGTGAGCTACTGCACCCGGCCTGGTTTGTCTTTTCTACCTCACCAATTAGTCCTCCTCTGTCTGCTCTTAATGGTGGAGAATCCCAAGCTTAGGCCTTGTGTTCTCTTCTCTGTCTACACTCATCCACTTGTCAATCTCCCAATATATTTGCTTGACACACACACACGCCTCCCTCATGTACTCGCCCTGCCTGGAGCTCTCCCCAGCCACTCTGGCGGCTCCATCTCCACTGGGATGCCTAACAGCCATCTCCACCTCAGCGTGTCTGCAACTGAACCCCTGACTTCCTTGCCCCTAAATGCTCCATCTGCAGTCTTCCCCATCTCAGTTAATGACCAGTCCATGAATCTAGTAGCTCGGGCTTGGAGTCATCCTTGATTCCTCCCTTTCCTCTTACACTCCACAGCCAATCTTTCAGCAAATCCCACGGTCACTACCTTCAAGATATATCCAGAATCCAACCACCTGCCAGCACCCCACTGCGAGCCTCCTGGCTCAAGCCCCCCTCATCTCTCCCTTGGATGATTGCACTACTAATCTTCTAACTGGTCTCCCTGCTTCTGCCTTTGCCCCTCTGCAGACTATTTTCCACACAGCAACCCAGTGACTTTAGAAAAACCCAAGTCAGATAATGTGACCCCATGTTCACAACCTTCCAGAGGCTTCTTTTTCTTTTTGAGAAGGAGTCTTGCTTTGTCGCCTAGGCTGGAGTGCAGTGCTGCGATCTCGGCTCACTGCAACCTCTGCCTTCTGAGTTCAAGCAGTTCTCCTGCCTCAGCCTCCCGAGTAGCTGGGAATACAGGCGCCCGCCACCAGGCCCTGCTAATTTTTGTATTTTAGTAGAGACAGGGTTTCACCATCTTGGCCAGGCTGGTCTTGAACTTCTGACCTCGTGATCCACCCACCTCAACCTCCCAAAGTGCTGGGATTATAGGCATGAGCCACTGCACCTAGCCGGTCAGAGGCTTCTTTTTCTTTCTTTTTTTTTTTTTTGAGATGGAGTCTCACTCTGTTGCCCAGGCTGGAGTGCAGTGGCATGATCTCAGCTCACTGCAACCTCTGCCTCCCGGGTTCAAACGATTCTCCTGCCTCAGCTTCCCGAGTAGCTGGGATTACAGGCGCTCGCCACCACACTCAGCTGATTTTTGTAATTTTAATAGAGACAGGGTTTCACCACGTTGGTCAGGCTGGTCTCGAACTCCTAACCTCAGGTGATCCACCTGCTTTGGCCTCCCAAAGTGCTGGGATTACAGACGTGAGCCACCGTGCCTGGCCTAAGAGGATTCTTTTTCTACTGGGAGGAAAAGGCAAAGTCCTTAGACCCCAGCATCTGGCCCCTGCCCTCATCCTAAGCCCATGTCCTACCACACCCCTCCCACTCACTCAGCTCCAGCTGCTTTTCCTTGAACACGCCAAGCACAGGCCTGCCTCAGGGCCTTTGCACTTGCTGCTTCCTCCATCCAAGGAGCTATCTAAAGGCTCTATTCCTCACCTCTTTCAAGTCTTAGTCACTTTCTCAGGTCACCCAATTTAAAGTTGAAAGCTTCCTGGCCAGAAGTGGTGGCTCACGCCTGTAATCCCAGCACTTTGGGAGGTCAAGGCAGGTGGATCACTTGAGGTGTGGAGTTTGAGACCAGCCTGACCAACATAGTGAAACCCCATCTCTACTAAAATACAAAATAGCTGGGTGTAGTGGTGGGCATCTGTAACCCCAGCTACTGGGGAGGCTGAGGCAGGAGAATCACTTGAACCTGGGAGGCAGAGGTTGCAGTGAGCTGAGATCGCGCCACTGCACTCCAGCTTGGGCAATAGCAAGACTCTGTCTCAAAGAAAAAAAAAATTGAAACCTTCCCTCTCTCTCATCCAGCACCCCCAGCCCCTTTACTGCTATGTCTCTTTAACACACATCACCATCTAATATCCTACAATTAAGGTATTGATTTTGTTTGATCCCACCATGAAAGCTTGGGATTTGCTTGTTTTGTTTGGTGCCTAGGACAGCGCCTGACACATAGGAGGCAACAATAAAAATGTGTTGATGATTGAATGAATGGTGTCCAGCCTTGGTGTTCCAGTAAATAAGGGGTAGTCTTCCCTCTGCAGAAGATGAGGATCCCTGCACCAACAGCACTGAATTCAGGTTTCAGTTTACATACCACTTACAGCCATTTGTAAATTTTATTTATTTATTTATTATTTATTTATTTATTTGAGACAGAGTCTCATTGTGTCGCCAGGCTAGAGTGCTGTGGCATGATCTTGGCTCACTGCAACCTCCAACTCCCTGGTTCAAGGGATTCTCCTGCCTCCGCCTTCCAAGTAGCTGGGATTATAGTCATGCGCCACCATGCCTGGCTAATTTTTGTATTTTTAGTAGAGATAGGATTTCACTATGTTGGCCAGGATGGTCTCGATCTCCTGACCTCGTGATCCGCCTGCCTCGGCCTCCCCAAAGTGCTGGGATTACAGGTGTGAGCACCATGCCCGGCCCACTTATTTATTTATTTATTTTTTTTGGGACAGAGTCTCACTCTGTTGCCAGGCTGGAGTGCAGTGGCACGATCTCGGCTCACTGCAACCTCCGCCTCCAGGTTCAAGCGATTCTCCTGCCTCAGCCTCCCAAGTAGCTGGGATCACAGGCGCCCACCAACACACCTGCCTAATTTCTGTATTTTTAGTAGAGACGGGTTTCACCATGTTGGCCAGGATGGTCTCGATCTCTTGACCTCGTGATCTGCCTGCCTCGGGCTCCAAAACTGCTGGGATTACAGGCGTGAGCCACCGCACCCGGCTTTTTTTTAATATTTAATTTTTTTGAGACAGTGTCTCACTCTGTTGCCTAAGCAGCTGGAGTGCAGTGGCAGGATCACAGCTCACTGCAGCCTCAACCTCCCTGGGCTCAGGTGATCCTCCCACCTCAGCCACCCCAGTGGCTGGGAATACAGGTGGGTGCTGTCATGCCCAGCTAATTTTTGTATGTTTTGTAAATAAGGGGTTTTGCCATATTTCCCAAGCTGGTCTCCAACTCCCAGCCTCAAGATATCGGCCTGCCTCGGCCTCCTAAAATGTTGGGATTACAGGTGCGAGCCACCCGCCCAGCCAACAGCCACTTCTTATCTCCCTGTCCAGCACTGCCCCCACCCCATCCTAATGCACCAGCCCCTCTTGTCTGGATCATAACAGCAGCTTCTCAGCAGGTTACTTCATTTCCTCTTGCCCTGTTCTAATCCATCATCCATACATACAACAGCCAGTGATCTTAAAAAAAAAAAAAAAATTGGATCAGGTCAGTGTCCTGTGTGCTCCCTCCCCTCTAATTTGAGTGAGGATAATTCCAGTCCCAGTGAGAACCACCTCCGCCACCAGCCTCTCAGCCCTGTCTGCCAGCATTCTCCTCCTTGCACCCCTGGTTGGGTAACCTTGGCCTTCTGTCAGTTCTTTGAAGAAGCCAAACTCTTCGCTCCAGGGTCTCTGCTACTGAACATTCTTTTTCCCCTTCTTGGCCTGTAGCAGCACAGCCCCAAAGTGAGGCACTTTTTGTTTTGTTTTGTTTTTTTGAGATGGAGTTTCGCTCTTGTCGCCCAGGCTGGAGTGTCATGGCACAATCTCGGCTCACTGCAACCTCTGCCTCCCAGGTTCAACCAATTCTCCTGCCTCAGCCTCCCAAGTAGCACATTACATGTGCCCGCCACCACACCCAGCTAATTTTTGTATTTTTAGTAGAGATGGGTTTTCACTATGTTGGCCAGGCTTGTCTTGAACTCCTGACCTCAGGTGATCTGCCTGCCTTGGCCTCCCAAAGTGCTGGGATTACAGGCGTGAGTCACCATTCCCAGCCAAAGTGAGGCACTTTTAACAGCAATGCTCCCAACCCCAACTGCACACACACATAAACACAGTCTAAGTAGAAACAGTAAGCCTGGTATGCAAACAAAGCTTCCACATGAGTCCAGCCCCAGCCCACCTTCCAAGCTGCAAGTGACTGCTGCCCTTGGTCCCGGGTTTCTGGAAATGTAGGAGCCTTGGTTGTTTGCCACCCTAAAGCCTACTCATCCTCCAGGTCTTAGCTAAATGCCACTCCAAGAGGCCCTCCTGCTATGGCTCCCTTCACTTGCCCAAACCAGGACCCAGCATGATATCCATGCCGAACCTTCATAGCACTATCCTTTTTTTTTTTTTTTTTTTTTTTTTTTTTTTTTTTTGAGACGGAGTCTCGCTGTCGCCCAGGCTGGAGTGCAGTGGCGCAATCTCGGCTCACTGCAGGCTCCGCCCCCTGGGGTTCACGCCATTCTCCTGCCTCAGCCTCCCGAGTAGCTGGGACTACAGGCGCCCGCCACCTCGCCCGGCTAATTTTTTGTATTTTTAGTAGAGACGGGGTTTCACCGTGTTAGCCAGGATGGTCTCGATCTCCTGACCTCGTGATCCGCCCGCCTCGGCCTCCCAAAGTGCTGGGATTACAGGCGTGAGCCACCGCGCCCGGCCAACACTATCCTAATCATGTGTTTTATTAAATTTTTTATTTATTTGTTCTGGCTCCTCATAAACTTAGTGAAGGCAAGGATCCTGCCTGCATTGCTTACTACTCTATCTCTCACCCCTCACCAAATGTCTTTTTGGAAGTCCTTTGCTCAGAATAAATGCCCAATGAGAGAGAGAGAGAGAGAGAGAGAGAGAGAGAGTGTGTGTGTGTGTGTGTGTGTGTGTGTGTAAGGGAGAGAGAGAGAATAAGAAATGTGCAAGAAGAGGCCGGGCGCGGTGGCTCATGCCTGTAATCCCAGCACTTTGGGAGGCCGAGGCGGGCGGATCACGAGGTCAGTAGATCGAGGCCATCCTGGCTAACACGGTGAAACCCCCTCTCTACTAAAAATACAAAAAATTAGCCGGGCGTGGTGGTAGGTGCCTGTAGTCCCAGCTACTCGGGAGGCTGAGGCAGGAGAACAGCGTGCACCCAGGAGGTGGAGCTTGCAGTGAGCCAAGATCGCGCCACTGCACTCCGGCATGGGTGACAGAGTGAGACTCTGTCTCAAAAAAAAAAAAAAAGAAATGTGCAAGAAGATCGCGGAAAGAGACTTGCAGGCCAGCTGCATCCCCCTCCTTGGAAGAGACACGAAGGAATGCCCAGCCCAGCCCAGCCCTTCCCTTCATGTCAAGTTCACGCTGTTCAAGCTCACCCACCTCTCACTGAGTATAAACAGACCTGTTTTGTAATTGGTCTTTATCCCAGAGTAGCAGAGCTTTGGGAGCAAAGAGCCTGCAGGGTAATGAATGGGAGGGAGAACAGACGCTGGTGTCCAACTTCACATGGCATTTGGAAATTCACAGCCAAGCCTCTTTGCAACACTGTGCCCTCCCCGGGGGCTAATTTCAGCAGGCTGCAGCAGCATAGGCTTTAACTCCAGAGACCTGGGTGCTACCTTCTGCTACCTGCATAACTCTGCCCAAACCATGCATCCTTTCTGCCTTTCAGTTCTCAGCTGCGAAGTGGGAATCATGATAAAGATAACCATAATCACAATGCAAACAGGGCAACTGTTGCAAGGATCAAAAGAGATGGTGGGTGTGAATGTGTTTGGTAAGCTGGAGAGCTCCGTACAAGCTCCAATTGTAACTGCCACCGTACCTGTGCAGGAGATTCAAATCTGGCAGGTGTGACTGTGCATGTAACAGACGCTAGACCCCTTTGTGAAATCCTGAGGAACCCCTACAGGACCCACGTGATAGTCCTCATGTGAGCAGGGAGGAATTTTCTCAGAATACTAGATGTCAGCTTTGCTAGTTGATAATTATGAGTGTTTGCTTTGGAGCACCCCATCTTCTTCGAGGAGTTGAACTAGCTGCTGGAATGATGAATGAAGGCGTTTTTAGATAAGTATTATCACACAATGATCCAATCGATACACATAAAATCTGCTCAGGGCAACACTGTGCCTTGTCATTTTTATGAGCATATTTACAACTGAGGGTTGGTCTCAGGTTATCTACTGTGTATGTAATTCAGGCTCAGTGGCCTCAAGTCCAAGAGCTATGGCATAGCAACTGTTCTGGTTAAAAACAAGACTTCTGGCCGGTCATGGTGGCTCACACCTGTAATCCCAGTACTTTGGGAGGCCGAGGCGGGCGGATCACTTAAGGTCAGGAGTTCAAGACCAGCTTGGCCAACATGGTGAAACCCCATCTCTACTAAAAGTACAGAAATTAGTCAGGCGTGGCAGCATGCACCTGTAATTCCGGCTACTTGGGAGGCTGAGGTAGGAGAATTGCTTGAACCCAGAGGTTGTAGTGAGCTGAGATCATGCCTCTGCACTCCAGCCTGGGTGACAGATTGAGACTCTGTCTCAAAAAAGCAAACAAACAAAAAACCAAGACTTCCAAGAGCTTGCAGAACCTTCACTGGTGGAGGACCATGAGGGCTATACAGGTTATTCCTGGCACCAGTTGCAAATCCATCTGCCTGTCATCAGTGCCTCACATCCTCTTTGAAATTCTGACTTAAAATCATCAGCTCTGTAATGGGTGATGGGTGACATCCCTGGAATTTGGAAATCAGGCTGCCCTCTGGAAGTTAAACCCTTCAAGTCTACACGAGGGACAGGATTAGTTATCTGAACAAGGCCCCAGAAGGAACAGGATGTCTCTCTGGTGAAAGCCAGAACTGGCCTTGGAAATTCAATCCAGGCATGCCTGCCTGTGAAGGAAGCCTTACTAAATCTCAGAACAGGCTGGGCCTGGTGGCTCACGCCTCTAATCCCAGCGCTTTGGGAGGCTGAGGCGTGGGTGGATCACCTGAGGTCAGGAGTTCGAGACCAGCCTGGCCAACATGCTGAAACCCCGTCTCTACTAAAAATACAAAAAATTAGCCGGGAGTGGTGGTAGGCATCTGTAAATCCCAGCTACTTGGGAGGCTGAGACAGGAGAATCGCTTGAACCTGGGAGGCGGAGGTTGCAGCGAGCCAAGATCGTGCCACTGCCCTCCAGCCTGGGCAACAAGAGCGAAACTCTGCCTCAAAAAAAAAAAAAAAAATCTCAGAACAGCTTCTGAACAGCAGGTAAATGGCTGCAAAGGCCCTACAAGATACCAGAGAGGAAGGATCTGTTCCATTCTGCAGCCAACCAAAATAGAGGGGCAGGGCCCCAACAGGCTGCTAGGAGAATGGGCCCCTGTAGGCAGATATATCCCCAGAGACAAAACTGTCCCACCCCAATGACAATATTATTCACATATCACTTGCATGATTCCATTTGCCCTGTTTTATGCCCCCAGTACAGAAAACACACTGGTTTCAGCTTCCTATGCAAGGGAGCATGTGCTGAGCAGTCACCTTGAGTATCTTGGGCAGTTATAGTTCTCATTATAAATTAATATATTATAATTTCGACTAGGTCTCATGTGAATCTGTATCTTCTTCTCTGAACCTGATCAATCCTGATTTTATCCTTATTTATTTATTTAGAGTTCCAGGCTGGAGTGCAGTGACTATAACAGGCTGGACCAAAGTGCATTGCAGCCTCAACCTCCTGGTCTCAAGTGATCCTCCCACCTCAGCCTTCCAAGTAGCTGGGTCTAGAGGCACATGCCACTGCACCCAGCATCAATCCCAATTTTAGACTTGTAAAGCTGATCTCCAGTCCTCAGCCCTGGAATGAGTATGCAGCAGCAAGCCACTACACCATCTACCTACGTTCTTAGTCAGTATTTACTGATGATTGACCACGGCCTCAAAACCCAAATCCAGGCATTTCCATGACGAATCATTGAGATTTGGAATGGGAGGAGGAAATGTGCCACTGCATCCCTGGCCTTGGATAACTCAGCTGGCCTCTAACAGCTTGGTGTTTCTAATGGCAGTAGCTACGTCAAGCATAATTTCAGGAAATGGCAAACCAGCTTACATTGTCCCAAATCAGGGTTATTTTCTGGAGTACAGTCATCTATCTATTCACAATAATGTATATCGAAAATAGAACATAGAGTAGTCATCACGGCATTTTCTAAATACTCCTTTGCACACGGTCTGGCATCTAGTGATGGCATTAAATTCCTGCATACAGCAAAGAACAACATACTTATGGACTCAAAGATGCTTTGTAAACTGAACTATGTCCGCTGGGCAGATGTTTAAAGCTGAGCTACTGAAAATGATGTTTATAGCCGGGTGCAGTGGCTCATGCCTATAATCCTAGCACTTGGGGAGGCCGAGGTGGGCGGATCACCTGAGGTTGGGAGTTCAAGACCAGACTGACCAACATGGAGAAACCCCATCTCTACTAAAAATACAAAAATTAGCTGGGCGTCGTGGTGCATACCTATAATCCCAGCTACTCGGGAGGCTGAGGCAGGAGAATCACTTGAACCTGGGAGGCAGAGATTGCAGTGAGCCAAGATCGCGCCATTGCACTCCAGCCTGGGCAACAAGAGTGATACTCCGTCTCAAAAAAGAAAAGAAAAGGAAATGATCTTTATGAAGCATTTACATTAGTATACGGTAAGAACTTTAGTCAAGTGCAAATTTAGAACACAAATTGTCCAGGCATGGTGGCTCATGCCTGTAATCCTAACACTTTAGGAGGCTGAAGCAGGAGGATTGTTTGTGTCCAGGGAATTTGAGGCTGCAGTGAGCTGTAACTGTGCCACTGCACTCCAGCCTGGATGACAGAGCAAGATCTTGTCTCAAAACACACACACACATATATATATATAAAGTGTAAACTTGCATTTTAAAACATTTTTTTTTTTGAGATGTAGTCCTGCTCTGTTGCCCAGGCTGGAGTGCAGTGCCGTGATCTCGGCTCACTGCGATCTCTGCCTCTCAAATTCAAGCAATTCTCTTGCCTCAGGCTCCCAAGTAGCTGGGATTACAGGCACGCACCACCATGCCCAGCTAATTTTTTTGTATTTTTAGTAGAGACGGGGTTTCACCATGTTGGCCAGGCTGGTCTCAAACTCCTGACCTCAGATGATCCACCTGCTTTGGCCTCCGAAAGTGCTGGGATTACAGGCATGAGCCACCGTACCTGGCCCCATTTTTCCTTTTTTTGAAATAGGGTCTTACTCTGTTGCCCAGGCTGGAGTATAGTGACATGATATCGGCTCACTGCAACCTCTGCTTCCCAGGCTCAAGCTCTTCTCCCACCTCAGCCTCCGGAGGACCTGGGACTACAGGTGTACTCCATCACGCTTGGCTAATTTTTTGTAGAGACAAGGACTCACTATATTGCCCAGGCCAGTCTCAAACTCCTGGGCATAAACGATACTCTCGCCTCAGCCTCCCAAAGTGTTGGGATTACAGGTGTGAGCCATTGTGCCTGGCCTTACATTTTTTCCTTAATTAAAAAAAAAATAGCCCTACGTATATTAAGAAAAAAAAGAATGAAATGCACTAGTAATAACAGAATTTGGTGGAAGGATTTTAGCCCCTACTTTTACTTTTGTTTTTTCCAAATGTTCTGGGAATCTTTATCACTTTTGTAGTGAAATATATACGATTTTAATTTTTAAAATTACCCTTTGAGGAAACATAAGCAACCAAGAAAGAAAAAATGGGGAAAGGACTCTGAGGACTGAAAACAGGCTACCTGAACTTCATAAGCAATTTTGTTACATGTTGCAAACAGTACAGAAAAAACACCCTTCTTGGGACTGATCATGCTGTAAGTAGGACTAGCTCTAAAGATGGCCACTGGCAGGAATGAACTGCCAGGACAGTCCCCACCAAGCCTTCTGCCACAATCACGAGAAGGGAAATAGTGAAGGGGCAAGGTCAGTTTAACCTGACTCACCCATGGCCAGAAGTGTCACAATGTGGACATGACTAGACCGCCTTTGCAAATCCCCAAAGCTTGACCACTCCCTTGGCCAACTGCAGGGTTGCGGTTTTCGTAGTCAAGCAGGGTAGGACCTGTTTTCCATTTCTGAGAATGAGTGGAGGATGGACCCCAGAAAAGCAAGCCTCAGATTGACATTCCCAAAAGCACAAATTGAAAATCTGGAGAGTGAGAGCTCTCAACTTTCCTATTCACCCTAAAATTGGATGAATCTTTTGTTGATGAACACTCCTAAGACTCTCTTTCGCCACACTGTTGAAACAACACTGACTTTGTTTTTTTTTTTTTGAGACAGAGTTTCGCTCTTGTCACCCAGGCTGGAGTGCAAAGGCGCGCTCTCAGCTCACTGCAACCTCCGCCTCCCGGGTTCAAGCAATTCTCCTGCCTCAGCCTCCCGAGTAGCTGGGACTAGTGTGTGCCTCCACACCCAGCTAATTTTGTATTTTTAGTAGAGACAGGGTTTCACCATGTTGGCCAGGCTGGTCTTGAACTCCTGACCTCAGGTGAGCCACCTGCCTTGGCCTCCCAAAGTGCTAGATTACAGGTGTGAGTGATTGCGCCCGGCCTCAAGAACACTGACTTTCAAAATACACCTGAAGTTTCAGGGTGAAGATTAATTCTTGCCTCTGCATCAAGATCACTTGCATTTGAAGTCTACTTCCAAAAGAATATGGCATTCAGCACATCACTAACACCAACCTTTCTAGGTCACCTGCCTTTCCCATCTTTAAAAGAAAACAAAGTTCCTTGGAAAATGTGCTATATATAACAAGGAGGTTGGCTTCACGCTTTCTTTTTTTTTTTTTTTTGAGATGGCGTTTCACTCTTGTTGCCCAGGCTGGAGTGCAATGATGCGATCTCAGCTCACCCCAACCCCTGCCTCCCGGGTTCAAGTGATTCTCCTGCCTCAGCCTCCCGAGTAGCTGGGATTACAGGCATGCACCACCATGCCTGGCTAATTTTGTATTTTTAGTAGAGATGGGGTTTCTCCATGTTGGTCAGGTGATCCACCCGCCTCGGCCTCCCAAAGTGCTGGGATTGCAGGTATGAGCCGTGCCTGGCCTTTTTTTAAAAAACAAACAAACAACACCAATAAGCTGGGCGCAGTGGCTCACGCCTGTAATCCCAGAACTTTGGGAGGCCAAGGTGGGCGGATCACAAGGTCAGGAGTTCGAGACCAGCCTGGCCAACATGGTGAAACCCTGTCTCTACTAAAAATACAAAAATTAGCTGGGCGTGGTGGCGGGTGCCTGTAATCACAGCTACTCAGGCGGCTGAGGCAGGTGAATTGTGTGAACCTGGGAGGCAGAGGTTGCAGTAAGCTGAGATCACGCCATTGCATTCCAGCCTGGGTGACAGGGCAAGACTCTGTGAAAACAAACAAACAAACAAAAAACAAAACACCAATGCTGGGCAATTGGCTCATACCCCTATCTACTTTACACAAAGCTTCCCAGTGCACGTGGTCACATTTCCTGAGAAAGGAAACAGGAAGGACTGGGCTTGGCTTACTTCGGCCCAACTTGTGTCCAGAAGTGTAACAACGGGGAGTATGGTTAGATCCCCTCTGCAAATCTCTCCTAGCCACTCCTGACCACCTTTCTTGCTTGCTCTCCAATTCTAGATTTCTGTGAACAAGGCATGTAAACAGTGCCACCTCTGGGCCGAGTGTGGTTCCTTTCAGCTTTTCCTAGCCCCAAATCATTGGGAGGAAATGCCCTAATTTGGGGAGCGCCAGATCCAATTAAGACTTGGGTCCCCTTAGATAATGAGTGGAAGAGTGTGGTGGGACAGGCTGCCAGGAGGTGCACAGGGCCTCCTGGGACCATTATCAGAGCCAAGTGCCTTAAACTAGAATGGAAACGAGGAATGTGTGCATGTGCTCGCCTCACGTTGGGAGGATCTGAGATGGGAAGAATGTATCAGTCAGGTGCTAGGGCACAAAGCACACTCATACTGGGGTGTGGGAACAGTGCTGGGGTTCTTTGCTTCTGGCTGCCTGTGGGATTGTATCCACATGAGGGGACCTGGGCTGACAGGACAGTGACCTCAGGACTTCTGTGCCATGCCCTTCTCTGCTCCAGACCAACAAAGCTGGCCCAGTGAATCACATTACACAAACAGATCCCCTTGTCTGGGAAAAAAAGAATGTGGGAAGACACGGAGGTGAATGAACAAGGCTATGCTGGGCACTTAGAGGGGCTCAGCAAATACTTTGTTGAATCAATGAACAAAGATGCTGGAGAGACTTGTGCCCAGGACAGCTGGGGCAGTCCCTGGTGCTGAACTGCAGCTCCCGACACCAGCCCTGGGGCATTCGCTGCCCCTCCTGACACAGGTGGGTGCTCCCGGGCAAGTTCCAAAGCCTGTCCTATGGGCAAAGCCTTATGATATGCCCTGGACTGGATGTAAGGAGTTAGACAGGAAGAGGTCAGGCCACTGCTGCCAACAACTGCACACTGTTCTTACCCCTGGAGGGGGCAGACTATGAAACAGTTTCTAGAAAAAAAATGCAGGATGAGACACATTTATTCTACATCTGGTCACAGTAAATCTCACCCAGACCACAGGCAGGATGCCACGTGGCTACAGGCAGCTGGCGGAAATGGAGATCATCTGTTCTGGTGCTCATGGCCACTCTGGGCAGAAAGCAAAGGTGCCTCATGGCACCTACTCAGAGGCACTGAGGCCACATTCCCATCTCCAGGCACCAGGGATGTCTCTGAAGGGTGATTCCATTTGGAGTTTCCAAAATCCAGGACTTCTGAGAGCCAAGCCCTAGTTCCAAGTCATCCTGAGTCCAGGCTCTGCCAGAATCTTGAGCACCTGGAGCTGGTGGCAAGGCAGCCTGGGGGCTGAAAGGGCCTCAGACTGGACCACAGGGCAGCCCAGGGGCCCTGGGCCTCAGGGTCGACGATCCTTTCTGCGGTTTTTGTGTCCCACCTGGGAACCTCGCCGGGCAGCCTTCACCAGGCCTTTGAACTGTCCCTGCAGCTTCATCTTCTTCCTGCAGGGCCAAGGAACGGAAGGGTCACATCTGGCTGAGAATAGGAGGCCCCCTCCTGTTGCCAAATGATGGCTCACCCCCAGCGCCAGCAGGGATGAGAAGGGGGCCTCCAGGTGGTGGCCAGCACATGAACTAGGCAGACCTCACGTGGTTCCAGCTTCCACACGGCTCATGTCCTGACCTGGACATTCCACTTTGGCACAATTATCCCCCTGGAAACAGGCCTCCCTTCCATTTTTCCTCTAATGTATGTCCAGAGAAGGTCAAAGCTCCCTCTGCCCACCCATCCCTCCATTGAAAGGTAACTTACAACCCGCAGAAGCTAGAACTTTACAACACCATTTCCCTAGTAACATTAGTTTCCAAAGCAGTCCTACACATAACCCAATTTAAGGGCCAAAGTCGGAAACAACTCTAATTTCCTACCAATAAAGGGATTAGAAAAGCAAATTATACAAAGCTATTAAAAATGATGACTATGGCTGGGCGTGGTGGCTCATGCCTGTAATCCCAGCACTTTGGGAGGCCGAGGTGGGCAGATCACAAGGTCAGGGGATCAAGACCATCCTGGGTAACACAGTGAAACCCCGTCTCTACTAAAAATACAAAAAAATTAGCCGGGTGTGGTGGCGGGTGCCTGTAGTCCCAGCTACTCCGGAGGCTGAGGCAGGAGTATGGCGTGAACCCGGGAGGCAGAGCTTGCAGTAAGCCGAGATCGTGCCACTGCACTCACTCCAGCATGGGTGACACAGCGAGACTCCGTCTCAAAAAAAAAAAAAAAAGATGACTATGTAGAGTATGTAAATACCAGAAAACATCTGTATGACATAATATCATGTTTAAAGAAGCAGTTCAGGGCGGGGCACGGTGGCTCGTGCTTGTGATCCCAGCACTTTGGGAGGCTGAGGCATGCAGATCATGAGGTCAAGAGATCGAGACCATCCCAGCCAACGCGGTGAAACCCCATCTCTACTAAAAATACAAAAATTAGCTGGGCATGGTGGCACGCGCCTGTAGTCCTAGCTACTCGGGAGGCTGAGGCAGAAGACTAGCTTGAACCTGGGAGGCAGAGATTGCAGTGAGCCAAGATCGCACCACTGCACTCCAGCCTGGCGACAGAGCAAGACTCTGTCTCAAAAAAATAAAAAAATAAAGAAGCAGTTCAAGTCAGTAATACAGGTAGGTACCAGCTACATGATATAGGTGCATGTTAAAAAAAAAAGCTGGAAGAGACTCAAATTGAGCTGAGAGTTTAATAAGGCCTTCCCTTCTTTAGAGCACTCTGCTCCCTCATCCCCACCCATCCTCCAGCCCCCAGCCTGCCTGGCACAGCGTCATACCTGCGGTTGAGCTTGCTTCTGTTGAGGGGGATGTAGGCATAGGGATCCGGCCGGCCTTTCTTCTTCACATCACCTTTTGCTTTCTGCTTGCCCAGAGAAACAGAGTCAGCTAGGAGGGTGGGGTTCCCCTTCTGTCCCTGCCCTAGACTTGACAGGCCCCATAACCTCCCTTCATCCTCTGCCTTAGGTGGTGCCAAAGAGCTCCTGTATCCTTGGAAGGCCATTCAATAAGGTCCCCCATTTCAGATGCCACAAGGTCTTAGCATCTGAACCCCTTCTTCTTTCCTGGCCTCAGTTGAGTTCCAGGAAGGTGCCTCTCAGGACAGTGATGGGCACAGCTCCTCCTTGCCCCTCCCTGGCACCTGTCCAGTGCCAGGAGACCCCATGCCCTACATGCAGCACTTACCTTGGCCTTGTATTCAGCCCCAGGCATAGCCTTCTTGGCCACAGGGCGATGAATGCCAGAGCCTCCAGCTACGGGGAGAACACAGGACCATGAGTCAGGCAAAGCCAGGGCAGCCCCCTCCAGAAAGGCAATGGGCACCCTCTCTGAGAGAGCTGCAAGGGAGCAGATGAGTGAAGGCCAGGAACTTGGCTCTGTCCCCTATCAAACCAGGACAAAGACCTTCCTCGAGGAGGGACTGTCTGGTGATTTGACAGTTAGATCACTGGGCTCCTCAGACTGACCCAGAAGCCTTACAGCTTACCAGAGACCTCTGGGAACACATATATTCTCCGCTAACACACTAACAAAAAATAACCCATATTCTCCAAAGTCAGACAGAATTCAGCCAGCCAGCCAGCCAGGTTCAACTCCCAGCTCTGCCACTTACAGCTCCAACCTCAGGCAAGCCTCTTAACCTCATCTGTAAGAGAAGCCATTTTAGGCTTTCCCTTCTTATCTCATTTGGGTTTCACACAAACACTGAGATAGCAGGTAGCTATTTAACCCATTGTAACAGATGTGAACACTGTGGCTTAGAGAGATCAAGATCCTTGCCCAAGGTCAGCTGTCTTCTCCAGCCTGGACTTCAACATTCAACGACAAGTTGTGGATGGAATCCTACCATGCCAGCTCAGGAGGACTCTCTGAGACGACCAACACGAACCACCCCCATTCCTCATGTTTTTGCAGATGAGAAACTAGAAGCTCAGAGACAGACAGTGTAACCAGGCCAAGGTCAAACAGCTAAGCAGAGGTTGGGCAAGCAGCCCTGACCCCAGGTCTCTGCCTCATCAATTGGCAGGTACTCCTGCCTCAGCATCACTCCATCCCAGGGCACAGTAGGTGAGCTGGCCCTGGCTCATGGGTGCCACAGGCGGAAGAGCCATGAGGTTGTGCAGCTGCGTTATGATGCTCTAGGGCTGAGGACACACCAGCTACTGGAATCAGAGGCTTCCCACAGGAGCCCCTGGACCTCCAGATGCAAAGCAAGGGCTCTGCTGCAAGGGCTTGGGGGCAGGGGTCCTGCAAGGCTACCCTGGGAGGAAGGAAGCAGAGGTGAAGCCACCTTGGCACTTCTAGCAGCTGCTCTAGGAGGGCAACAGCTGGTGGGCCCAGAGATAGAAATAGAGGGGAACCCTCTGGCCAGACCCAATACCAACCTTCCCAGTTCCCAGCCCTGGCACCGGCCAAGTGGCTTCTCTAAACCCAGCCTGACTCGGTTGGTGCTCTTAGGGTGACCAAGAGAGGCAAGCAGCTCGCAGAAGGGACAGACTCAAGCCTCTTGGGAGGCCTGGGCGGGTGGGAAGGAGCTGTGGCTCAGGGCTCCTCAGAAGGCTGGTGGTTCCATGCACAGATCTCCTAACCCATAGGCTCTCTCACACCCCCAGGGCCCCTTAGACTCCAGGCCCATCTTGAGTGTCATATCAGCCAACCTCTGTTGGTGCCAAGTGAGTGCAACCAGGCTGTGCACCCTCATGGCCCTGCCACCCCTTCCTGTGACTCCCCTCCCTAATGCAGGTGACAGGGATCCATGTGTCCCAGGAGAGAGGAGTGGAAGCCTCACCTTGGTACTGAGGGGGTATCTCCAGCTCCTCCTCCTCAGCCTCTTTCTGGTGCTTGAGCTTCTGGTGCTTTTTCTATAGAGAGAGAATAGGTGGGTAGTGAGTGAACCAGGGGATGTGCCCACCCTCGGGAATGCCAACAGTAACAGCAGAGTACCCTGCATCAAGCAGGAGAGGCCCTCTGCTAAGCACCCCACCTCTCACTTACAGATGGGGAAACTAAGGCCCAGAGAGGGCAAGGAACTGTCCAAGATCACAAAGCCAGGCAGTGCAGAAGAGAAGCTCTGGCCATGTCCTGACTGCCGGGCTGGTGGCGGCCGTTCCTGCTCTTCCTTTCCACTCTGGGCCCCACCCAGGCCTGCAATTGCCCAGAGGGCTTCTGACATCAGCTTACCCAGCCTTCCTAATGGGGAAAATGAGGTCCCTGGCCTCTTCAGAGAGAATAGCTTTACCAGTTCTTTGCTTCACACAAACCCCACCCCACTCTCCCTATTAATCACTCACTTACTGATCCCCTACTAAGTGCCAGGCCCTGGGGACACAGGGCACAAGATCTAGTTCCTGTGCTCCACGGGCTCTCAGGCGGGTGGGAGACCCCTGCTCAAGCCAGTCATCACTGATCCTCAACAATGCTACCATCCCAGCAGGTATGATCATGGACAGTAAGACACGTCAGCTCGTCAATTATATTCAACAGGAAGTGACAGAGCACCTACTGTGCGCCTGGCACTGTGTTAGGCAGTCCAAGGGAAGGAGGGAGAGCCCGACAGCGGCCCCAGCCCATCAGATGTGAGCCTAGAACCAACAACCAGGCCAGGCAGAGGCGTGCTGTGCAGGGAGGGCAGGCAAACAGAGGTGGCCCCAGCTGGCAAGGCTGGTCCCTGCACTGTGGTCTGTGCCACTGTGCCCCAGAAACCTCTAGAAACTGCAGATTCCCAGGGCTCCAGCTACCCAGGGGATCCAGAGGCCAACCAGGGGAAAGGTATGCCAGGTAAAGGGATCGGCCTGGGCAGAGCGAACAGGCTGCAGCACACACAGGGTGTGCCTGGGAGACGGGGGACTCCAGGTCCACTGGCCGAAGCCCAGCTGAGTGGGCTCCTAGTGGAGAAACAGGAACCGGGAGGAAGCTGACTCCGACTGCAATGTAGGGGATGATGGCTGAGCTGGCTCTTGGTTCAGCTGGTGCTTGGCCAACAGCCCAGCCTGCTGGCCCTGAATGGAGGCAGCTACTTGAACCCCAGCACTTCATGCTTCCACAATGGTTGGCCGAGGAGTTAGAACTTGGCCGGGCCCGGTGGCTCACGCCTGTAATCCTGGCACTTTGGGAGGCTGAGGTGGGTGGATCACGAGGTCAGGAGTTCGAGACCAGCCTGACCAACATGATGAAACCCCATCTCCACTAAAAATACAAAAATTAGCTGGGCGTGGTAGCATGCACCTGTAATCCCAGCTACTCAGGAGGCTGAGGCAGGAGAATCACTTGAACCTGGGAGGGGGAGGTTGCAGTGAGCCGAGATTGCGCCACTACACTCCAGCCTGGCGAAAAAGTGAGACTTCATCTCAAAAAAAAAAAAAAAAAAAGAGTTAGAACTAAGTGCCATGCAAGAAACCCTCTGGGGGTCTCAGTGGCAGGAGCCAGCCACAGAATGCAACTGCCCTGGGGCCCTCTCAGTGCCTGGAGACAAGGCATCTGCTCAGTCCCGCTCTGCCCGGGGCAGTGGGGGACATCCTTAGAAAGCCGTGGTCGGTTCTCCCCGGCCAGGGAGAGGAGTAGGCTGCCGAGGATCTGCAAAGCCACATGTGAAGATGTGCTTAAGGAACCCAGGAGGCTTTGAATGGAAAAAGATTTCCAGGAAAAGTGAATAATCAAGTCACAATGGCTTACTTTGCATCACTAAGTGGCAAGCACTGTACACAGAAACAAAGACTTGAGCCCAGGCAGTCTGGGCCCAGACACACGTTTGGCAGACGACTGCCATCACCTGGAGAGGGAGACTAGACTGGCCTGAGGGTGGCCTCTCGGAGGGGCCCATGTCAGACCAAGCAGAGGAAGGACTCCCAGTAGGTGAAGCTGTCCCACAGGAGTGGTTGCCTGGGCGCAGAGAGGGGCAGGAGGGTTTTCAGCAGAAGCCCCACTGCTTTTCCTCAAGGGCATCCCAGAGGGGCTTCCCGCATCAGAGGCTGCTCAGGTCCTCAGCTACTCTCTGACCCAAGACTCTGGATATGTACTCAGCTCTTCAAACAGAATTCTGCGCTGTCACAATGCTCTAATAACAAACTCCTCCTCGGGCCACACTGGGCAGATGGACACTTGGCAAGGCATATGGGCAGACATTGACAAACATGACGCCAATGAAAACGGGGATGTGGGGGAAGTCTGTAACACTTCAGGCACTATGCTAATGCACTTTACACGCCCAATCTTACCAAACTGTCCCAATGACTCCACCAGGTGGTCTATTTATAACCCCACTTTACAGATCAGGAATTGAGGCTTTAAAAGGTTAGGCTGAAGCCAAGATGGGACCCCAGAGTCTGCCGCTTCCCCACCGATATCACTATACCCTGATGTAGGCTCTGTCACCTACGGGTGGTGCCCAGGAAGGCTGGATGGGCTGGGGCATAGTCTGGAAGGGCAGAGAGGGAAGAAACTGCTCCAGAATGGAAATGTTCCACTGAGCTTGAGACTGACAGGTGTTGGGTGATGGGTTGGGCCCACTTCACCCTTGTTGGTTCAGGTGGGGCAGCTGAGAGGCTGTTTCCATCCTGGCAGGCAGCACTGCCAGGTCAACAGGGGTAATGGTGGCAAAGAGGTTGAATTCCTGGGCTTAGGAGACTGGAAAACCAGGGTTCAAATTCCTGGTTTGCACAGACTGAGTCCTGTGACCCTGGGCAGGCTACTTACCTCTGTACGCTCCTCTGGTCACTGGGACAACGGAGTCCCTATCTTCGTGAGGCTATGTGGGGCCCTCAGCACAGTGCTGGGCACACAGCCATGCTCCCCTACGGTGGATGCCCCCACCCCATGCAGGAGCACACAGGGAAGCTGCTGCCCTTGCCCCTGCATAGCACATGCCCTCGCTAGAGAGACAAGGGTCTCTGCCTTCTTTCTCCTTTAACTAGACAACCATCACCCTGTCCTGCCTGGCACCCACAACCTTCTGGACCGCCTGCTATGCACACCTGTGAGGATGCACCGAGCATTCCAGAAACAGGGCAGTTCCAATGTCTACGTGTGGTGGGGGTGAGAAGCTGTGGAGCCCAGGCTTAGGTCTGAAGCCCTAGCCCCCCATCTGCAGGAACTACTCACATTCCTGATGATCACATCTTCCATTGGGTCAGCCATCTCTTCATCTTCGCCTGGAGCCAAAAAAGAGAGGCCCATGAGCGCTGTGGGAGCTCCTCAAAACCTACCCTTTCCTTCTGCCCCCTCCTGGCTCACCAGGCTGCGGGGCCACCAACTCCGGCCCCAGAAAATTGCCTTCCTCAGACCAATATCATCCTTCTGCTAGAAGAGATGAGACCCCTGAGCACTGCCCCTTTCTCCTTCCCACCCTAGGCCCTAGGGATAACGGCCCCTCAAAGAAGCGGTGATCCTACTTTTGAGGTGAATATGGCTTCGTTTGAAACTTTTCTTTTCCCACTCACCCACCCTTCATCTGTTTGAGATTTGAAGAAAGCCCCAGGTTTCCGGGGGAGTCAGGCGCTCCTGCAGCCCCATACACACCCCCACTGTGCCAGGAAGGCTTCATTCTCCTGTTTGAAATCTCTGCCCCATGCAGTATGTGCTGGGCTCCATGTGGGAATATAAAGTATGAAACTGACCAATTGGAGGGAAGAGAAACTCAGGCAAAGTCAATCAACAACCAAAAGACGATAGAGAGCACGTGACCGGCCATGTGTGGTGGCTCACACCTGTAATCCCAGCACTCTGGGAGGCCGAGGAGGGAGGATCACCTGAGGTCAGGAGTTCAAGACCAGTCTGCAACATGGCAAAACCCCATCACTACTAAAAATACAAAAATTAGCTGGGCATGGTGGCGCACGCCTGTAGTCCCCGATACTTGGGAGACTGAGGCAGGAGAATCACATAAACTCAGGACATGGAGACTGCAGTGAGTCGAGATCGAGCCACTGCACTCCAGCCTGAGTGACAGAGCGAGACTCTATCTCCAAAGAAAGCACATGACCAAGGGCTGAAGACTGGGTTTCCTCTGGGCTTGGCAGGAGTTCTGGGGGAATCAGGCCTAAAGGCTGAGGTGCCCAGGAAGGGCTACAAAAGGAGCTTTGAGCTGAATCCTGAAGAGCAGGGGGGTTTGGAAAGGCAGAGAGAGAGGGGAGGGGTCCTGACAGCCTCAGGAATGCCTGGGCACCAAGGGGGACAGGAGATGGGAAAGTATACAGGGGCGAGAGAGGAGCAGAGAAGACACTAGACACGGAAATATAACAGGCACATGTACACCAAGTACATACGCTGTCCCCATTACACCGATTCATCTTCATTCCAACCCGGAAAAGTGGGTATTAGGATTGTATGATATCCACTCTGAAGCAAGGAAACGGAGCTAAGGAGAGGCTGACCGAGCGGCTGCAGTCGTGTGGCTGGTGAGTTGGGTGCATGTGGAGCAGTGAGGCTCCAGTTAGGAGGTGCAGTGAGACAAGGGCCCAGAGCTCGCAGCACTGGGAACCAAACAAAGGGATGACAGGTGTGTTCTTGAAGACCTAGGTGTTTTTTTTTTTTTTTTTTTGAGACAGAGTTTCGCTCTGTCACCCAGGCTGGAGAGCAGTGGCACAATCTTGGCTCACTGCAAGCTCTGCCTCCTGGGTCCACGCCATTCTCCTGCCTCAGCCTCCCGAGTAGCTGGGACTACAGGCGCCCGCGACCACGCCCAGCTAATTTTTTGTGTTTTCAGTAGAGATGGGTTTTAACCGTGTTAGCCAGAATGGTCTTGATCTCCTGACCTCCTGATCTGCGCGCCTTGGCCTCCCAAAGTGCTAGGATTACAGGCGTGAGCCACCACGCCTGGCGAAGACCTAAGTGTTTCTTAGCTAATGGCTGGATATGTGGAGAGGGGCCAGGAAAGACTAAAGAGAGCTCCGAGATGCCACACCGGAGGGACTCCCGGGCAATGTGAGACATTGGGATTGGGAAGTTGGGAGGGTTTCAGCCTCTGGCTCTTTCTGCCTCTAAATCATCTTCAGGGCCTTAGCCAAGTTTGCATTAAAAAAAAAAAAAAAAGAGGAAGGAAGAAAAGGAGAAAGGAAGAGGAGGGGGAGGAGGAGGAGAAAAACAGAAGAGACTAACAGCGTATCACACACAGTAAGGGGAAGTACCATTTCCGATAGTTTCCTTTAAGTTAAATATGTATTGTATAAATGGCTCGGTTACAACATAAAAAGATTTCTTAATGTTTCTCAAAAAAAGTTTGAGAAACTCAAAAAGTTTGAGGAAGCTGCCGAGAGAAGAGTTTCTCTGGTCTGTTTTTAGCCACGCTTCCTCAGCAAGTGATCACCGAAGGAATAAGTGAACACGGTGAATGAATGGACAAGCGCGTTGGGCCCACCTTTGGCACCTTCCTCTTCCTCCATCTTGTTGCCGTCTGCCTCCTCCCTTATGATCAGCCGGCCATCGGCGCTCACCTTGAAGCCGTGGTCCTTCTTCCTGCCCCGGCCTGGCCCTGGCTGCGTGGCTGGGGTGTAGAGTTTGGCATGAGGAGGTGGAAGGCCAGTCCCATGCTACTCACCCTCATCATGACCAACAAGCCCGGCTCAGGGATCCCAAACGGGCGCCTCTCAGCCCTGTCCATGGGCCTGCCATGGATGCCACCCCCTACCCACCACCTGAGAACCTGGCACCATGGCAAGTCTGTTTTCTGAGTGCACTGGCCAGCCCTGTGCTTACCCAGGACTCGTTGGGCCACCTTGGGATCCAGGAAGTTGAGGGGCTCGTCCCCACCGCCCTCTTTCAGCCATGCCCGGCTCCTCTGTCGTGCCAGCTTCCGCTGCTCCTTGCCTCGGCTTCTTTCCTCCTCCTCATTGTCCTCCTCGTCCTCTGAGTCAGCTAAAATCTCCTCAATGCTAAGGACAAAAAGCCCCCAGTCAGAGTGCTCCCAGGAGAGGCGGGGGTCAGCGGGTATTGCCTGGGCAGGCCCTTGGGTTGGGGGGACACCGGGTCCCATGGCCCTAACATGGTCTCACCTGTCACCTTTGCCCTGGGCGGGCTCCTCCTCCTCCTCCTCCTCTTCTTCCTCCTCCACGGCAGCCTGGCTCAGGGCTCGGTGCCTCTTGGCCCGGGCCTCAGCTTTCCGGATGTTGACCAGGACTCTGTGGTACTCCTCGGGCAACAGCCTTTTCACCAGCTCAAATCTGGAGGTGGCAAGGAAGGGCTGGTGAGAGGCACTGGCCAGACAGCACGACCCAGATGTAGTGTCCCTGGTAGGACTGGAAATCCTCGGCCCCTCGCTTGCCCTACCCCCGCCCCTGCTCAGTGCACAGACCCAAACTTGCGGATGAACTTGGTGAACAGGTTCCGAAGCTTCATGCGGAAGTGCCGCCGCATGTCATCTGAAAGCTTCCCAATGGCTTCCATCTGCCGGACAGAGCACCAGGCTTTCAGGGAGGCGAGCCTTCCATGCTGCGCCCCCTTTACTGCTGTCCAGCCCAGGGACGCAGCATGATCAAGCCCAGCTGAGGGGAGGGTTAGCGCGGCCCTGCTCCTGGCCCACACCCTGGCCCAGTCATGCTTCCCTCGGGTGGGCAGGCCCCATCTTTCCCCTGCACCCTCCTTCAGGACACAGGCCTGAGCACCCTCGCAGGATGAGAGCTTTAGTCTTCTCAACAGCACTTGGTACTTGACATATATCCTCTCCTTGAATCCTTGGACTACCCCTGAGATACATGCTATCACCCCCTATTTATAGAAGAGGACACGGCGGCACAGAGGATAAAGTGTTTGCTAAATGGCCATAGAGGTGGGAGTTCAGCCCAGACTCATCTAATGCTGCGGCTCCCGCTTTGCCCCTAGCACCCCAAGATTTCTCTTGGTCCCCTATGTCCCTTCCATCTCACTGCATTCTGCTCTGGCTGGATTCCTCTTAAGCCTTCATCTGGCCCAGTTTGGGTTACATGTGCAGGTGGCAGATCTTCTTATCTCCAGTGACTCCCAAACCGGCTAGGGGATAGGGTCCACGTCTACTCCTTTTTTTTGAGATGGAGTCTCGCTCTGTTGCCCAGGCTGGAGTGCAATGGCACGATCTCAGCTCACTGCAACCTCCACCTCCTGGGTTCAAGCAATTCTCCTGCCTCAGCTTCCTGAATAGCTGGGATTACAGGTGCCTGCTATCACGCCTGGCTAATTTTTGTATTTTTAGTACAGACAGGGTTTTACCATACTGGCCAGGCTGGTCTTGAACTCCCAACCTCAGGCGATCCGCCCACCTTGGCCTCCCAAAGTACTGGGATTACAGGTGTGAGCCACTGTGCCTGGCTTTTTTTTTTTTTTTTTTGAGACAGAGTCTTGCTCTGTCACCCTGGCTGGAGTGCAATGGCATGGTCTCGGATCACTGCAACCTCCGCCTCCCAGGTTCAAGCAATTCTCACACCTCAGCCACATGAACAGCTGGGACTACAGGCGCGCACCACCATGCCTGGCTAATTTTTGTATTTTTTAGTAGAGATGGGGCTTCACCATGTTGGCCAGGCTGGTCTCGAATTCCTGACCTCAAGTGATCCACCCACCTTGGCATCCCAAAGTGCTAGGAATATAGGTGTGAGCCACCGCTCCTGGCCTCCCCAACCACTCTTGGAAGGGCTTCTATAAATCCCTTTTTTTTGAGACAGAGTCTTGCTCTGTTACCCAGGCTGGAGTGTAGTGGTGCAATCTTGGCTCACTGCAACATCCGCCTCCCAGGTTCAAGTGATTCTCCTGCCTCAGCCTCCCGAGTAGCTGGGATTGCAGGCACCTGCCACCTCGCCCAGCTAATTTTTGTATTTTTAGTAGAGATGGGGTTTCACCATGTTGGCCAGGCTGGTCTCAAACTCCTGAACTCAAGTGATCTGCCTGCCTTGGCCTCCCAAAGTGGTGGGGTTACAGGTGTGAGCCACTGCAGCCGGCCAGGGCTTGTATAAATTCGAATAACTCCATGATGGATCACTGCTCTAGCTGTTCTCCCCACCTTTGGTCCCTAGTAGGCTGCAGGCTCCGAGGGCAGCGGGAGGGCATGCTGATTCTCATCTGTCCCTTCCTATCTTGAACCCAAGGCCAGACCCAAAGAAAATATGCAAGAGGGACCCAGAGGTCTGATGTGACTCAAGCCAGTCACACATGGGAAACTGAGGCAGTAGGTACAGTGCACAGCTTGGCTGGAAGCCTACGCCAGCCTGGGCAAGGCTTCTCTTGGGCAGGAGAGGGCCAGGGACCCTATACCAAGGGGCTCTTCAGATCCTTCTGCAGCCCAGCAGGGGACCCAAAGGAATGGCCTCTAACCAGCAAGGTCAAAATGCAAGATGGGAAAAAAAAAAAGGCAAGATGAGGGGGTCCTGTGGAGGGAGAGCCCAGCGTCTGAGTCCCATGATCTGGAAAATCTCTGGCCCAGTTTCTCCATCTGTAAAATGAGGAGTGGCCCTGCCCATGGGCCTTTGCCCTGAAGAGCCCCTGTTGCTTTCCATGTAGGGCTCTGGGGTGAAGAAAGCCACCTGGGCAGTGTGCCCCCTCCTCGCCTCCACCTGACAGGCATTCCCCTATGGTCCCTTTTAGGGCTCCTTAATGACCTCTGGCTACAAAAAAAATAGTTTGAAACTTGCTGGCCTCGAAGCTTGCCAGGTCCATGCCAACAGCTCAGAGGCCACCCTGCTACCTGCTAAGGGGAACGGGGACACTCACCACCAGCTGCACATGTTTGGCCAGGTGCGCCACGTCCATGACAGTCACTGCCACCTTGATGAAGCCCAGTGCAGACTTGACCACGTCACGGGTGCGGGAGGCCAGAAGCAGGCACACATTCTCCAGCAGCTGCTCCACTGTACTGGTCCCCATCAGACCTGTGGCAGTGAGGGGGTCACTGTCTAAGACACCCAGGACCCCACTCAGACCCAAACCTTCCCCACTGGAAAACAGCCACTCAAGTGTCAGTAAAAGCTGACATTGAGAGCCTTTCCGTATGCCCGGGATGGTTCCAATCACGCTCCATGGAGTGGTCTTGGGTCCTTTCGTCACCCTGAGGTGGGTGCTATTTCTTGCTTCCATTTTAGAGATAAGAAACTGAGGTGCTAAGAGGCTAATCAAGCTGTTCTAGGTCTCATGTGGTTGCCAAGAGGCAGGACTAGGACTAAAATCCAGGCATCAGCCCTAACCACCTCCTAACCACTCTGACAATGGGATGCAGGGCCACTGGACTGCACAGTCACACGTGGGGACAGACCTGAGGAAGGTGCCTTGGCATAGCCGCAAGGGCGGGAGGCAGCGACCCGCAGGAAGGGAGACAGGGAGGCAAACTGGGCTGGGTGTGGCTTTTCTTACTTCCTCCAGGCACCTTTTCCCAGTTCCAGGAGCCACTTTATCCTGACCTTTTGGGCATCTTCCTAATCTGAGGGCTTCTCAGGCCTTCTAGGAAATAAGCATTTACCTTTAAACTCGAAAAGGAGGTGGGTCAGGGCCAGGATGCTGCAGCTGACCATGGTCACCGCGCCCACCAGGCCAGGGTAGATCAGGACGAGGTAGCACTGCAGGGCCTCTGGGGACAGAGACCAACGTGGGTCAAGCAGGAAGGACCCACCAGGTAGGGGGGCTGAGGGCCAGAGAGGAGCAGCCTGCCCAGGGCCAGGGCACAGAGCTCTCCCCACCTTTTTTGAGGGGTGCTTCCCCCCACCCAGTCTATGAGCAGAGTGTCCACCCCCAGCCCCCTGGGCCTCACCTTCCTGGTTCGAGCCAAACCTTAGGAAAGCATGGCCCATCTCCACGAGCAGTGCAAAAGCGTTCTTCCGTGCGCCCACCGACACCTCCTTGGTGCACAGGATCACCTGGCCAAGACAACTCCATCAGCATCTGCTCCCTGAGCCATCTGCCCGGGAAGCGAATCGAGTCCTCCCACTCCCATCACTGCCCTCCCTGGATCCTGAGGCCCTTAAGAGCCACATTCCAGGGACCCCCCTCTAAAACACACCCGCACACTCACCTCTGGGATGAGGGCAGTGATGAACTCCTTGTGTTCAGCTGAGAGCTTCCTCACGATGTGTAGGAGGCACTTCAAACGGGGCTGTGGGCAAAGGGCTACCAGTCAGGACCCCTCAATGCTACCTCCACCCAACAAGCCTCAACAGTGGCTCCTTTCCTGGTGTTGCCCAGGCTCCCTCGGCAGAGCGGGTGGCCCTAGAGCCCTCACCCTCTTGGCGGGTGAGGAGGTGCTCCGCAGCGAGTCCAGCAGTGTCTTCTTCAGGTCCTCCAGGTGGCTCTGCACGAAGAGGGCCCCGGGGCCCTGAGGACTGGCACACACCTCCTCCAGCACTCGGTAGGCCTTCTTCTGCACCCCGTGGGCCTTGCTCTGGCAGACAGGAACCGGTGAGGGAGGCCTGGGGCTCACTCCCTGTCCAATGCTATCCACGGAGCATCCCCCAGCACTGGAGGGATTCTGAGCAGGGGTCCGTGGGGGCTCATGTGGCTTGACAGAGGACCAGTGGAATGTGGACAGCGAGTGGCTAACTCCTGGGCGAGGCACAGGGGTTGGGGGTGTGTGCCGTGGGGCCCACCAATCCACTCCACTCACCCAGCTCTGGACAGTGCTCACTCCAGTGGCCTGAGCTCATGGTGCCTGGCACGCGCCAAGGCCTGCACATCTGCTGCTCTTTCTAGCCGGAGCACTCTTCTCTCTCCTTCCAAGACTGACAACTCCTTGCTCCTCCAAACCAGCTCTCTGTCACACTCCCCCAACCCCCAACGCCGGACACCTTTCCTGAGGTGACGTGGCCTGGCCCTGGATTTCCATGTCCACCTGCAGTGCTGCCCCAGAGCACTTCTCACACTGTTAGGTAACTGCTACTAAACTGTGGCAATGGGGGCAGCTTTCAGGGGGTCACTGCTGGGCTGAGATCTGCAGGGTTGCTGGCCACAGCAGAGGGCATTTCAAGCTGAGGACCCAAACCCTGCAAAGGCACAGACAGGGCCTGTTATATCAGGGAGGCTTAAGGCAGCTGAAGGAGGCTGCAGCAGAAGTAGAGAGTGGACTGGGTGGGATAAAGCTCAGGCCGGTCTGGGATGGGCCTGGGGAGTGAGCCAGGCAAAGGAGCATGGCCTTGGTTCTACAAGAGTCACTCAGCACGCAAGGCCTAAGCACAGCTGTGCATTTCAGTCCCTTTGGGACCTGCAAGACAGATGGGCTACACAGGACACAAAGAGAAGCCACTGCAGGAGAAAGCAGACAGGGACCTGATCTCGGGAAGCAGCAAGGGACAAAGACATGAAGACAGGCCCCACCTTCCCACAGCCCATCTGCCCCCAAGCGTGGCTGTGTGGCGCTCCTGGCCCCCGAGGCTCACCTCTAGGTAGGGCCGGATGGTGGAGTATAGCTTACTGATGGCAGCTTCGTCAGCACACGGAGCCAAGGCCACGACCAGGTCCAGGACAGACAATCTGCTCGGGGCAGGAGGACAAGGAGAGGGATGGGGAGCTGGAGAAGGGCGCAGACTACCAGTGTTCTTACGTCTACTGGGTATGGGGAGGTGGGAGAAGTCAGGGTGAGGACAAGGGGCTTGAAGGAGCTCATGAACAATAATAATAGCTAGTACCTAACTGAGCATTCATGATGTACCAGTCACCGTTCCTGGTGTTTTACACCTGCTAACTCCTTCAATCCTCATAGCAACCTTGTTGCAAGAACTATTATCGTGCCCATTTTACAGATGAGGCCTTAGAGGCAGAATGGATAAGTAATTTGTCCAAGGTCACACAGCCCATGAGTGACGGGGCTGGGATCAGAACCTGGGCAGTGTATCTCCTGGGTCCTTGTTCCTCCCTACCAGACTAAATGGCCTCTCCAGGAAGAAGGAACTAGTCAGCACAGCCTCTCAGCACAGCCTGGAGAGTTAATACTTCAAGGCTTCCTTAAATAATGCAAGAGGGAACCCACAGTGCTTCTGCCAGATGCACCCTCCAGCTCCCTGGGCTGCTCCAGCTCAAGTGGGAGGCCCTGAGCATGTTACCTGGTAAAGTCAGAGCTGGCAGGGTCGAGCACCTTCTCACTGGCTTTTTCCAGGAGACTGTTCACCAACTTGTGGCCCCGAGGGAATGAGGAGAAGAGAGTCATTGGGGAGGAGCGAAAGAAAGCAGCAATGGCAGCAGTCCCAGAGCGGCCTCCCCATCAGCCCCCAGCCCTGCCCAAGCCATGACTGCTGGTATGTGCTCCAAAACACAGAGACCCACGTGAGCCCTGGTGGGTAGGGTCTCGGCCTCTCTGACCCTGCCCACCTGAGAGCTCCCCTCCTCCCTCCTTCCCTCCCTTCCGTGGCTCACCTGAGTGTCAGTGATGGTGAGGTAAGTTCTGATGGTTTCCAGCACAGCCCGGCGAGGGGCTGGAGTGTCCCCGGCTGCCACGGGCTGCCCATACAGGTTGAAGAGGATCGGCAGAAAGTTCTTGGCAAAGCGACTCACTTCAGCACGGTCAGCCTCTGGTAAAAGGATCAAAGTTTGCACTAAAGGCACAGGAGCTGACTGTGCCTCAGTGGCTGCTGGGGCTGTGGCCCAGAGGCCCTCTCTTGGGGGAGCTGGCAGGACTTGGAATCCATGGGTTTGGGGCTCTCTGTGGCAGAAGCTGAGCCAGGGCATGGAGAGCCTGGTGCCCCAGTGGCCCATGGTCCTCGATGGCTCCAACCCCAGGGAGCCAGCAAAGTTATCCCCTGGGGTCTGCAGCAGAAGCAGCAAAGGATGAGCTCCAGAGGTGAGTTTCTGTGGCTCTGCCTGGCAAGGAGTGTAGCAAGCCAGGGGATGGGGCCAGGGACCTGTGTCATCCTCCCCAGCCCCCACTCCCACAGCCCACACGTACCTGCCTGGCAGCCCTTGGTGATGAGGGTGCGCAGGGCCTGGCACACGGTGACCCTCAGGTCTGGACGCTCGCTGATGGCCATGCCCAGCGTCCGTGCCAGCCCTTTGAAGGAGATGGCCACATCTGTAGGCCTTGTGCAGAACCCAGGCAGGAGTGTCCACATCTGGAGAAGGAGGGGACAATAAAGGAAGGTGACACGCAGCCACCTGTGCCCCTGTGTGCTTCTCCCCACGCCCTCCCCCAGCTGACCCTTACCTGCCACTGGAGTGTGTCGTAGATCTTAGATTCCACTGTGCTGCCTGCCTGAGCCAGGTCCATGGCTGCAGTGTGACAGAGGGACAGAGTGTGAGCCCAGCACCCTCCTGGCCAACAGCCTTATTTACCAAACCAAACCAAAAGCCCAATGATGAGGACAGGAATATGGGTGACTTCCCCCCATCTCCATGAATTAAATCATACTTGTTCATTCTAAAATACTCAAATGAACCTATAATAAACAGAAAGCAAACGTCTCTCCATACTCTTACTCCCCCAGAGATAGCCTCTGTTTCTTGTTACTTTTTTATACTTCTTTAAACACATGCCCAATTTTTTTTGTTTGTTTGTTTTGTTTGAGACAGGGTCTCACTTTGTGGCCTAGGCTGGAATACAGTGGCGCAATCTGGGCTCACTGCAGCCTTGACCTCCCAGGCTCACGCGATCCTCCTACCTCAGCCTCCCAAGAAGCAGACTACAGGCGTGCATGCCACCACACCCACCTAACTTTTTGTAGACGTAGGGTTTCACCATGTTGCCCAGACTGGTCTCGAATTCCTAAGTTTGAGCGATCCATGTGCCTCGGCCTCCCAAAGTGCTGGGATTACAGGTGTGCAACACTGCACCCAGCCACATGCCCACTTTGTAAAACATAAACAGGGGCTGGGTGCAGTGGCTCACACCTGTAATCCCAGCACTTTGGGAGGCTGAGGCGGGCAGATCATGAGGTCAGGAGATTGAGACCATCCTGGCTAACATGGTGAAACCCCGTCTCTACTAAAAATACAAAAAATTAGCCGGGAGTGGTGGCAGGCACCTGTAGTCCCAGCTACTCGGGAGGCTGAGGCAGGAGAATGGAGTGAACCCGGGAGGTGGAGCTTGCAGTGAGCCGAGATCGTGCTATTGCACAACAGCCTGGGTGACGGAGCGAGACTCTGTCTCAAAAAAAAAAAAAAAAAACCATAGGGAGGAATATACTATATATATAGCATTCTGTAACCTTGTTTACTTGACAATAAAGCTGGTAACATTTACTGAGCAAGTACTATGTGGTAGTCTGTAATGAGCACTTCACATGACTTTTTCATTTAATCCTCACAAAACTTGCCCATTTTAAGATGAGGAGCAGACCCTGGGAAATTAAACAAAACCTGCCCCAAGCCACGAACTGTGGAGCGGCGGAGTTGGGATATAAACCGTGTCTGTTCGACTCACCATCTGCTAAACTTGTCTGTCCCTACCTAGTGGTTTCTTTCTTTCTTTATAATGCCTACATCATATCCCAAAGTGGGACTTAAAAAATATTTTTGTAGAGACGGAGGTCTCACTCTGTTGCCCAGGCTGGCCTTGAACTTCTGGGCTCAAGAAATCCTCTTTCCTCAGTCTCCCAAGTAGCTGGAACTACAGGTGAGCCTACCACACCTGGCTAACTAAAAAAAAAAAAAAAAAATTTTTATAGAGACAGGGTCTTGCTATGTTGCCCAGGCTGTTCTTGAACTCTTGGCCTCACACAATCCTTCTGCCTCAGACTCTCAGAGTGTTGGGATTACAGGCGTAAGCTGCTGCATCTGGCCAAAAGTAGGGCTTTACCATAACTAATTTAACTGGAACCCTAATGAGAAAGATACTAGATGTGTTACAGTTTTTGCCAGTATAAGCCAATACTGTCAGGCACGTCTTTGCTAGGAACATAAATCAGTACGCACTTGTCTATCTTCTCAGGACAGATACCTGCGTGTAGTATTACCAGGACAAAGGGAATACATAACATCAGCCTTAAGAATAATGCCAGGGTTTATAGGTAACATTAATGATGGTAATGACCCTCATTTTGGGGGTTCATCTGTATTTTCTTTGATGGGCATATATTTCTATTGAAAATAGAACAAATTTTTCCTTTTTAATATCAGGAAAAACTTTAAGTTACTAATATGTGCACATTAATTCCAACAGAGTAGAAATACAATACTATTTTTACACAGAAAAAAATGCAGCCAGACATGGTGGCTCACACCTGTAATCCCAGCACTTTGGGAGGCCAAGGCGGGTGGATCACTTGAGGTCAGGAGTCCGAGACCTGCCTGGCCAACATGGCGAAAACTTGTCTCTACTAAAAATAAAAAAATTAGCGAGGGGTGATGGTACACGCCTGTAGACGAAGCTACTCAGGAGGCTGAGGCAGAATTGCTTGAAAACCTGGGAGGTGGAGGTTGCAGTGAGCCAAGATCGCACCACTGCACTCCAGCTTGGGCAACAGAGCAAGACTCTGTCTCAAAACAAACAAACAAACAAACAAACCGACCCAAACAAAGCAAAGGAAAATACATTAAAAACTTGAGTAGTAACAATTTCTGGGTGGGAAGACTGAATGACTTTTACTTTCTTTTTTTTTTTTTTTTTTTTGAGATGAAGTCTCGCTCTGTCTCCCAGGCTGGAGTGCAGTGGTGTCATCTCGGCTCACTGCAACCTCTGCTTCCTGGGTGCAAACGATTGTCCTGCCTCAGCCTCCCAAGTAGCTGGGATTACAGGTGCGTGCCACCATGCCCAGCTAATTTTTGTATTTTTAGTAGAGACGGGGTTTCTCCATGTTGTTTAGGCTGGTCTCGAACTCCTGACCTCATGATCTGCCCGCTTCAGCCTCCCAAAGTGCTGAGATTACAGGCACGAGCCACTGCGCTTGGCCTTACTTTCTTCTTTAAGCACTTCCTGTATATTCTACAAGATCATGTGTGAAATCAGGAAACTGCCCTAGAGCAGGGTTTCTCAATCTTGACAATGTGGACATTTTGGGCCTAGTACTCTTTGTTGTGTGAGGTCGTCCTGTGCATTGCAGGGTGCTTAGCAGCATCCTGGCCTCTACCCACTAGATGCCAGAGCACCCATCCCCCAACGGTAACAACCAAAAATGTCTCCAGGCATTGCTGAATGTCCTACAGGCAGCAAAATCACCCTCCTTGTTGAGAACCACTGCCCTAGACCAGGAGTCAGCCAACTTTTTGTGCAAAAGGACCAGTACTTTAAGCTCGGCAGGCCATACAATTTCTTTCTTTTCTTTTTTTTTTTTTTTTGAGACAGAGTCTCGCTGTGTTGCCCAGGCTGGAGTGAAGTGGTGCGATCTTGGCTCACTGCAACCTCCGCCCCCCAGAGTCCAAGCGTTCTCCTGCCTCAGCCTCCCGAGTAGGTGGGATTATAGGCACCTACCACCATGCCTGGCTAATTTTTGTACTTTTAGTAGAGATGGGGTTTCATCATGTTGGCCAGGCTGGTCTCAAGCTCCTGACTTCAGGTGATCCACCCACCTCGGCCTCCCCGAGTGCTAGGATTACAGGTGTGAGCCACTGTGCCCAGCCCACGGTACGTATGATTTCTATCACAATAACTCTGTCATTAAAAAGTAGTGTGACAGGCTGGCCATGGTGGCTCATGCCTGTACTCCCAGCACTTTGGGAGGCCGAGGCAGGTAGATTTTCTGAGGTCAGGTGTTTGAGACCAGCCTGGCCAACATGGTGAAACCCCATCTGCACTAAAAATACAAGAAATTTTTAAAAAGTGAGCCAGGTGTGGTGGCACATGCCTGTAGTCCTACCTACTTGGGAGGCTAAGGCAGGAGAATCGCTTGAATCTGGGAGGCAGAGGTTGCAGTGAACTGAGATCGTGCCACTGCACTCCAGCCTGGGTGACAGAACAAGAATAAATGTGTATGTGTCTGTGTTTCAATAAAATTGTATGTACAGGCTTGGCACAGTGGCTCACGCCTGTAATCCCAACACTTTGGGAGGCTGAGGCAGGTGGACCGCCTGAGGTCAGGAGTTCAAGACCAGCCTGGCCAACATGGTGAAACCCCATCTATACTAAAAATACAAAATTAGCTGGGTGTGGTGGCAGGTGCTTGTAATCCCAGCTCCTTGGGAGGCTGAGGCAGGAGATTCTCTTGAACCCAGGAGGCGGAGATTGCAGTGAGCTGAGATCGCACCTTTGCACTCCAGCCTGGGTGACAAGAGCAAGACTTCATCTCAAAAAAAAAAAAAAAAAGAAAAAAAAAGAAAATTTATTTACAAAAACAGACAGCGGATGAAATAGTTTAGCAATGCTGCCCTACATCCTCAAAATCCACAAAATCCAATGAAAACGAAAAGCTTCTGAAGCCATCACTAGGCTGAGCAATGTAACCCCATGCTCTGCCTATCCTCACGTAGGCCTGAGTCTGCCTAAGGCCTGAGTCTGCCTAACACAGGTCAGGAGTAAACTAGAAGATAAATAGAGAGAGGAGACCATGATCACGAAGGATAAGAAACTATGCCTGAAAGGAGAGGGGCAGGGGACTGGGGATGTGCAGCCTGAAGAAAGAACACCTCTGGGGTAATCATTTTCAAATACATACATATGATCTACAGTCATGCATCGCTTGACAGGGTGCGTTCTGAAAAATGCATCGGTAGGTGATTTTATTGTGTGAGCAGCATAGAGTGTATTTACAAAAACCTAGATGGCACAGCCCCTACACACCTGGGCTATGTGGTATAGTCTATTGCTCCTAGGCTACAAACCTGGACAGCATGTTGCTGTACTGAGTGCTGCAACTGTAATACAATGCTAAGTATGTGTATATCTAAACACACGTAAACATTGAAAAGTACAGTAAAATACGGTATTATCATCTTATGAGACCACCATCATTGAAACGTCATGTGGCGTGTGACTGTGTATGTGTACATACATATATACTCATATATATAAATACACCTGGCTGGGCACGGTGGCTCACATCTGTAATCCCAGCACTTTGGGAGGCCGAGGCAGGCAGATCACCTGAGGTCAGGAGTTTGAGACCAGTCTGGCTGCCATGGCAAAACCCTGTCGCTACTAAAAATACAAAAATTAGCCAGGTGCAGTGGTGGGTGCCTGGAGTCCCAGCTACTCGGGAGGCTGAGGCAGGAGAATCACTTGAACCCGGAAGGCGGAGGTTGCAGTGAGCCGAGATTGCGCCACTGTGCTCCAGCCTGGGCAACAAGAGCAAAACTCCGTCTCAAAAAATAATAATAATAAAATAAATAAATAAATAAATACACCTAGAAGTATATAAAAGTATATATACATATAAACAAACATATCACAAATTTTTACAAAATCAATCTCAAGGGCTTGCATGAGGAAGAAGGGGCACAGCTGTTCTCTGTGATCCAAAGGGGAAGAACAAGGCCCAGTTGGGGCAGCTCCATGTGGAGGCAGCTCCTGTCTCACAGGGCAAGCTCTGCCACAGGGAGGGCCACCTGGCCTCGCCTTGGAGCAGCAGGGAGGGAGACAGGCACTCCAGCACTGGCTGGCCACCTGCTCGGCAGAGGGATGTTGCCAAACGTCTTGAAGGCTGGGTGTGTGGGACTCAGCACCCTTCCCAATCCCTTCTGTGGAGGTTCCAGGACTGTGGGGAGCCTCAGGTCACACACAGGCAAGGGTCTCTCCTACCTTTGCTCTTCAGGGTGTTAGCCAGGGGCAAGAAGTAGGTGGTGAAAAAACCAAGTCGCGTTTCCTGAACATGGTCTCGGATGACAGGCAGCAGCCAGCTCCGTGGGAAATCCAGAGTCTCCCTGGGAAGAGAATGGGAAGAACCCAATGAGGATGAGGGGACAGCCCTGAGGGCAGTGCATAGCATACTGAGCCCAGGACAGAGTAAGACCTCCTCTGGCCCCTCCTGCTGAGCCCTGCACTGACACAGACTTTAGCCCACAGCAGCAGACATCCTTTCCAGGGGAGAGAACAAGCCTGGGGCTTGTCAGGAAGCCAGCCAGGGCCACACTTACTCAGAGCCATCAATTTCCAAAGGCACAGCCTGCAGCACCACCTCAGGTCCCATACTGGTCACCGCAGCCCCCACTGCCTGGTCAAGAGCCGCCGTGTGGGGGAAATGAGGGGAGAGGCGCAGGTCACACAGGGACTGGAGGCACTGCAGCAGAGATGAGTGACCACACATCAAGACATGCTCGAAAGCAGGGACCCATGACAAGACCCCGCTGAACGATGAGGCTGGAATTCTGGGCCTGGGTTCAACGCTACACCAGAGGGTACAGACTGAGAACCCAATTAACCACTGGTGACTGTAAAATCCCAGGGCCTAGGATTTTACAAAATTCTGTTACATTTAACAACATGTAAAAATTAGAAAGTTTCACACACAAATGTAGATTTCCAATTTATCTTCGAAAATGGGACAAATGTATCTTGTCTGCATGCAACAATTAGCAAATCAGCAGGCGCTGAGGAGACAGAGGTGCACCCCTGGGTTCACTATGGCCACAGCCCTCCCCCAGCCACACTTTCAAGGCCCTGCCTGGCCTCTTGTATAAAGCCAAACTGGTCAACCTAATTTATCAGGGCTCAGGCCAGGCCTCTTGATGGAGACCCTGTCCTCCCACCAGGGTTCCTTTTTTCCAGCAATGGGAGGGAGTCAGTGAGGAAGGCCCCACGAGGCCAGGAGCTGCTGTCTCTGCTGATGCGGGACCAGTCTGGGGGCTGTCCTCAGGCCCCCACTCTCTCCTGGACTACGGTCTGCTCAGGATCCCTGAGTGATCCCTGATCCTTAAATGGTTAACCCTGGACTGGAGGAACCTCCGTGGGACCTAGGGCTGTTTAGAACTTCAATGCTATACTCACTGGTTATAGGAAACTTAGATAATTAAAATTTAAAAGATAAGGGGTGGGGATAAGGGAAAGCAAATAGACTCCCTAAGTTTCAAAACCAGTAACTCCAGCAAAGACTAGTGAGCAGGTGGGGGGACTGCCACCCTTTTTCCTGCCCCTCCCTTGTTGGCCCAGTCACCTTCCAGGGGATACTGCATGGGGCACCTGCTATGGCCCTGTCAGGGTGGGGTGCGGAGCAGGGTGCAGAGATAACAGAGACACGTGCCCTCCAGGAGCCCATAGTCCAAGAGCCAGCACCACTTCCTGCCCTGGCCCCAGCCGCTCCCCACTCACCTTCCTCATCACAGGGTGGGCCTGTCTCCCACACGCCTCGAAGAAGACACACAGCAGCTGCAACACGGAGCTCCAGGCCGCATGGAATTTGTACGTCAGGCCCTCCTCCACTGCCCTGCCAAGGGGGCGGCACAGTCAGGGCCACGGTCACACCACCCTGTGCCCCCCACCAGAGAAAGTCAACGGCCAGCACCCTGAGCTACAGACGCTAGCTGGCCAGCAAGAATGGGGCCCCAGGAGAGACAACAGAAGAGAACTAACATTTGTGACATGCCCACACTCCCTATGTTAAGAGTTTAATTTAGATAATGCTAGTGCTTAAAGAAAAACCAATGAGGTAGTTATCTGACCCAACTTCAGATGGGGAAACCTCTAGGAAACCAAGAGGTGAGGTGTGGCTAAAACATGGCAGGTGCTCAAGTCCACGGTAGCTGCTCCGGCAGATGTTCAGTAAGCAGCCTGCAATCCCGTAAAGCACTGCCACTGCAGGCCTGGCCCACAGTAGGTGGAGAGTGGAGCATTCGTATTATATAGAACTTTCCTCAAGGTACCACCATCCCTTCCTAACATGGACCCCATATCCTCACCTGAACATCTTGGCAACAGATTGGGCAGGGCCTGAGGCCGAGGAGGTCACGGAGCCAATGTCAGCCATGTGGGGAGCCACGCATTCCTTCAGGATCTCCTGCGAAGAGAGGCCACAGGCTTTCTGGGCCCAAGGCAGCCCCCCAGGACCACTCTCCCCTCCCAGGCAACAGTTTCCTGGGAGTCTAAGAAAGCTTCGAAGAAACCTATCTCCCATTTTGAGAGCGGCCTCTCTGGGCCCGAGCTGGTAGCCTGGGGCCAGTGCTGGGAAAGACAGGGCAGCCCATAGAACCCCCTGTGCTCTCTGCTTCCTCAGCTAAAGTTGCAGTACCTTGAGGCTCTGCGTAGCAGCAGTCAGCACTTGCGAGTGTGGGGAAAGGAGGCAGGTCACCGCAGTTCCAAAAAAGCGAGGGAGGTGGCCTAGCCCCAGGTCCCACTGCAACCTGTCAAGACAAAAGGTTTCTGTGGGGCCTGGCCTGAGCCCTGGGGACCCGGGCAACCAGGGCTCAGGGCTGAGACGGCCCAGCTCTGAAAACAGTCACAAACCCAGTGATCTGCAGGGCTCCGTAGGGCCCTTCTGGTGGGTGGTTTTTAAAAAGGCACTATCGTTCAAGTAATAACTACATGTGGTAGAAAATTCAAACAGGTCTTCAAGGTGTAAAATGAAGGGCATGCCTTCCCTAACTCACCCTTCTGGCCTGACCCTTATATGTACTTCCAGGGGAAAATCAAGGTTAAGTTTCTTAAATACCCTTCCAGAAGTTCTAAAATGCACAAACATGAAAACAGTAACTTCTGCTAACTTTTTTTTTTTTGCAGTGGTACAATCATAGCTCACGGAGTCTCAAACTCCTGGGCTCAAGTGATCCTCCCACCTCAGCCTCCTGAGTAGCTGGGGCTACAGGCACATGCCACCATGCTCAGCTAATCTTTTTATTTTTTGTAGAGACAGGATCTCACTGTGTTTCCCAGGCTAGTCTCGACCTTCTGGCCTCAAGTGATCCTCCTGCCTTGGCTTCCTAAAGCCCTGTGATTACAGGCATAAGCCACTGCACCTGGCCTGGTAGCATTTATGTAACTCTTATCATATACCAATCACTGATATAACATACATTCATTTAAACCTTGTAACAACTAATGAGATAAATCCTATTATTTTTCCATTTTATAGATGAGGAAAGACACAGAGAAGTCAAATAACTTGCCCAAGGCCACCCAGCTTGGTAATGGGGTCAGGATTCACACCCTTAGCAATGTGGTTCCAGAGTATACATAGAGAAACAATCACATCATACCTGCTATTCTATGTCTTGCTTTTTCTCCAATATATCTTGGAGTTCTTTCCATATAAGTGCACATACAACCACTTTGACTGTTTCTATTTTTTTTTTTTTTTGAGATAGGGTCTCACCCTGTCACCCAGGCTGGAGAACAGTGGTGCGATCTCAGTTTACTGCAACCTCCACCCCAGAGGTTCAAGCGATTCTCGTGCCTCAGCCTCCCAAGTAGCTGGGATTACAGGTGTGTACCACCACACCCAGATAATTTTTGTATTTTTAGTGAAGATGGGGTTTCGCCATTTTGGCCAGGCTAGTCTCAAACTCCTGGCCTCAAGTGATCTGCCCATCTCGGTCTCCTAAAGTGCTGGGATTATAAGCGTGAGCCACTGTGCCAGGCCCACTTTGATTGTTTCTAATGGCTGCACAGTACTTCATTGTTTATATTTCACCCCTCTGTGGGACACTTAGCTTGCTTCCAGTTTTTATATGTTACCTAGAGTACGATGATAAGCATCCCGGGACGCACAATGGGGCCTAACTGTGGGTGTGCTCCTGCGGGCTGAAGCATGAGAAGTGGTGAATGGGGTGATTTTGCCATTTTTGTACACCTCCCAGTAAAGGCGGTTTGATGCAGGAAAAAGAATGTGGGCTGGGCAGACCTGGGCCAGAGACCTGGCCTTACTCATCAGGGCTGTGTGACTAGCTCACTCACAGAGCCTTTGTTTCTGGCTTATAAATTGGGGCTAAACCCTTCCTCATGGGGTTGCTGTGACTAGTGAAAGGAAACACAGATGAACAGTGTTTGGCACACGCCTGGGTGACAGCAGGCTGCCTGGGTGAGGGCAGGCCGTTGGAACCCTTAGCTGAGAAGACAAACCCAGCAAAAGAGAGCCACGAGGTCTAAGAGGCCCTTGCCTCCCTCCATGCAGGTCACCAACTGGTTACTGTATACTGTTTCTTCTCAGCCTTATTCCAGAAAAGTGGAATTACTATTAAGTGGCCAAGCCTGAACCCTGAAAGTATGCAGACACAAAGCAGAAAGTCGGTTCACGGGACTACGGAACCTGGAGAACGGAGCCGCCAGTCCAGGCGAGAGTGGAGTGGAGCCACAGAAAGGATATCCCATGGCCAGGAAACTGAGTGCACAGGAAGACACAGCCAGGGAGCGGCAAGAGGCAGGGTGAAACTCAGGCCTCAACCTGGGACGCAGGGCTCGCAGCCCACCTTGCTGTTCCTCCCGGCTGGCTGGCAAACGCTCTGGCAGGAATCAGACCCTGTCAGAACGAGCTGCACTGTCCTACCCCGTGCCTCACAAAAACAAGAGCTGCTCTGTAGCTCACTTGACATGGAGATGCCGTCAGGCCCCAGGAGGCTGAACAGCCTCTCCAGTCTCCGGCTCACGTCCCCTCCACCTCCGGCAGCCAGGACGGAGGCCCTGAGCACCCCCAACCTCAGCAGCCAGGACGGAGGCCCTGAGCACCCCCAACCTCAGCAGCCAGGCCAGAGGCCCTGAGCATCCCCAACCTCAGCAGCCAGGATGGGGCTCTGAGCACCCCCAACCTCAGCAACCAGACGCAGGCCCTGAGCACCCCGAACCTTGGCAGCCAGGACAGAGGCCCTGAGAACTCCACAACCTCAGCAGCCAGGACGGAGGCCCTGAGGACCCCCAACCTCTGCAGCCTGGAGGGAGGCCCTGAGGACCCCCCACCTTGGCAGCCTGGACAAGAGGTCCTAAAGACCCCCCAACCTTGGCAGCCAGGATGGTAGCCCTGAGGACCCCCAACTTCGGCAGCCTGGACGGAGGCCCTAAGGATTCCCCCACTTTGGCAGCCTGGACAGAGGCCCTGAGAACTCCATAACCTCAGCAGCCAGGATGAAGGCCTTAAGTACCCCCAACCTCAGCTGCCTGGACGGAGACCCTGAGGACCCCCAACCTCGGCAGCCAGGACGGAGACCCTGAGGACCCCCAATCTCGGCAGCCTGGACAGAGGCTCTGAGAACTCCATAACCTCAGCAGCCAGGATGAAGGCCCTAAGTACTCCCAACCTCAGCAGCCTGGACGGAGACCCTGAGGACCCCCAACCTCGGCAGCCAGGATGGAGACCCTGAGGACCCCCAATCTCGGCAGCCTGGACAGAGGCTCTGAGAACTCTGCAACCTCAGCAGCTAGGACGGAGACCCTAAGGACCCTGCAACCTCAGCCGGGACGGAGGCCCTGAGGACCCCCAATCTTGGCAGCCTGGACACAGGCCCTAAGGACCCCCCCAACCTTGGCAGCCAGGATGAAGACCCTGAGGACCCCCCACCTCAGCAGCCTGGACAGAGGCCCTGAGGAACCCCCACCTTGGCAGCCTGGACACAGGCCCTAAGGACCCCCCCAACCTTGGCAGCCAGGATGAAGGCCCTGAGGACCCCCCACCTCGGCAGCCTGGACACAGGCCCTGAGCACCCCCACCTCAACAGCCTGGACAGAGGCCCTAAGCACCCCTCCTTCATCCGTACCTCACCAGGTTGATGTGGGCTTTCTCCATGACCTTAAGCCAGGCTAGCAGGGGTTGTAAATCATTCTCACTGGGAACATAGTCGTACAGGGCCTAAAAGTGGGAATAAGCAGGTGACTGAGCATGCAGGGTCTGCAATAGCCCAGTGATGATGACCCCTTCCCATCCTGGCACCAGCAATGTCCTGGGGACAGTGCTTGTGACCCTAGCACTCACAGCCCCCTTGGCTTTCCCAGCTCCTGCCTTTCCCTTCTCCATGAAGCCCTCCCAGCTCTAATTCTTTGGGAGAACAGCCTCTAGGAGCAGCGGAGTATCATGGGTCACACACTCCTTTGTGAGTCTGACAAAAGCCAGAGGCCTTCTTTGAAAAAAAAAAACGTACATTTTGCTAACAATTTGGGGGATCTGATCCCCCCTCCCAATATCCATCCACAGACCTCTAAGGCCGAGAGCCCTGCTCAAGGTATCTATGAGCACCACGAGACCATGCTGAAACAGTTCATTAAAGTTAACTAGGTCAAGGGTCAAGGTCCCAGCTCCTGGGGACACTGATGTGAATTTGATGGCTGGTCTCCAATCTTCCTTCCCCTTCTACTGGCCTCTTCCACTAGGACAACCCAGCCCAGCCAACCTCACTCTGTAGACAAGGCGCAGGGCCAGTGCCCCCAGCACAGCCTCCCAAGGCACCACCCCCGACCTAATGCCCCCACATCCCACCAACAGGCCTCACCGTGATGATCTGGGCGTTGAGCTCTGCTGACAGGGTGCTCAGGCCAGGCCTGGCGTGGAAGAGGCTGTGAAAGGCCTGCATGGCACAGGCTGTCACCAGCTGGAGGGGGACACACAGGCTTAGAAAGGAACTACAAAGCCCACGGCTGGCCCTGGACCCCTCAACTCCACCTGTGTGCTAGGGAGTTGAGGGCCCCCTGAACCTCACACATGCCCCCCACACAGAGACACCCTGAGGACTGCCACCTTAGTAAGACATGGAAGCCACTGAAAAAGCTTTAAATGTCTTAAACAAAGATAGAAACATTAACAAAATGGTTTTAACATAACAGCCAAAAAAGCAGGCTATAAACGGTCTGTTACAGCTGTATTTTTTTTTTTTTTTTTTTTGAGACAGAATCTTGCTCCGTTGCTGGATACAGGGGTGAGACCAATACAGGTGCATGCCACTGTGCCTGGCCAATTTTTTAATTTTTATAAAGACAGAGTCTCGTCTCACTATGTTGCCCAAGCTGGTCTCAAATTCCTTGCCTCCTGCCTTAGCCTCCCAAGTGCTAAGGTTACAGGTGTGAGCCACTGCACCTGGCCTTTACATGTTTTATCATGTATATTTGTTTATCCAAAGAGAAAATGTCTGAAAGGATACCCAGAAAGTTATTTGCACTGTCTACCTTAGGAAACAGGATTTGGAGGGAAGGAGATTTTTACTTTATACACTTCTGAATTGTTTTTCCCTTTTAAACAATGATCATATTATTTATATTTTACAATTTTAAAAATATGTATGTAAATAAACACTACAAGAGAATATACAAGGCCGGGTGCAGAGGCTCACATCTGTAATCCCAGCACTTTGGGAGGCCGAGGTGAGTGGATCACGAGGCCAGGAGATCGAGAGCATCCTGGCTAACACGGTGAAACCCCGTGTCTACTAAAAATACAAAAAACTAGTCAGGTGTGGTGGCGGGCGCCTGTAGTCCCAGCTACTCGGGAGGCTGAGGCAGGAGAATGGCGTGAACCCGGAAGGCGGAGTTTGCAGTGAGCCGAGACCACGCCACTGCACTCCAGCCTGGGTGACAGAGCGAGACTCCATCACAAAAAAAAAAAGAGAGAGAACACACAGTGAGTTGGCGGGGGTATCTGTGGGGGATTGGTTCCAGGACCCCCCATGGACATAAAAATCTACCAATGCTCAAGTCTCTATATTAAATGGTGTAGTATTTCCATATAACCTACACGCATCCTCCCATACACTTTAAATCACCTGGATTACTTATAATACGTAATACAATATAAATGCTATGTAAATAGTTGCTACACTCTGTTGTCTAAGGAATAATGACAAGGAAAAAAAACTGTACATGTTCAGTACAGAAGCAACCAACCATTTTCTTTTTCCTGAATATTTTCTTTTCTTTTTCTTTCCTTTTTTTTCTTTTTCCTTTTTTTTTTTTTTTGACATGGGGTTCTTGCTCTGTTGCCCAAGTTGGAGTGCAGTGGCATGACCATGGCTCACTACAGCCTCAACCTCCTGGGCTCAAGCAATCCTCCCACTTCCACCTCCCAAGCATCTGGGATTATAGGCGCGTGCAGCCATGCCCAGTTTCCAAATATTTTCAATCCAAGGTTGGTTGAATTTATGGCTGTGGGAACCACACATACAAAGAGCTGACTGTATAAAGATTTACAGAATTGTGCTAGAAATGGTAGAAACACAGGAAATCATTTTTCATGTGTCTTTAAAGCTGCTAAAAAAAAAAAACTCGACCGGGCGCAGTGGCTCACGCCTGTAATCCCAGAACTTTGGGAGGTTGAGGCGGGCAGATCACCTGAGGTTGGGAGTTCAAGACCAGCCTGATCAACATGGAGAAACCCCATCTCTACTAAAAATACAAAAAATTAGCTGGGCGTGGTGGTGCATGCCTGTAATCCCAGCTACTTGGGAGGCTGAGGCAGAAGAATCGCTTGAACCCGGGAGCCAGAGGTTGCAGTGAGCCAAGATCGCGCCATTGCACTCCAGCTGTGCAACAAGAGCAAAACTCGGTCTCAAAAAAAAAAAAAAAAAAAAAAAAAAATTGGTATAGGGTACATAGAGCTGGTGCAGAAGGAGGGTTTACCAGCCCACTACAGATCCACCCTGACTCTGACCTGATCTCTGAGGTCAGCTTCCATCTGGAAGGGGACTCTGATATGGCCTGGCCTAGCCAAACACCACAGAGTAACGTAGTGCTGTTGGTTTTAGCTTAAGAACACAGTCAGGGAGGGAGACCCCAGGCCCTGCATTTTGACTGACCAGTGAGTTCCCCAAATGCCACCACTGCAGGTCCCCCTTTCTCCAGCTTTTGGGCCTGAGCTCACCACATGGCTCAAGGTCATGACCCTGAGGAGAGTCTCACTGCAGCTCTTCACCAGGCCTTCCGGGAAGCAGGGCAGCAGGTCCTTCAGCAGCGTCAGCATGTGCAGCGTGGTGGTGGCCTCCTTGGAGCCTGGTATACAGAAGAGGAATTGAGACACCAGCCCCGCCCTACCGCAGGCCCTGTCCTGCTCTGCCAGCCACTGCCTCCCATCCACCTGCCCTCCATTTGGGTTCCCCACCTCCAGACTTCTCAATCTCCTGGATGCAGAACTTGGCAGTGGAAATGGCAGCAGGATGATGGGCAGGGGCCTTTTCAAACATGAATTCACTGCCCTTGAGGACTGAGCATACTCCATGCTGGGCAGCCTTCCGGATCTGAGGGGCAAGGAGAGCAGGAGACAAGGCCAGATCAGCGTTCCACCAGCATCTTGGGTGTCCGGCACAAGCACCAACCAATTAGCTTTGGCTGAAATATAGATCCAATGATGATCTGACTACTATAGATCCAGTGCTACACCAGGGCCTTCATGTGTACAGAATCCTGAGCTGTGAAGCAAGACAAACCTCAGTTCAAATCCCTGCTCTACAACTAACTCACCAAATGGCCTTAAGCAAGCCCAACTACTTAATTTCTGAGTTTCAATATCATCTTGAAAACAGGGGTTTCTTCATTCACTTAATCATCCGGCAAACACTGTGTGTCCACCAAGCCAGGCACTGTTCTAGGTCCTGGCAAACTGGCACTGAACAGCAGGCAACTCCCCTTCCAGCTGGGAGGCAGAAAACAAATACATAACAGAAGGTTAAAAAGTACTTTGCAGATAACCAAGCAGGGGCTGCTACTTTTGTTGTTGTTGTTTGTTTGAGACAGAGTCTTGCTCTGTAGCCCAGGCGGAGTGCAGTGGCGGATCTCGGCTCACTGCAAGCTCCGCCTCCCAGGTTCACGCCATTCTCCTGCCTCCGCCTCCCGAGCAGCTGGGACTACAGGCGCCCGCCACCACACCCGGCTAATTTTTTGTATTTTTAGTAGAGACGGGGTTTCACTATGTTAGCCAGGATGGTCTCGATCTCCTGACCTCGTGATCCGCCCGCCTCGGCCTCCCAAAGTGCTGGGATTACAGCCGTGAGCCACCGCGCCCAGCCAAGGGGCTGCTACTTTTTATACAGTGGTCAGGAAAGTGTCACCGCAGTGAAGTGCCACTGCAGCGAGAGCTGAAGGTGAGGAAAAGATCATGTGAGCACCGAGGGAAGGGGGCATGAGACCATCTGGGCTGACGGTGCTTAGCACTGGGAGTGATTACATGACTGTTATTGTTACCACCTCCTGCCCTAAATTTCCAGAGGAAACAGTGGGGAACCATCACTCACCAAGCACCTGCCGTGAGCCAGGAGGTGCGCCAGGCCTGTGGGGAACACTGGAGTCTCCCCACAACTCTGTAGCAAAGTAGGTGTGATTATCTCTATTTCTTTTTTTTTCTTTTGAGATGGAGTCTCGTTCTGTTGCCCAGGCTGGAGTGCAGTGGTGCAATCTTGGCTCACTGCAACCTCTGCCTGCTGGGTTCAAGCGATTCTCCTGCCTCAGCCTCCCGAGTAGCTGGGATTACAAGCACCCACCACCACACCTGGCTAATTTTTATATTTTTAGTAGAGTCGAGGTTTCACTATGTTGGCCAGGCTGGTTTCAAACTCCCGACCTCAAATGATCCTCCCACTTTGGCCTCCCAAAGTGCTGGGATTACAGGCGTGAGCCACCACATTCAGCCAATTATCTCTATTTCATAGTCAGGAAGTTGAGGCTCAGAGAGATTAAGTAACTTGCCCAAGGTCACACCTCGAGCAGTGAATTCAGGATCCAACTCAGGTCTGTGTGACTCCCCCAACTATGCCACCCTCCCTGCCGAGGTAAATAGACATATGGGGAGAGTCCACGTCAACAGGGCAATGGCTGATGAGGCACCAGAGACTCAGATAGGGCTGACAGGGAACAGCCTCCTGGAGGAGGAAGAGCCGCCCTGCCTTCTGCATCTAAATGCATGGTGCCTCAGAAGCAGAAAGCAGAAGCCAGTACTCAGGGCAAGCTCCCCAGTGCCACTCAGCTAGCCAAGTCTGGGCTGCACTGGGCTGAGTGGTGGCTGTCCCCTTGCCCCATTTTCTAGGGAGCTAGTAGTCTCACCTTGGGCTTGGGATGCACCGTGAAGCTCAGCAGCCCATGGTACACCTGAAGGGTCACGGGGTAGCCCCAGGCCTCCAGGTCTTGCTTCCGCAGAAGGGTGGCCAGGCAGGAAAGGACCTGGAAGAAAGTCAGAGTCCCTCAGTGCCACCAGCCTCGGCCAGGAGGGAAAAGAGCCCAGGTTCTCACTGACTCCAGAAAATCGCATCTGTCTGAGGTCCCCAGGGTGCCTAAACCCCTCTCAGGGAACATCTAAGCATCACCAAATCAGACAGGCTCTGGGAGTCGCCAGATGAGAAACTAAACCCCAGACACTAACCCATCGGAGGACAGAGGTGGAGCCGCTGCTGGCCTGAGCTGACATGATATCCATGAAGGCTTTGGAGGTATCAGAGAACTTCTTAATAAGCACAGGGCTGGGAACACTGTGGGAAAGAACAGAGATGGTCACCCCAGAGGGTCCCTGAAGAGCAGCTGGTGCAGCCCCTCGTGGTACTAAGGAGGACAGGGCAAGGGGCGCTGGTGGCACAGTCACTCAGAAAGTGAGCAACAAAGTCAGAATAGGCACCCACCTTATCAGCCAGCTCAGTGTGCTTTCCACCCGGGATCCCTGCCTCTCTCACCTTCCCACTACCCACTCCTAAACTCAGGACACCAATCCTCTCTCCACCTCCCCTGGCAGTTCACATCTCCAGAAAGCCTGGGGCCAACTACTCCTTCCCTCCCTTCTGCCACTCACTGCTCCAGGAATGCCCCTTCTGGGGGCCAACACTCACACTCCCTGGTATAATGACCCAGTCACCCAGGACCTTATGTTGTAGAATGCCACCTGATATACAAGTATCTTTTAAATTGTATTTTAAAATTTCTGGCCAGGCATGGTGGCTCACGCCTGTAATCCCAGCACTATGGGAGGCCAAGGTGGGCAGATAACCTGAGGTCGGGAGTTTGAGACCAGCCTGACAAACATGGAGAAACCCTGTATCTACTAAAAATACAAAATTAGCTGGGCGTGATGGCGCCCGCCTGTAATCCCAGCTACTTGGGAGGCCAAGGCAGGAGAATCACTTGAACCCGGGAGGTGGAGGGTGTGGTGAGCTGAGATTGCACCATTGCACTCTAGCCTGGGCAACAAGAGCGAAACTCTGTCTCAAAAATAAATAAATAAATAAATAAATTTCTAATTGTGGTAAAATACACATAAGATAAAACATCATTTCGGCCGGACGCAGTGGCTCACGCCTGTAATCCCAGCAGTTTGGGAGGCCGAGGCGGGTGGATCATGAGGTCAGGAGATCGAGACCATCCTGGCTAACACAGTGAAACCCGGTCTCTACTAAAAATACAAACAATTAGCCAGACGTGGTGGCGGGCGCCTGTAGTCCCAGCTACTTGACAGGCTGAGGCACGAGAACGGTGTGAACCCAGGAGGTGGAGTTGCAGTGGGAGGAGGTGGCGCCACTGCACTCCAGCCTGGGCAACAGAGCGAGACTCTGTCTCAAAAAGGAAAAAAACAACACACCATTTCAACGATATTTTTCGGTATATCATTCAGTACTGTTAAGTATATTCATGTTGTGGGTTTTTTTTTTTTCTTTTTTTGGAGACAGGGTCTCACTCGTCACCCAAGCTGGAGTGTAGTGGCACAATTAGGCTCACTGCAACCTCTACCTCCCAAGTAGTTGGGACTACAGGTGCATGCCACCACGCCTAGCTCATTTTTGTATTTTTTTGTAGAGACAAGGTTTTGCCATGTTGCCCAGGCTGGTTTCGAACTCCTGGGCTCAACAGTCCACCTGCCTCAGCCTCCCAAAGTGCTGGGATTATAGGTATGTGTCACCACACCCAGCCAAGTATACTCACATTGTTGTGCAACCAATCTCAAGAACTTTTTCATCTTAAAGAATCAAGGTTTTTTATTTTTTACTTTATTACTTATTTATTTATTGAGATGGAGTCTCACTCTGTTGCCCAGGCTGGACTGCAGTGGCTTGATCTTGGCTCAATGCAACCTCCACATTCTGTGTTCAAGTGATTCTCCTGCCTCAGCCTCCCAAGTAGCTGGGATTACAGGCATGTACCACTACACCTGGCTAATTTTGTATTTTTAGTAGAGATCGGGTTTCACCATGTTGGCCAGGCTGGTCTCCAACTCCTGGCCGCAAGCAATCCTCCTGCCTCAGCCTCCAAAAGTGCTGGGATTACAGGTATGAGCCACTGCGTCCAGCCATGACTTTTAATTTTTATTACTCAAAACAAATTTCATTTTCTTTCTATTTTTTTTTTTTTGAGACGGAGTCTTGCACTGTTGACAGGGCTGTAAGTGCAATGGCATGATCTCAGCTCACTGCTACCTCTGCCTACTGGGTTCAAGCAATTCTCCTGCCTCAGCCTCCCGAGTAGCTGAATTACAGGCACCTGCCACCATGCCCAGCTAATTTTTGTGTTTTTAGTAGGGACGGGGTTTCACCATGTTGGCCAGTTTGGTCTCGAACTCCTGACCTCAGGTGATCTGCCCACCTCAGCCTCCCAAAGTGCTGGGATTACAGGCGATCTGCCCACCTCAGCCTCCCAAAGTGCTGGGATTACAGGCGTGAGCCACAGCATGTAGCCTACCCAGCTAATTTTTATATTTTTAGTAGAGGCGGGGTTTCACCATGTTGGCCAGGATGGTCTCGATCTCCTGACCTCTTGATCTGCCTGCCTCGGCCACCCAAAGTGCTGGGATTATAGGTGTGAACCACCGCACCAGGCCAAAAAAGTTTCATTTTCAATAGAGCTTTCTGACTCTGCTTTTGCCTTCAACACTTTCACAATGATTTTCTGCTCCTCAATAAGGAAAGCACACTTGATTCTGTCATGAACACACTGAGCACACATGGAACCAGGGAAGCACTGCAGGCCCTATAGACATGCCTTTTGTTTTGGACTATCAAATAACAACTTTAGATCTCACAGCACGAGCTCCTGAATGTCTGCCTGGACACACACCACGTGAAGATTTTGGTGCTTTCCCAACCTTCTTGGCATAAAGGTAAATGATTCTATTACCAGGGGTTCAGGACAGCCTAGTTTAGTTAGAGTTTCTCACTAGAGGCCTACGACGGTATGTCACATGCTGGCCCATTCTGCATGCCTCTAGACAATGTTCATGAAGAGCAAGTATCTTTTTAAATAACAATTCCCTGATCCTGTTTCTCCTGTCCACATTCCCTTCTCCCCTCCACAAAAAGCCTTGGGGTTCAAACAGGAGGCAGAACTCACCGCTTCAGGACAAGGTTCAGCAGGTAAGCAACGGCGGCCAGGGACTCCGGGGACTCCACTGCTTCCATTGTTGTCATCTGAGGGCCAGATTGAGGGGGTTTGAATGGATAAAAACTTACACTGAGCAAACAGGAAAGAGAGTGGGGGAACATGTGCCCAGCAGAACAGTTGTGACTGAGAACCACGGTATCAGAGGTTCAGATCCTGACTCTGGCATTGTGTGGTTTTGGGCTAGTAATTTAACCTATCTGTGACTCAGTTTCTTCATTTGTAAAGTAGGGATACTAATGCTACATACCTTATACGTTGTTGTGAGGTTTAATTGAATTAATATATATAAAATACTGCCTGACACATAATTAAAACTATATATATGTGGCTGGGCGTGGTGGCTCACGCCTGTAATCCCAGCACTTTGGGAGGCCGAGGAGGGCAGATCACGAGGTCAGGAGACCGAGACCATCCTGGCTAACACGGTGAAACACCGTCTCTACTAAAAAATACAAAAAATTAGCCAGGCATGGTGGCGGGCGCCTGTAGTCCCAGCTACTCGGGAGGCTGAGGCAGGAGAATGGCGTGAACCCAGGAGGCAGAGCTTGCAATGAGCTGAGATCGTGCCACTGCACTCCAGTCTGGGTGACAGAGTGAGACTCCGTCTCAAAAAAAATAAATAAATAAACTATATATATGTTTATGTGCATATATATACAGAGATAGATAGATAGTTTTTTTGAGAGACAGGGTCTCCCAGGTTGGAGTGCAGTGGTATAATCATAGCTCACTGTAACCTTGAACTTCAAAGCTCAAGAGATCCTCCCACATCAACTTCCCAAGCAGCTAGAACTACAGGCATGCGCCACAAAGCTTGGCTAATTATTTTATTTTTTGTAGAGACAGGGTCCCACTATATTGCACAGGCTGGTGTCGAACTCCTAGCCTCAAGCACTCCTCCGATCTTGGCCTCCCAAAGTCCTAGGATTAAAGGCGTGAGCCACCACACCCAGCCAAACACCATATACTGCCATCTAATTTATTTCATTATTCTAGAGCAGAGGTTGGCAAACTTTTTCTACGAAGGACCAGATAGTAAATATTTTCGGCTTTGCATGCACACTTGGTCTCTGTTGTATGTTCTTTTTGTGTGTGTTTTAACAATTCTTTAAAAATGTAATAACCAGGCTGGGCATGGTGGCTCATGCCTGTAATCCCAGCACTTTGGGAGGCCAAAGTGGGAGAACTGATTCAGCTCAGGAGCTCAAGACAAGCTTGGGCGACATGACGAAACTCTGTCTCTACTAAAAATACAAAAATTAGCTGGGCATGGTGGCAGGCGCCTGTAATTCCAACTACTCAGGAGGCTAAGGCACGATCATCACTTGAACACAGGAGGTGGAGGTTGCAGTGAGCCATGATCACACCACTGCACTCCAGCCTGGGCAACAAAGTGAGACCCTGTCTCCAAAACAAAACAAACAACAACAAAAAAACCCAAAAACAAAATAAAAAGTATATATATACACATATACACACACACACACACATACATACATACACAAATATATTTATTTATTTAATGTAATAAGTAGGCCAGCCATGGTGGCTCACACCTGTAATTCCAGCACTTTGGGAGGCTGAGGTAGGGGGGATCACCTGAGGTTGCGAGTTCGAGACCAGCCGGGCCAACATGGTGAAACCCTGTCTCTACTAAAAATACAAAAATCAGCCAGGTGTGGTGGCGCACGCCTGTAATCCCAGGTACTCAGGAGGCTGAGGCATGAGAATTGCTTGATACCATGAGACAGAGGTTGCAGTGAACTGGGATCGTGCCACTGCAGTCCAACTTGGGCAACGGAGTGAGACTCTGTTTCAAAAAAAAAAAAAAGTAGACCAGGCCTGGTGGCTCAGGCCTATAATCCCAGCACTTTGGGAGGCTGAGGCAGGCAGATCACGAGGTCAGGAGTTCGAGACAAGTCTGGCCAACATAGTAAAACCTCTTCTCTACTAAAAAATACAAAAAATAAGCCGGGTATGGTGGTGTGCACCTGTAATCCCAGCTACTCGGGAGGCTGAGGCAGGAGAATCACATGAACCCAGGAGGCAGAGGTTGCAATAAGTTGAGAACATGCCATTGCACTCCAGCCTGGGCGACAGTGTGAGACTCCGCCTCAAAAAAAAAAAAAAAAAAAGTAATAAGTAGCCAGTTGCAGTGGCTCATGCCTGTAATCCCAACAATTTGGGAGGCCACCGCAAGATGACAAGACGGTTTGAGCCCAGGAATTTGAAACCAGCCTGGACAACATAGTGAGACCCTGTCTCTTTAAAAAAAAGAAACAAAGAAAGAAAGAAAAGAAAAGAGAAAATTAAAAGGTAGCAAATACCACCAGCCTTCCTAAGCCACCTGAGAATAACTGAAGCACTTTCACCTGGTCAAGGTTGTCCTTCTCTACCCCCACATGCCAGGGGCACTCATCTTCTCGCTAAATCTTGCATAACCTGCTGCTCTGAACACCCACCCTCCAGTGGCACCCACTCACCAGAGCAGCGAAGTACTCAGTCTCCGTCTCCTTCCCTCCCTGGGAGCGAATCACCTCAGTGACAGCAGCCAGAACAGCACAGATCTGCACAGGAGGGAGAAAGCACTGTGACTATTTTAGACCTAACCCCACCCCAGGGGAACCTCCTTTCCTTGCTCCTTCACAGATTAATCTCTGGTTAAAGCCCAGAGACAGACAAGACAGGCAACATTCAGGGCCTAGGTCCATACCAGGGGGCCCAGCAAATAACAAGACTCAGAAAATGCTTGCTAAAATTCCACCATGAGGTACTAACCTTCTAGAAATACCTGCATGAGATGAGTGTGCAAATATTTATGTACAAGGATGTTCATGGCAGCAACAAATTGGAATGGTCAAGAAGCCATCAACAGGAGATTAATAATGTACTGTAGTTGTCTCTAATGTACTGCAGTTATCGAGGGGGGGATTGGTTCCAGGACCCCTAAAGATACCAAAATCCGAGGATGCTCAGGTCCCTTATAAAAAATGGTGTAGTATTTGTGTATAACCTATATACATCTTCCCATATACTTTATTTATTTTTTTTGAGATAGAGTCTCACTGTTAGCTAGGCAAGAGTGCAGTGGCATGATCTCAGCTCACTGCAACCTCTGCCTCTGGGTTCAAGCAATTCTCCTGCCTCAGCCTCCCAAGTAGCTGGGATTACAGGTGTGCACCACCATGCCCAGCTAATTTCTGTATTTTTAGTAGAGATGGGGTTTTACCATGTTGACCAAGCTGGTTTTGAACTCCTGGCCTCAAGTGATCTGCCCTCCTTAGCCTCCCAAAGTGCTGAGATTACAGGCATAAGCCACCATGCCTGGCCTCCCATATACTTTAAATCATCTCTAGATTACTGGTAACACCTAACACAATGTAAATGCTATATAAATAGTTGTTATACTGTATTTTTGTTGTTGTTGTTGTTGTTGTTGTTTTTGAGACAGAGTCTCACTCTGTCACCCAGGGTGGAATGCAGTGGCGCACTCTCTGCTAACCGCAGCTTCCACCTCCCGGGTTCAAGCGATTCTCCTGCCTCAGCCTCCTGAGTAGCTGGGATTACAGGCATGTGCCACTACGCTAGGCTAATTTTTTGTACTTTTAGTAGGGATGGAGTTTCACCATGCTGGCCAGGTTGGTTTTGAACTTCTGACCTCAAGTGATCTGCCCGCCTCGGCCTCCCAAAGTGCTAGGATTACAGGCGTGAGCCACCTCGCCTGGTATATTATTATTATTTTAAAAAGATTTTTCAATCCATGCTTGGTTGAATCTGCAGGTGCAGAACCCGCAAATATAGAGACCTGACTGTATCATTATATAATAATGAAAAATTTAAATAGTGCATTATTCAAAAGAATGAGAACAACTATATATTAACTTATAAATATCGTTCAGTAGGGAAAAAGTTGCAGAACAGTGGATAAAAAATAAACTAATCAAGCAGGGCACAATGGCTCACACCAGTAATCCCAACACTTTGGGAGGCTCAGGTGGGCAGATCCCTTGAGCCCAGGAGTTCAAGACCAATCTGGGCAATATGGCAAACCCCATCTCTACAAAAAATACAAAAATTAGCTTGGTATGGTAGCACTCCCCTGTAGTCCCAGCTACTTGGGAATTGGAAGGCTGATCAGCCACTGCACTCTAACCTGGGTGACAAAGTGAGACTCTGTCTGAAAAAAAAGAAAAGAAAAGAAAAGAAACTAATCACATTTTGGTAAACCTAAATAACAAAATTGGGTAAAAAAAAATACGTATATATATATACATATATATATATATATGTATATATATATACGTATTTTTTTTTTTTTTTTTTTTTTTTTTGAGATGGAGTCTCGCTCTGTTGCCCAGGCCGGACTGCGGACTGCAGTGGCGCAATCTCGGCTCACTGCAAGCTCCGCTTCCCGGGTTCACGCCATTCTCCTGCCTCAGCCTCCCGAGTAGCTGGGACTACAGGCGCCCGCCACCGCGCCCGGCTAATTTTTTGTATTTTTAGTAGAGACGGGGTTTCACCTTGTTAGCCAGGATGGTCTCGATCTCCTGACCTCATGATCCACCCGCCTCGGCCTCCCAAAGTGCTGGGATTACAGGCGTGAGCCACCGCGCCCGGCCTTTTTTTTTTTTTTTTTTGAGACAGAGTCTCGTTCTGTCACCCAGGCTGAAGCGCAGTGGTGCGATCTTGGGTCGCTGCAACCTCTGCCTCCAGGGTTCAAGTGATTCTCGTGCCTCAGCTTCCCAAGTAGCTGGGATTACAGGCGCATGCCACCATGCCAGGCTAATTTTTTAGTAGAGATGGGTTTTCACCATGTTGGCCAGGCTGGTCTCAAACTCTTGACCTCAAATGATCTGCCCACCTCGGCCTCCCAAAGTGCTAGGATTACAGGTGTAAGCCACTATGTCCAGCCTGAAAATTTAGTTTTTAAATTTCAACTACTCATAATTTAAAATATTTGATCTATTTACTAGAAAACATATATTTGTAACAACCTGGCAAATAGGTTCGTAGTAATTCATAGTAGGCAAATCTACTTGTACAACCATAAATGTTATGAACTCTAAATAGACACAAATCAAGTATTTCCAATGAAAATTTAGCATCTAAGTAGGGGTATATGGGTAAATTATACACTAGATTTTGAAGACTTGGTATCATAAAAATAATGCTGTAGTAAAATATACTGATTATACATTGAAGTGATAATATTTTAAAGATACTGAGTTAAATAAAGTACATTATTAAGATTAATTTGGGCCGGGCGCAGTGGCTCACACCTGTAATCCCAGCACTTTAGGAGGCCGAGGCGGGTGGATCACCTGAGGTCAGGAGTTTGAGACCAGCCTGACCAACATGGAGAAACCCTGTCTCTATTAAAAACAGAAAATTAGCCGGGCATGGTGGCGCACGCCTCTAATCCCAGCTACTCGGGAGGCTGAGGCAGGAGAATCACCTGAACCCAGGAGGCGGAGGTTGCAGTGAGCCGAGATCGTGCCATTGCACTCTAGCCTGGACAACAAGAGCGAAACTCCGGCTCCAGAAAAAAATAAAAAGATGAATTTATTTTACCTGTTTCTTTCAGTTTTTAATATGGCTACTAAACATTTTTAAATTACATATGTGGCTTGAATTTAGATTACTATTGGACAGAGCTGGTCCAGGAAGACAGACAATGACCCATTAACAGGAGCTCTGTGAATGATTCAAGTTGGGGGATCTACCATCACATTATATTATTCTTATATCATTTTGATATCATTTAGAATTTTGACATTTTTTATTTCAATAACAAAAAATATATATAACTTTATAGTATAGATAAAATAATAAAAGTAAGGCCAGGCACGGTGGCTCATGCCTGTAATCCCAGCATTTTAGGAGGCCAAGGTGGGCGGATTACCTGAGTTCAGGAGTTTGAGACCAGCCTGGCTAACATGGTGAAACCCCGTCTCTACTAAAAATACACACACACAAAAAATTAGCTACTTGAATAATGCACTATTTAAATATACTAAAAAAAAAAAAAAAAAAATTAGCCGGGCGTGGTGGCACATGCCTGTAATGGCAGCTACTTGGGAGGCTGAGGCAGGAGGATTGCTTGGGCCTGGGAGATGGAGGTTGCAGTGAGTGAAGATTGCGCTACTGCACTCCAGCCTGGCCAACAGAACGAGACTCTGTCTCAAAATAAATACATGAATTAAGTTAAATTAAAGTAAATAAATTTAGTTCTTGCTAGATAAAACGTTTCCTAATCACTGTTACTCAGCATTTATTTACTCAACATATGTTTATTGAAAATACTCTGTGTAAAAGTGCTGTGTTAGGTATAGCTGAGGAGAGAAATGTTTGGAAAATATTTCTACCCTCAAGTACTTAAGCAGAGGAGATGTTCTTATAAAAAGCAGAAAGTAGAACCTGCCCTAGGAGGAGACATAAAGGGGAGGAGCGATGACGCATCATCCAGAAATACCAGCTGTTGTCATCGGAGACCTGTCGGCCAGAGCTGAAGAAAAGGCATGAGTTGGCCTCTCCTCACTATCCTATGGCCCTCCCGACCCTCGCCCCTACCTCCTTGTGGGCAGCCGAGTTGGACTCCCAGAAGCGCTGTACTTTGCTGAAGGTGACGTTTGTGCAGTCGGAAAGGCCACTCAGGAAGGTACCCGAGGACTTCTCGGTGAGAACCAGCTCCGCCTCTTCTTCCATGGGCGTCTCCGGGGCTTCGCTTTTGCCCAAGCGCAAGGACCCTGACTGCAGCTCATTATGTAACTTCACAGCATCGACTGTCAGGTCACTCCTTCCTGAGAGCCAGAGGCACAAGATAAGGTCCAAGCCTCCTTTTGGTCAAGAGAACAGAACAACCCCTGGGAAACAAACCAGCCCAGGCCAAATCTCCAACCCGAGAGGCTGAATTCTGAACACAGCCAGTCTCATAAAACCACTGTATGCCTAAAAACTTGAAAAACCAAGGAGAAAGGGAATCCTCCATGTAAAAGTTTCTGCTTCCCTGTAGCAGCGGCATAAACGCCACTGGGAATCGGCTGGGAGCTACATTCAGAGGGCCTGCAAAATAAATGAAGGTGAACGCGCTCTGTAAAGAGCTACCCAAGGTCCAAGCCATCTGTCTCAACTCTGACACCCGCGGTACCTTACACAAGACATTTCCCTACTGCGGACCTCAGTTTCTGTATCTGCTAAATTGGAAGGACTGCCCTTCAGAGAGGGCTCCAGATCCGACATCCTAAGAGACGAAAGGTCCAATGCCTGGCCCCGCACTCTCCCAGAGGCCCCAGACTCATCTGGACCCAGGTCTGCCTGGAACCCCGCCCCCGGCTGCGCTCGGGTCTCAACCCAGCTACCTGACGGCCGGCTGAAGAAGCGGCTGCGGGCGGCCTGACGGTGGCGGCAGATGGCGGGGTTGCTGTCGCTGCTGTGGCCTTTCTTCCAGCGCTTCAACTTAGCTGAGACACCAGAAGGCAACTTTCCCGAGCGACCCATGTTGACTAAGCCGTGGCGAGGAATGAGCTTAAATGACCGGCTTCCAGGGACGTAGAAACACGCTCAGAACCCACGTGGATACCCTGTAGCCTTCACTTCCTCTTCTTCTGGCGTCACTTCCGGATTCGTGTGCATTACTATGGTAAAACAGTCAACATCCGGTTTTACACCTCCTCCTGGCTTCGGATGGGGAGGAGCTCCAAGGAGATCCGTTGCTAGGGAGGAAGTTAGGTTGCTAAGGGTTCTATGGGGTTCTTACTCCAGCCAGGACCAGGTTTCAGGGCCACAGGCGTAAGCCTTATAAAACTGGAGTTTGGCTGAGCGTGGTGGCTCATGCCTGTAATCCCAATACTTTGGGAGGCTGAGGCGGGTGGATCATTTGAGGTCAGGAGTTTGAGACCAGCCTGATCACCAGGGTGAAACCCCGTCTCTACTAAAATAAAAAAATTAGCTGGGCTTGGTGGCGCGCGCCTGTAATCCCAACTACTCGGGAGGATGAGGCACAAGAATCACTTGAACTCGGGAGGCGGAGTTTGCAGTAAGCCGAGATCACGCCTCGGCACTCCAGCCTGGACAACAGAGTAAGACTGTCTCAAAAAAACAAAACAAAGCAAACAAAAAACTGGAGTTCTTTTGCAGTTAAACAACAACAAAAAGTACATTTATATTACATTTGAAAATCTATTTTCAAAATTAAGCATAGAAACACATTTATATGAAAGTCATATACCTTCATATAAAAGTATATATGTAATCCCAGCACTCTGGGAGGCCGAGGCGGGCAGATCACCTGAGGTCACGATGTTCGAGACCAGCCTGACCAACATGGAGAAACCCTGTCTCTACTAAAAATACAAAATAAGCCGGGCGTGGTCGCGCATGCCTGTAATCCCAACTACTGGGGAGGCTGAGGCAGAAGAATCGCTTGAACCTGGGAGGCAGAGGTTGCGGTGAGCTGAGATCACGCCATTGCACTCCAGCCTGGGCAACAAGAGTGAAACTCCATCTCAAAAAAAGAAAAAAAGAAAAAAAAGAAAAGTCAAAACTTATGGAGACTTGAAAGTGTGAAAATTAGCTTGACTTGAAAAGAGAAAAAAGCAGTCAGTGGTGTTCTAGACAAGCTTTGCTATTTTCATTTATTACTGGAGATACTCAGTTGCTAAGCCACCTTGCCTTATGACAGCATTCCATCCCTAATTAATCCCTGGTTCTCCAATTTCTCTCTCTCTCTCTCTTTTTTTTTTTTTTTTTTGAGACAGAGTCTTGCTCTGGTGCCCAGGCTGGAGTGCAGTGGCACGATCTCGGCTCACTGCAACCTCCACATTTCAGGTTCAAGCAGTTCTCCTGCCTCAGCCTCCCAAGTAGCTGAAATTACAAGCATGCACCACCGCGCCCGGCTAATTTTTTTTTTTGTATTTTCAGTACACGCAGAGTTTCACCATGTTGGCCAGGTTGGTCTCGAACTCCTTTCCTCAGGTGATCTGCCCACCTCCCAAAGTGCTGGGATTACAGGCATGAGCCACCGCACCTGGCATCCGGCCAATTCCCAGTTCTCCTAATTCCACCTCAGAACCAGCAACCGATCCAGTTTATCCCCACTCCCCTGAGACCCTCCTTAAAATCCTTCAACCAGATCCCAAACCTTACAAAAGACACATTTCTCTTCCCTCTTGCCCAGCAGCTTTATTCTAAACCTTTAGCAGCATTCTTTGGAAGAAGATATATAGAACTAACAAAGTACATCTATAATATATAAAGAATTCCTACCAATCAATAAGAACAAGGCAGACAATCCAATAAAAAGAATGGGCAAAAGGGACAGGTGGGTGCAGTGGCTGATGCTTGGCCTGGAATTCCAACACCGTAGGAGGCCGGGGGGCAGGGAGTAGAGGGGAGGAAGGATTGCTCCAGCCCAGGAGTTCAAGACCAGCTTGAGCAACATCATGAGACCCAGTCTCTACAAAACATACAAAAATTAGCTGAGCATGGTGGTGTGAACCTGTAGTCCAGCTACTCAGGAGGCTGAGGTGGGAGCCCAGAGAAAGTCAAGGCTGCAGTGAGCCGTGATTGCACCACTGCACCCCAGCTTGGGTGACAGTGTGAGACCCTGTCTCAAAAAAGAAAAAAAATTAAAAAAAAAAAAAAAAAGAATGGGCGGCTGGGTGTGGTGGCTCACGCCTGTAATCCCAGCATTTTGGGAGGCCAAGGTGGGCAGATCACGAGGTCAGGAGTTCAAGACCTGGCCAACATAGTGAAAAACCCCATCTCTACTAAAATACAAAAAAAATTAAGCTGGGCGTGGTGGTGGGCACCTGTAGTCCCAGCTACTTGTGAGGCTGAGGCAGGAGAATTACTTGAACCCTGGAGGTGGAGGTTACAGTGAGCTGAGATCGTGCCACTGCACTCCAGCCTGGGCATCACAGCGAGACTGTGTCTCAAAAATAAAAAAAAAGAAGAATGGCAAAAGACACAAACAGCTGAACATCATGATGTATTGTACAAAAAATAAAAAAGTCATGAACAGGCACTTCACAAAAATTAATATCCAAATGGCCAATAAATATATGAAAAACAGGCCAGGCATGCTAGCTCACGCCTGTAATACCGGCACTTTAGGAGGCTGAGGCAGGAGGATCACTTGAGCCCAGGAGTTGGAGACCAGCCTGGCCAACACAGCAAGACCTGTCTCCTCAAAAACTAAGAAAAATAGTGGGGTGCAGTGGCGTGCACCCATGGTCCCAGCTACCTGGGAAGCTGTGACAGGAGAATCTCTTAAGCCCAGGAGTTTGAGGTTGTAGTAAGCTATGATAGCACCACTGCACTCCAGCCTGGGTGACACAGTGAGACTTTGTCTCAAGAAAAAAAAAAGAAAAAGAACAGACCAGAACAGAAAAGATACCAGTTTCATTATCAACATGGGAATACAAATTAAAATCACAATGAAATGCCACTACACACCCACCAGAATGGCTAAAATTAAAAAGACTAGCAATACTAATGTTGGTAAGGATGTGGAGAAACTGGCAACATATGCTGCCATTGGAGTATAAAGTGATACAACCATTTTGGAAAACTGTGTGGTAGTATCTACTAAAACTGAATACAGTCTTGCTCCATGACCCAGCAATACCTTCCTGCATATTTACTCAACAGAGATGTTTACTTATATGCAAAAAAGAGATATAGGAGGATGTTCACAATGGAAATAATAAAATGTCCATCAACCGTAGAATGAGGCTGGATGCACTGGTTCACACCTGTAATCTTAGTGCGTTGGGAGGCTGAGGCAGGAGGATTGCTTGAGGCCAACAGTTCAAGACCAATCTGGGCAAAATAGTGAGACCCCATCTCTAAAAAAAAATTAAAAATTAGCCACATGTGGTGGCATGCACCCGTAGTCCTAGCCACTTGGGAAACTAAGGCAGGAGGATCACTTGAGCCCAAGAATTCAAGGTTAGAGTGAGCTATAATCATGCCACTGCACTGCAGCCTGGGCAACACAGTGAGACTCTGTGTCTAGAATAGATAGATAGATAGATAGATAGATAAGACAGACAGGCAGACAGAGAGATAGAGTAGAATGGATAAATTGTGACATATTGATATATAATGGAATACTATAGTATTTGACTCTGTATAGCAATGAGAAGGAACTACTGCTACATATATCATGCATGACCTAGGTTGAGTAAAAGACTCCAGACACAAGAGTACATAGTTATAATCCCATTTATTTATGATTTAATTATTTATTTATTTATTTTGAGACAGAGTCTTCCTCTGTCACTCAGGTTGAAATGCAGTGGCACAATCATGGCTCACTGCAGCCTTGACCTCCAGGCTCAAGCAATCCTCCCACTTCTGCCTCCCGAGTAGCTGGAACCACAGGCATGCATTGCCATGCCTGGCTAATTTTTTTTTTTTTTTAAAGCTAGGGCCTCACTCTGTCACCCAGGCTGGAGTCCAGTGGCATGATCATGGCTCACTATAACCTTAAACTCCTGAATTCAAGTCATCCTCCTGCTTTGGCCTCCCAAATAGCTGGGGCTACAGACACATACCCACCACACCAAGCTAATTTTTTTTTTAAGAGACAGAGTCTTGGCCAGGCGCGGTGGCTCACGCCTGTAATCTCAGCACTCTGGGAGGCCGAGGCGGGCAGATCACAAGGTCAGGAGATCGAGACCATCCTGGCTAACACAATGAAACCCTGTCTCTACTAAAAATATAAAAAATTAGCTGGGCGTGGTGGCGGGCACCTGTAGTCCCAGCTACTCGGGAGGCTGAGGCAGGAGAATGGCGTGAACCCAGGAGGCGGAAGTTGCAATGAGCTGAGATCGTACCACTGCACTCCAGCCTGGGCAGCAGAACGAGACTCCTTCTCCAAAAAAAAAAAAAAGAGACAGAATCTTGCTATCGTTGCCCAGACAAATCTCGATCTCCTGGCTTCAAGTGATCTGCTCGCCTTGGCCTCCCAAAGTGCTGGGATTATAGGCGTGAGCCACCATGCCCTGCTTACATGTATATTACACTTCATGGGCTTACTGAAAATACAAAGTGGGCCGGGGGCGGTGGCTTACGCCTGTAATGCCAACACTCTGGGTGGCTGAGGCAGGCAGATAACTTGAGCCCAGGAGTTCGAGACCAGCCTGAGCAATATGGTGAAACCCCGTCTCTACAAAAAATATGACAATTAGCCAGGCATGATGGCAGACACCTGTAGTCCCAGCTACTCGGAGGCTGAGGTGGGAGGATCGCTTGAACCCGGGAGGCGGAGGTTGCAGTGACTCGAGATTAAGCCACTGCACTCTAGCCTGGGTGACAGAGTGAGACTCTGTCTCAAAAAACAACAAAAAAAAGTGGTCCTCTCACCTAGAGCAGAGAGAGCATAAAGTGTGTTAATGTGAGAAAGCGTCGCTGCAGAGAAGACTGAAGTCAGTTCAGACTCTAGGCCCCAGCCCTTCCAAGTCTCTGAAGACATTATCATCCTCCAGTGGGGCCCTGTGCCTGGGTCACAGGCTGAGACCTCAGTGGGAAGGCTGAGAAAAGGGAACTGGTGGCTGGGGGAGGAAAAGGAAGCAGAATGTGGAAACTGTTATAAGCGAGCTGTGCTCACAACCAGAGGTCTAGACTTGGGGTAATTGCTGAAAGAAGGCAGGTAAAGTGGTGGGTTCAAGACAGGACATACTTTACCTATAAACCAAGCAAGGGATTTAACCTCTCTAAGTCTCCGATTCTTGTTCTTTTTTTCCCTTTATTTATTTATTTATACATTTTTTTTACACATTCTAATGTGTCATATTATTTAAAGTTACGATAATAATTACTTTTTTTTTTTCTGAGATGGAGTCTCACTCTATTGCTCAGGCTGGAGTGCGGAGGCGCGATCTTGACTCACTGCAACCTCCACCGCCTGGGTTCAAGCGATTCTCCTGCCTCAGGCTCCCAAGTAGCTGGGATTACAAGCATGTGCCACCACGCCCAGATGACTTTTTGTAATTTTAGTAGAGATGGGGTTTCATCATGTTGGCCAGGCTGTTCTCAAACTCCTGACCTCAAGTGATCCACCCACCTTGGCCTCCCAAAGTGCTGGGATTCCAGGTGTGAACCACTGTGCCTGGCTGAAAGTTGTGATAATAATTCTGAACCCACTGGGCTGCTGTGAGGATTCAGTATGAAACTGTGTATCTGTGGCTGGGCATGGTAGCTTACATCTGTAATCCCAGTACTTTGGGAGGCCGAGGCAGGTGGATCACCTGAGGTCAGGAGTTCGAGACCAGCCTGGCCAACATAGCGAAACCCCGTCTCTACTAAAAATACAAAAATTAACCAGGCGTTATGGTGCACGCCTGTAATCCCAGCTACTTGGGGGGCTGAGGCAGGAGAATCGTTTGAACCCGGGAGGCAGAGGTTGCAGTGAGCCAAAATCGTGCCACTGTACCCCAGCCTGGGCAACAGAGTGCGACTTCGTCTCAAAAATAAATAAATAAATAAATAAAAATAAAAGAAACTGTGTATCTGTGTCAAATTACGGACAACTCCAAAACATGTGTAGTATTGTGCTTTACAGAGGGGTCAGTGGTGCATCTTTGCCACCAGAGGGAGTGCTACCAACAACCTGTTAGGGCTAAAACCCTATAGAGAGCCTGCAATACCAACTAGTAGACTGGGATTTTGCAAATCAGATGCGGAGATGCAGAGGCCAAGGGTAGTGGCAGATGTCCCATCCTTTTCCTGGGCTACAGAAACCTGCTGGCCTCCAAACCGAGTCTGCGTCGTAACTGAATACAGCCCTGGCTAAATCGTCAGCCTGGTATGGGCATTGAGGGGCCCTAGGTCACCTGCTGGCCGTCCATCCTGAGGCATCTGCTCAGAGCCTCCTCCAGGAGGCGTGCTCTACCAGAAGAGAGGACGATAGGCATCCAAATGGCCTGAGCACAATCTCTTCCACCCGGTACCCCAGGGCTCACCTCTCCACCCCTGAATTCCAGCAGTAACTCCCACCCAGAGGCTCTAGCTGTATCCATGATCAGCCCCTCCACATATGGTTAATAAGGACCACCACATCTGTAGGATAGGTCCTGCAGTTAGACTCTCTGGGTTGGAATTCAAGTACCACCACTTGCTCTGTGACCTTGAACAACTCACCTTACTCTTCCCTGAGCCTCAGTTTTCCACATCTGTAAAATGGAGATGATAAGAATGCCTACCTGTCTGATTTATGGGAACTAAATAAGATAATGAATTTTAAGTGCTGAGCACGCTGCCTGGTACACAGTGAGCATGCAATAAATGTGAGCTATTATTATCATCTAAAAAAACTCTTCCTCAGTTCCAAAATACTTTTTCATTAATTCTCTAAGTGAGGAGGACAGAGCAGGTGTCCTCATTTCACAGATGGGGAAACATAGTTCTAAGGGGTTCAGTGACACCCCCAAGGTCACACAGTGAGCAGAAGCCAGGAGATCCAACGCTTAGCCCAGGATGAACCCCCTCCCCCCATAGCACTGCCCTTGTTTTTTTTGTTTTTTTCTGTTTTGAGACGGAGTTTCGCTCTTGTTGCCCAGGCTGGAGTACGATGGTGCAATCTCGGCTCACTGCAACCTCCACCTCCCGGGTTCAAGCGATTCTCCTGCCTCAGGCTTCCTGAGTAGTTGGGATTACAGGCATGTGCCACCAAGCCCGGCCAATTTTGTATTTTTAGTAGAGACAGAGTTTCTCCATGTTAGTCAGGCTGGTCTCGAACTCCCGACCTCAGGTGATCTGCCTGCCTTGGCCTCCCAAAGTGCTGAGATTATAGGCGTGAGCCATCGTGCCGGCCTGCACTGCTCTTAAAACTGTCTGCAAGGCTCCTGTGGAGGTAACAGAGCTGCCACACCCAAAGTTCTGTGGCCATGCGGAGCAGTAAAACCAGTTTTAGGTCAGCAAGTTGTAATCTGTTATGACACTGGGCAGGAAGAAAGGGAAATTGAGGCTTAGCCTCTTGCCTCAAACAAAGAGGAAGCAGAGGTCTGGGTGTTTAACCTAGAGCTCAAGGTCAGGGCATTTTGACCAACCCGTTGTTGTTGCAGCTGCTCCGGACGGTTTTCCTAACTGCTGGAGCTGTGTTGAAGCCCAGGCTTTGGACTTAGGAAGCCTGGGTTTGGAGCCACATCCCAGCTGCGTGAGCCGGGGCAGGCGGCTGAGCTCTGTGAGCCACAGTCTTCTCATCTGAAAATGGGGCTGCTGTTATGAGGCTAAAATGAGATAATGCATGTGAAATCCTTAGCCCAGTGCCTGGCACAGCACTGCTGCAGGGGTCAAGTGTCCCTCAGCTCCTGGGGCATTACAATTCCATTTGATGCTGGGTGTGGTGGCTCACGCCTGTAATCCCAACACTTTGGGAGGCCAAAGTGGGAGGATCGCTTGAGCCCAGAAGTTCAAGACCAGCCTGTGCATCATGGAGAAACCCCAACTCTACAAAAAACACAAAAATAGCCAGGCATGGTGATGTACGCCTACAGTCGCAGCTACTCGGGAGGCTGAGGTGCAGGAGGTCAAGTCCGCAGTGAGCCATGATTGTGCCACTGCACTCCAGCCTGGGTGACAGAGTGAGACCTTGTCTCAAAAAAAAAAAAAAAAAAAAAAAAAAAATCCAAAAGCCAAAAAGAGCTTGCTTTCTAGAATAACTCTTGGGGAAAGAGCCTGGTGTGCTGGAGAGGAAGCATGTCCCCTCCTAGGCTGAGGAAGACTGGAATCTGGGCATGGCAGGGGACTCTGCTCAATGGGGAGGACTGTTCTCTCTCCACTTACCCCAAAATTAAACCGTTCCCCATTTACCACTTCAAATTCTTCATTCTTCTCAGGGCCTCTATATCAGTAAGGAATTGTGTTCAGTTGCTATAAGAGACTGCTACAGTGGCTTAAACAGGCAAGGGTTAATTCTCTCACATTCAAGAAATGGAAATCAGGAGGTAATGGGCAGTCCAGGCTGCTATGGCAGTTCCACAGAATCTTCAGGATCCTGGGATCCCTCTCTTTTTCTGCTTCAACCTCCATAACGTATGACTTCCATTTTCACTGTCACCTTGTGCTCCACAGATGGGCTGCAGGAGCTCCAGCTGTCACACTCATGATCCAGGTGGAGGCCTAGTGTAGGAAGGAAAGGAGGAAGAGCCAAAAGGTGCACCTTCCAGCTAAGTCAGTTCCACTTGATTGACTAGAATTTAGTAATTTGGCCAAATTTAGCTGCAGAAGGGGCTGGGAAATTTAGTCTTTTAGTTGGGTAAGTTGCAGCTCACCCCCTGTGCCTATTGAGAGAAAGGAAGAATTGATATTGGGGAGGCAACTAGCAGCCTCTGGATCTCAGCTGGGTGTTAGGAGGACTGGTTCTAATTAATTTAACCCAGTTACATACTCAAAAGTTATTTCTTGATCACCTATTATGTGCAAGGTACTATGCTAAGCACACATATGAAAGTATTTAAAGAAGCTTATGGGCCGGGCACCTGACCAGCCTGACCAACATGGTGAAACCCCATCTCCACTAAAAATACAAAATAAGCTAGGCATAGTGGCATATGCCTGTAGTCCCAGCTACTTGGGAGGCTGAGGCAGGAGAATCACTTGAACCCGGGAGGCTGAGGTTGCAGTGAGTCGAGATCACGCCATTGCACTCCAGCCTGGGCAACAAGAGTGAAACTCCATCTAAAAAGACTCTTGGCCGGGTGCGGTGACTCATGCCTGTAATCCCAGCACTTTGGGAGGCTGAGGCGGGTGGATCACCTGAGGTCAGGAGTTCAAGACCAGCCTGGCCAACATGGTGAAACCCTGTATCTACTAAAAATACAAAAATTAGCTGGGCATGGTGGCGCACACCTGTAATCCCAGCTACACGGGAGGCTGAGGCAGGAGAATCATTTGAACCTGGGAGGCGGAGATGGTAATGAGCTGAGATTGTGCCACTGAACTTCGGCCTGGGCAACAGAGCAAAACTCCGTCTCAAAAAAAAAATAAATAAATAATAAAAGAAAAAGACTCTTGCTCTGCCTTAAGAAACCTACAGGGGATAGGGCTGGGCGCGGTGGCTCACACCTGTAATCCCAGCACTTTGGGAGGCTGAGGCGGGTGGATCACAAGGTCAGGAGATCAAGACCATCCTGACTAACATGGTGAAACTCTGTCTCTACTAAAAATACAAAAAATTAGCCTGGCGTGGTGGCGGGCACCTGTAGTCCCAGCTAGTCGGGAGGCTGAGGCAGGAGAATGGAGTGAACCTGGGAGGCGGAGCTTGCAGTGTGCCGAGATGGCACCACTGCACTCCAGCCTGGGCAACAGAGCGAGACTCCGTCAAAAAAAGAAAAAAAAAAAAGAAGCCTACAGGGGATAATTAGCCAGGCATGGTGGCACACGCCTGTAATCCCAGCTACTTGGGAGGCTGAGGCATGAGAATTGCTTGAACCTGGGAGGTGGAGGTTGCAGTGAGCCAAGATCGCGCCACTGCACTCCAGCCTGGGCAACAGCAAGATACTCTGTCTCAAAAAAAAAAAAAAAAAAAAAAAGAAAGTAACCTATGGGGGAATGGTGAAAAGACAAGCACAAAACTCTTCGGTTTTCTTATTTGTACATTGAAGATGTTGTACCCAGAGCTCTCTAAAGCCCCTGGTAACTTTATTGTTCACTGATGCTCAATTAATAGAATTGCATTTTGCTTCTCTGCCTCCCTCATCTGACCATCTGACTGTGAAACCCCTGATTACAGGAACCATGTCTGGTCTACTCTGGCGCCATCAGAGCCTACCACAGTGTGTGGCTCAATACATCTGCTTGCCAAGTGAACACATGACTTATGCAGAGCTCAGCAAGGGGCACAAGAGAGGTTCAGATAACGCTCTTAGGGTGTCTAAGAGGGGCTGTCCAAGGTATATCTTTTATGTCTGTCAACCAGACTGGAATGCAGTAGTCATGCAAGCTGGAATGCGATCACGGTTCACTGCAGCCTTGACCTCCTGAGCTCAAGCAATCCTCCCACTTTAGCCTCCCAAGTAGCTGGAACTACAGGCATATGCCACCATGCCCAGCTAATTTTTAAATTTTTTGCAGAGACAAGGTCTCCTTATGTTGCCCAGACTGGTCTCAATATTCTGGGCTCAAGCAATCCTCCTGCCTCAGCCTCCCAAAGTGTTGGGATTATAGGCGTGAGCTATCTTGCCTGGACAATAATTTTTGAAGGTTGCAATCAAGGAAAATAACAGAAATGTTGGTCCATCATTTATCCAACCACTATACCATCCTGCCAAGTAGATTGGGCATTGTGGCAGAGAAGAGGAGAGGAAAATAGCATTTAATGGATGTATCCTTTGTGTCAGGGGCTCTCTGTGGTAATAAGAACTATCATTTATTAGCCTCTATAGACCTGGCACTTCACATGTGTGATCCTACTGAGTCCTCGCAACCACTGTATAGGGTAGGTGCTATTATTATGCACATTTTATTTTATTATTATTATTTTTTATTTATTTTTGGGACTGAGTCTTGCTCTGTCGTCCAGGCTGGAGTGCAGTGGCATGATCTTGGCTCATTGCAACCTCCACCTCCCTGGTTCAAGCAATTCCCCTGCCTCAGCCTCCTGAGTAGCTGGGATCACAGGCACATGCCGCCACATCTGGCTAATTTTTTTGTATTTTTAGTAGAGATCGGGTTTCACCACGTTGGCCAGACTGGTCTCAAACTCCTGACCTCAGGCAATCTGCCTGCCTCGGTCTCCCAAAGTGCTAGGATTACAGGGGTGAGCCACCGCGCCTGGCCTATTATTATTTTTTCTTTTTTTCTTTTTTTAATTAGAGACAGGGTCTCACTATGTTATCCAGTCTGGTGTCTAACTCCTGGCCTCACATGATCCTCCTGCCTTCGCCTCCCAAAGTTCTGGGATTACAGTCACGGGCCACTGCACCTGGCCTATTATCCACATTTTAAAATGGGGAAACCAAAGCTAGGGAAAGATTCCCAATAGCATTAAGTGGGGAGTTATAATTGTAATTTACTCCTCTCCCAATTCCTGTTCTTTATAACCATTTGGTTACCAAGCAATGAAAGCAGCCTAGCTCTCACATCTAGAGTTCACAGGCTGGTTGGGGTGGCAGTAAACAATCCCTGTGGCAATCAGTGCCATCATCCAGGTATGGTCAGGAGCTATGGGAGTCCAGAGCCTGGCAGACTATAGTCATGTCTGAGAGGCGAGTCAGGGCCAATTTTCAGGTGAGGTGACGTTGGAGCTGAGTGCTACAGCATGAGCTAGAGTTGACCAGGAAGCTGAGGGTGGCTGTTCAGGCCAAGCAAGGCCACAGCAGCTACAAAGGCACAGGGGCAAGTAAGAACACGATGTGTTTGCTCTAGATGCAGGCAAGACCTGAGTCACTGATGTGTCGGAAACTGCTGCATCAGTACAGGAAAGAAACCATAAGGGTTGAAACTAAGAATGTGGCAGCGGGGGCAAAGAGGGAAGGACAGATTGGAGAAGGTATCGGGGAGGTAGAATGACACGTGAAGGCTAGCGGTTATGAGGGGTGAGCACGGTTGCCGTGTACAGTTGTGAAGTATGTGGACTGCTTAGTTTCCCAGATGAGGGGTCTGAAATCCAGTCTTCATTGGTGCCTTGTAGAGAAGAAGAGTTGGCCTTTTATTTTATTTTATTTTATTTTATTTATTTATTTTTTTTTAGGCGGAGTCTAGCTCTGTAGCCCAGGCTGGAGTGCAGTAGCACAGTTTCAACTCACTGCAGCCTCTGCCTCCCAGGCTCAAGCAATTCTCCTGCCTCAGCCTCCCAAGTAGCTGGGATTATAGGTGCCCGCCCCCACGCCCAGCTAATTTTAGTATTTTAGTAGAGACAGGGTTTCACTATGTTGGGCAGGCTGGTCTCCAACTCCTGACCTCAGGTGATCTGCCCACCTCGGCCTCTTAAAGTGCTGGGATTACAGGCGTGAGCCACCACGCCTGGAGTTGGCCTTTTTCTCATTCCCCAGTGACACCATAGAGGCATATGATGCGTACAGGTATACGAGGCTCAGAGGCATGGAGGCAATGACACCACAGAGGAAGTGAGAATCAATCGCTCCCAGGAAGGCAAGATTCCAGAATACGAGTGTGTCTAAAGAAAAGACCATCTCTCAACATCTGAACCAAAAAGCTGCATTTACTACAGTACTTACTTAAGGGAGGTGGAGCTGGGCCTGTTAGGTGCAATCCCTGTGAGTGGAGCAGGGCACTGATCTTATATAAGGTGCTAGGAGGTTGAAGATCAATGGTGGGCACATATCAAGGGAGGTAGTGTTTAGGGATTGGTTGGCCAACCAGTGTGGCTGTTACCGATTGGCTGGTGTCAGATGTCTGGTCACTGAGGAAAATTGTTCAGCTGAAGGGAGAGGAATTGTCTTTAAGTGGCTTAAAACTGGTTATGGTGGTGACTTGTTGCCATGGCAGCAGAACAGTCTTTCCTGTGGGTATGAGCTTTTTTTTCCCCCTCAAGTGACTGTAGCTCAAAACATTCACTCTCAGAGGTTGTTTTCTTTTATAAAGGACCATGTTGGCTCTGGGGAGGGAAGTTCACAGGCTGGCTAGGGTCAGAATACTTGCCTGGCCCAGGTATTCAAAGGTCCAGTTTGTCACCTCTCCAAGATCCTGTGGCTGAGGTGTTTCCAACACAGGGAATCAGGGAAGTTAGTTGCATTGTAAGGAACATACCTAATCAGAAATGGGACCTAGGGCTGGGTGCAGTGGCTCACACCTGTGATCCCAGCACTTTGGGAGGTCAAAGCAGGAGGATCCCCTGAACCTAGGAGCTTCAGACCAGCCTGGCCAACATAGTGAGACCCCATTTCTTAAAAAAATAAAAAAGCCCGGGCGCGGTGGCTCACGCCTGTAATCCAAGCACTTTGGGAGGCCGAGGCTGGTGGATCATCTGAGGTCAGGAGTTCGAGAGCAGCCTGACCAACATGGTGAAACCCTGTCTCTACTAAAAATACAAAAAATTAGCTGAGCATGATGGCGGGTGCCTATAATCCCAACTACTCGGGAGGCTGAGAAAGGAGAATCCTTTCAACCCGGGAGGCAGAGGTTGCAGTGAGCCGAGATCGTGCCACTGCACTCTAGCCTGGGTGTTACAGAGCAAGACTGTCTAAAAAAAAAAAAATTAGCGGGGTGTGATGGCACATGTTTGTAGTCTCAGCTACTTGGGAGACTGAGATGGGAGGATTGAGCTCAAGAGTTTGAGCTCAGGCTGCGGTGAGTCATGATCACACCACTGCACTCCCACCCACAAGACACAGTGAGACCTTATCTCAAAAAAAAAAAAAAAAAATCAGAAATGAGACCTAGGATCCCGGACTCCCAGTCACTTCTTCCGTAAAGGAGAAGATGAGGTGCTGGTGGGCAGTGTGGTGCAGCTGGCCAGACCTTACAGCCAGCTTTTGCCCCTGCCTTCTCCACAGAAGCCTCTCCTTGGTCTCTCCTTTATGTCTCTCCTTGGGCTTAGTGGGAACCACATGTGTTTGCCCAACCACAACCCTAAGAACCATCCCTGGAGCTGCCATGGGAGGTTCTGAGCTCTGTCAGGACTAGGGTAAAAGCAGACGGATGCTTTTCTGCAGCTCAGTGGCCACTTAGATCCACCAGAGCTACCCGCCCACTTCACTCCCATTGAGCAAAGGCTTCTGGTAGGTAGGCTCGGGTGGGTTTGTTTTTTAAAATAATTGTTTAAAACTTTTGGTCAGGTGCGGTGGCTCATGCCTATAATCCCAGTACTTTGAGAGGCCGAGGTGGGTGGATCAACTAAGGTCAGGAGTTCAAGACCAGCCTGGCCAACATGGTGAAACCCTGTCTCTACTAAAAATACAAAAATTAGCTAGGCATGGTGGCACAAATTTGTAATCCCAGCTACTCGGGAGGCTGAGGCAGGAGAATCACTTGAACCCAGGAGGTGGAGGTTGCAGTGAGCTGAGATCGTGACACCGTACTCCAGCCTGGGTGACAGAGTGAGACTCTGTCTCAATAAAATAAAATAAAAAATAAAGTGTACAATTCAGTGGTTTTTGGTATCTTCACAGATGTGTGCAACATCACCACAGTCAACTTTAAAACATTTTTTGGCACCTCAAAAAGAAACCCCACACCCTGTATTTATCACCCCCAACCCTGCCAGCCCCTGGCAATCACTAATCTACTTTCTGTCTCTATAGATTTGCCTATTCTGGACATTTCATATAAGTAAAATCATAAACCATGCAGTCTTTTGTAACTGGCTTCTTTGGCTCAGCATAATGTTTTCTTTTCTTTTTCTTTTTTTTTCTTTTTTGAGATGGAGTCTCGCACTCTCGCCCAGGCTGGAGTGCAGTGGCGTGATCTCGGCTCACTGCAAGCTCCGCCTCCCAGGTTCACGCCATTCTCCTGCCTCAGCCTCCCAAGTAGCTGGGACTACAGGCGCCCGCCACCACACCTGGCTAATTTTTGTATTTTTAGTAGAGAAAGGGTTTCACCATGTTAGCCAGGATGGACTCGATCTCCTGACCTTGTGATCCGCTCACCTCGGCCTCCCAAAGTGCTGGGATTACAGGCGTGAGCTACCGCGCCTGGCCTATCTTTTTCTTTTCTTTTTTTTTTTTTTTTAGAAACAGGGTCTCACTGTGTTGCCCAGACTGGTCTTGAACTCCTGGACTCAAGTGATCCACCTGCCTCAGCCTCCCAAAGTGCTAAGATTACAGGCATAAGCCACCATACCCAGGGAAGAGAGCTGATTGGCTGAGGGCCCCTCCTAGCATTCAGATGCTGTGCTGCCCATGGGCTGCATCCAGTCATGACTTAGCATCCCTGTATCAAGGATGTGAAGGCAGGCTGGTCCTGGGAGCCTGAGGACCCCTCTGAAGAAGGGTAACTTCGGCTGGAGTAGCCCCCAACAGGCTTGCTGAATTTTCCCCAGAATTGCATTTGCAATCTAAGACGACGCTGCCACCCACCAAACCTTCCTTCCTCCTTCCCTTACGCAGCATCACACCTGTGCTCCCAGCCCCATTTCCTGTCACAGACACTTCTAATATATTTCCTGCACATCCTGTCTTGGCAACTGCTTCTAGGAGATCCTGGACTGAAGGGGTGGGTTGCCTCTTCACACCTGTGGGTGTTTCTCGTTAGGTGGACTTGGAAAAGAAAGAGACACAGAGACAAAGTATAGAGAAAGAAATAAGGGGGCCCAGGGGACCAGCGTTCAGCATATGGAGGATCCCGCCGGCCTCTGAGTTCCCTTAGTATTTATTGATCATTCTTGGGTGTTTCTCGGAGAGGGGGACGTGGCAGGGTCATAGGATAATTGTGGAGAGGTCAGCAGACAAACACCTGAACAAAGGTCTCTGCATCATAGACAAGGTAAAGAATTAAGTGCTGTGGTTTAGATATGCATACACATAAACATCTCAATGCCTTAAAGAGCAGTATTGCTGCCCGCATGTCCCATCTCCAGCCCTAAGGCGGTTTCCCCCTAAGTAGATGGAACATACAATCAGGTTTTATACCGAGACATTCCATTGCCCAGGGACGGGAAGGAGACAGATGCCTTCCTCTTGTCTCAACTGCAAAGAGGCGTTCCTTCTTCTTACACTAATCCTCCTCAGCACAGACCCTTTACGGGTGTCGGGCTGGGGGACGGTCAGGTCTTTCCCTTCCCACGAGGCCATATTTCAGACTATCACATGGGGAGAAACCTTGGACAATACCTGGCTTTCCTAGGCAGAGGTCCCTGCAGCCTTCCGCAGTGTTTGTGTCCCTGGGTACTTGATTCATTTTTTTTTTTTTTTTTTGAGAGGGAGTTTTGCTCTGTCGCCCAGGCTGGAGTGCAATGACGTGATCTCTGCTCACTGCAAGCTCCGCCTCCCAGGTTCACGCCATTCTCCTGCCTCAGCCTCCCGAGTAGCTGGGACTACAGGCGTGCGCCACCTCGCCCGGCTAATTTTTTGTATTTTTAGTAGAGACGGGGTTTCACCGTGTTTGCCAGGATGGTCTTGATCTCCTGACCTCGTGATCTGCCTGCCTTGGCCTCCCAAAGTGCTGGGATTACAGGCGTGAGCCACCGTGCCTGGCCTGTCCCTGGGTACTTGAGATTAGGGAGTGGTGGTGACTCTTAACGAGCATGCTGCCTTCAAGCATCTGTTTAACAAAGCACATCTTGCACAGCCCTTAATCCATTTAACCCTGAGTTGACACAGCACATGTTTCAGAGAGCACGGGGTTGGGGGTAAGGTTACAGATTAACAGCATCTCAAGGCAGAAGAATTTTTCTTAGTACAAAACAAAATGGAGTCTCCTATGTCTACTTCTTTCTACACAGACACAGCAACAATCTGATCTCTCTTTCTTTTCCCCACACTGGACTAACACACTGCTAATCTCCCAACAATTCACTAAACTTGATGCAAATCAATCCCAAATAACTAAGTTTCTGCCAGCTTTTTTTTTTAAATTTTTTTAGAGACAGGGTCTCACTTTATTGCCCAGGCTGGAGTACAGTGGCTATTCACACGTGTGATCATAGCATATTGCAGCCTCAAACTCCTGGCCTCAAGCCATCCTCCTGCTTTAGCCTCCTGAGTAGCTGGGACTACAGGCACGTGCCTCCTGTGCCCAGGACGTCAGCTTGTTTTGAATGTACAATTTTGAGGTCAGGCTCAGTGGCTCACACAGTGCTTTGGAAGGCCAAGGCAGGAGGATCGCTTGAGGTCAGGAGTTTAAAACTGGCTTGTGCAACCCAGGGAGACCTTGTCTCAAAAAAAAAAATGTGATCCAAGATTAATATAGACTGAGAAATCAGTTTTATGTGAATGAAAGCAGAAGGGTCAAAATGTGCTTATTGCCCTGGTTTGAGCATTTTACCATTACAGTTTTCACACAGGGTCTAGTGGCAGAGGGCTTGACGCACACCAGGTGGTTTTGAGAGTGCCATAAATTTAAAAAAGAAAGAGGCTTGGACTAAAGCCTGGCCTTAGAAGTCTGACAATGCGGGCGGATCAGGGAAACCTGGGTGCTGTCAGGGAAGTTCTTTTTTTTTTTTTTTTTTGAGACGGAGTCTCGCTCTGTCACCCAGGCTGGAGTGCAGTGGCGCGATCTCGGCTCACTGCAAGCTCCGCCTCCTGGGTTCACGCCATTCTCCTGCCTCAGCCTCCTGAGTAGCTGGGACTACAGGCGCCCGCCACTACGCCTGGCTAATTTTTGTATTTTTAGTAGAGATGGGGTTTCACTGTGTTAGCCAGGATGGTCTCGATCTCCTGACCTCATGATCTGCCCGCCTCGGCCTCCCAAAGTGCTGGGATTACAGGCGTGAGCCACAGCGCCTGGCCTGGGAAGTCCTTGAGGAAGCCGCAGGCTGCCGGAGAGCCCTCCTCTTTCTTTTCCGGCAGCACCAGCTCCAGCTCTGTTTACCTGCAGATGGCGACTGCATTTCGGGCGGGGGCAGTCAAAGTCCCTGAAGCACTGCTTTCTCTCCTAGAACCTGAGTCTTGAGGCATCATCTGGGCTCATGCCCTCTCTGAAACATAAATCCTGTACTCCACAGACACCAGCTGAGCCGGGAGATCTGAACATCAGGCAATGAGTTTGCAAGATGGTTTAACAACTATGAACATGTGGTGTCCTCACAGGAATCCTGTGGGCTGAACAGCAGCCGCCCCTCCTTCCACCCAGCACAAAACTTGGTTTGCCCCGCTCACTCTAAATCTGGGCCTTCAATGAATGTTCAGTGGAGTTCTTCTGTGGAAAAAAATAAATGGGAAAGGAAGGCTGGAGAGGCCTTTATTAGCCTAAGGGGCAGTGGAGGGTAAAAGGGCTGTGACTCTTGGTTGGCTTCTTCTTTTTCTTTATTGTTTTTTGTTTTGTTTTGTTTTGTTTTTTCTGGTAGCTTCTTTATCTCAGTGTTTTTTCTTTTTCTTTTCTTTTTTTTTTGAGACAGGGTCTCACTCTGTCACCCAAACTGGAGTGCAGCAGTGCAATCATAACTTAGCGGGGCTCAAGCAATCCTCCCACCTCAGCCTCCCTAGTGGCTGGGACTACAGGTGTGCACCACCACACCCGGCTAATTTTTGTATCTTATTGTAGACACAGGTTTTCGCCACGTTGCCCAGGCTGGTCTCAAACTCCTGGGCTCAACTGATCCCCTTGCCAGGGCTTCTCAAAGTGCTGGGATCATAGGCATGAGCCGCCATGCCTAACCCTTATCTGAGTTTTTGTAACAGTTTGACCAACAAGCTTGTTGTTGGAAAGCTGTAAGAGTCCTGGAAATTTCCCTGGGGCCTGAGGAATCAAACACTGCTCTACAAGGGGAGGCTTTCTGTCCTGAGAGTTCAGGCTTTAGGGGCTGGCTGGAGGCCTCAGGCAGAGATGAAGGCCCAGTTATGATTTCCTTCACTGGAGTCCATCATTAATGAGCGCCTTGGCTGGGGGGATGCCTGCTAAGAGGGCATGGAGTACAGATCCTCCACTGACACCCCCACACTCCTAGCAGCAAGCAGGACTTAGTGGCCCCACTTACTCCCTACAGGGTAGGAAAAGACGGCAGTGCCCTGGTGAGGAGCTGTATAGGGGGTCCTTCAGGATGCTTGCTGGGAGGGGTGGGGAGGGCACAGGACGTGCTGGGACCCCACTGGGATCTAAGCCCCTCCCAGCTGATTTATTCTTAGGATCTGTAATGCTCGCCTGCATGTGCCCCGAACTTCAGAAGGCCCAAGAATCAACCCTGACAAATGTCTTTTTGTCCTGTATTCAGTAGAGATAAGATTAAAAAAAAAAATTAGTAGAGGGCAAAAAACAGTGGTTTACTCTCTTTACTGGCATTCAAGAAACTTCTTCGGTTTGATAGGCTTTAAGCTTCTTCCCAGATTCAAAATGCTGTGATTGGCACTAAATGGATCCCTATCTCTGCCCAGGAATTCCGGCTTCTGGCTGCAAAGCCTTTGGGGTCCTTGCAATGGGGCAGGTATAACTTCCCATATTCTCTTCCTCAATCTTCCTTTCCTGCCCCTCCCTCTCTATTTTTTTTTTTTTTTTTTTTTTTTTGAGACAAGGTCTCACACCGTAACCCAGGCTGAAGAGCAGTGGTGCAATCATGGCTCACTGCAGACTCAACCTCCTAGGCTCAAGCAATCCTCCCACCTCAGCCTCCCGAGTAGCTGGGACCACAGGCACATGCCACTACGTCCAGCTCATTTTTGTATTTGTTGCAGTGATGGGGATTTGCCATGTTGCCCAGGCTGGCCTTGAACTTCTGGGCTCAAGCCATCCTCTCACTTCAGCCTCTCAAAGTGCTGGGATTGTAGGCTTGAGCCACTGTGCCCTGCCTGCCTTTCTGTTCTGATGCAGGAAGCCCTGACTTTGGAGTCCTTCCCTGTGGATCACCTCTGATAAATCTAGTCTCTTGTTCATCTGCTCTTTTATTTATTAAAAAAACTTTTTAAAAAGACTAGTAAAGTGCAGTAGTGAGAAGGTGGGAAAGGGTAGAACAAGGAGCTCGATCTGTAACTGACTGTGAACAATCAGTTGAGATAACTCACTACCTTTGGACCAGCCTCATCTGCCCTTTTGAATGGTTCCTCTCAGTTTTTTCATCTGTAAAATGTGAATCGTGCGTGGCAGGAGGTGAGTGGGGATTTGTAGTGGAGAATTCTCAAGGTCTCTCCCAGCTCTGACACTTGGGGACTCAGGGAGTCTACCAAGGGCAAAGGCATCATCCTAAGTGCAGGTTCGTGTGTGGGGGTGTATGAAACAGTTAAGATGAAGTGCCCATCCTCAAGGAGTTTGCAGTTGAGTAGCTCAGTGGCATGCATAATAAATCTCAGGTAGGCCCGGTGTGGTGGCTCATGCCTGAAATCCCAGCACTTTGGGAGGCTGAGGTGGGTGGATCACGAGGTCAGGAGTTTGAGACCGGCCTGACCAACATGGTGAAACCCTGTTGCTACTAAAAATACAGAAATTAGCTGGGCGTGGTGTGGGCGCCTGTAATCCCAGCTACTTGGGAGGCAGAGGCAGAATGGTTTGAACCCAGGAGGCAGAGGTTGCAGTGAGCCGAGATCACGCCACTGCACTCCAGCCTGGGTGACAGGGCGAGACTCCATCTCAAAATAAATAAATAAATAAATAAATAAATAAATAAATAAATAAATAAATAAATCTCAGGTAGATATTCAGGAAGTGAGGCATTTCAGAGTTCATCAGAATTCCAAGGAGGTATAAGATTCCTTCTGGAGGCAGAGGGGTTTGGTGAAGGGAATAAAGTAGGGTTCCCAAGTTCCTTTCCAAGGCCAGTGGTGCAGATGCTTTTGGCTTCCCAACCAAAGAATCCCAGTTATTGCCCAACTCTGACCCCGGCAGGCAAGTCTTCCCCTACCAGGCAACCACACTCACACTTTCTGAATTGGTGCCTCATTAATTCTTTTTTTGCCTTCTTAATCACACTGCTAATAATACTTATTTTTATTTTTATTTTTATTTTGAGACTGAGTCTCACTGTTGTCGGCCCCGGCTGGAGGGCAATGGCGCAATCTTGGCTCACTGCAACCTCTGCCTCCCAGGTTCCAGCGATTCTCCTGCCTCAGCCTCGCAAGTAGCTGGGATTACAGGCGCCTGCCACCACGCCTGGCTAATTTTTGTATTTTTAGTAGAGACGGAGTTTCACCATGTTGGCCAGACTGGTCTCGAAATCCTGACCTCAGGTGATCCACTCACCTTGGCCTCCAAAAGTGCTGGGATTACAGGCATGAGCCACCATGCCCGGACAATAATATTTATTAATATAATATCACTAGCTGATAATACCACTGGCCAGGCGTAGTGGCTCACGCCTGTAATCCCTGTACTTTGGAAGGCCGAGGCGGGAGGATCACCTGAGCTCAGGAGTTCGAGACCAGCCTGGCCAACATGGTGAAACCCTGTCTCTACCAAAAATAGAAAGATTAGCCAGGCGTGGTGACAGGCACCTATAATCCCAGCTCCTCAGGAGGCTGTGGCAGGAGAATCGCTTGAACCCAGGAGGTGGAGGTTTCAGTGAGCTGAGATCATGCCATTGCCTTCCAGCCTGGGTGACAGAACAAGACTCCATCTCAAAAAAAAAAATATATATATATATATATATTATTATTAATAATATATTTAAAATTCATGACTAGTTGTTTCCATTCATCATCTCATCTATTTCTCATCTAAAGGCTTTGCTTAGGTGGGTATGAATATGATTACAGACAGGAAAACAGGATGAGAAGTTGAGTGACTCATGGCAGGCCCCAGAGCTAACCAGAAACAGGAATATTTGAACTTGAGTTTCCGAGAGCATCTTCTTCCTACTCACATTTCTTACTCATTGCAGAAATGAGAGAACCCAGTGAGGAGACGAGGTGACAAGGGCACAGAATCTTGAATGTCTTGAGAGCAGGAGGAGGAGAAGAAAACACGGTAGGAGTCAGGCTAGGAGTGTGGATTTGGGCCAAGGCAGGACAAAAAGCCAAGGTTAAGGCTGAAAAAGCTCTCCCTGGGAGTGCCTGAACAACAGATTAGGATGACTGGACAGCAGGAAAGATCAGAGGGAGAACCACCTATGAGACAGGCTCCTCAGCGAAACTCCCATGGGGTGACGCCTCTGGGGCTTGAACCACGAGCCCTTTGAGGGCATTCTAGCTTGGCAGCTCTGGGGTCCTGTGAGTTCTGGTGCAGCTTCTAGAGCTGCACCTCATCCCAGTCACCTCTCCAGTTACTAAATTCCATCTTCTCCCAGCTACAAAGGAGGGAAGCAGTGGAGTGCTGTGGTGACAGTGCAGACTAGGCCACTGGGTGGCCTGGGTTTGAGTCCCGGTTTCTCCTCCACTTCCTAGCCGTGACTTTGCACAACAATTCCTCTGGTCCCTGGTTTCCTCATCTGTGGAACGGAGCTATAATAGTTCTTACATAAGGATGGGCATGGTGGCTCACGCCTATAATCCCAGCACTTTGGGAGGCTGAGGCGGGCAGATCACCTAAGGTCCGGAGTTTGAGACCAGCCTGACCAACATGGAGAAACCCCGTGTCTACTAAAAATACAAAATTAGCCAGGCGTGGTGGCACATGCTTGTAATCCCAGCTCCTCGGGAGGCTGGGGCAGAAGAATTGCTTGAACCCAGGAGGCGGAGGTTGTGGTGAGCCAAGATTGCGCCATTGCTCTCCAGCCTGGGCAACCAGAGCGAAACTCCATCTCAAAAAAAAAAAAAAATTCTTACATAATATGAATTGCTGGGGTTGAAATTATACATTAAAAGGCTAGTTGCACTAAACCCTCACAAATAGGAGCTATTATGATTATGCAGCTGCAAACCTCTCGTGTTTTGGTTCACGTTGTTCCCAAAGTGCCTTTTCTCTGCCTCTCAAATCCTTCCCACACTTCAAAGTCAACAAATGCCAAAAATACAACAAAAATGTGGAGGCCATAGACAATAGTGGAGAAAGAGTATGGTCTTGGGAGCCAGCAGCCTGGGCTTGAATCCTGATTTCTGTCACCTTGGGCAAATTTCCTCATCTGCAAGTGGGAAAAGATAGAACCTGCCTCAGAGGGTCATTGTGGAGATACGAGGATTGAGTGAGTTAATATTTGCAAAGCACTCAGAACACTAACTGGCATGCAGTAGGTGCTTTACTGGTACATGATCGCCGCTCACTGCAACCTCTGCCTCTCAGGTTTAAGTGATTCTCCTGCCTCAGCCTCCTGATTACAGGCACACTCCACCATGCCCGGCTAATTTTTTTGTACTTTTAGTAGAGTGGAGGTTTCACCATGTTGGTCAGGCTGGTCTCGAACTCCTGACCTCAAATGATCCGCCAGTCTTGGCCTCCCAAAGTGCTGGGATTACAGGCGTGAGCCACCCAATGTTATTGTTGGCTACTAATACATGGGTCTTATTTGCCCTCTGCTTGCTTGAAGGACAGGAAACACATTCAACCCATCCTTGAGTCTAGTCCACTGCCTGGCTCATGTTTGGTGCTCATTAAAGTGTCTAGATTGAAATCAACCAGGAGATTGGCCTGCCACAGTGGCTCACACCTGTCATTCCAGTGTTGCTGTGAAGTTGCTGCAGGAGGACTGCTTGAGGCCAGGAGTTTGAGACCAGCCCGGTCAACATAGTGAGATCTGTCTCTACAGAAAAAAAAAAAAAAAAAAAAAAAATTAGCCAGGCCTGGTGGCATGCCTGTAGTCCCAGCTATTCAAGAGGCTGAAGCAGGAGGATCACTTGAGTCTAGGATTTCAAGGCTGCTGCAGTGAGCTATGATCATGCTACTGCACTCTGCTTTGGGAACAGGGGGAAACTCTGTTTAAAAAAGAAAAAGAAGGCCGGGCACTGTGGCTCACGCTGGTAATCCCAGCACTTTGGGAGGCCGAGGCCGGTGTATCACTTGTGGTCAGGAGTTCGATACCAGCCTGGACAACATGGTGAAACCCCGTCTCTACTAAAAGTACAAAAATCAGCCGGGCGTGGTGGCGGCTGCCTGTAATCCCAGCTACTCGGGAGGCTGAGGCAGCAGAATTGCTTAAACCCGGGAGGCGGAGGTTGCGGTGAGCCGAGATCGCACCACTGCACTCCAGTCTGGGAGATAGCTCCGTCTCAAAAAAAAAAAAAAAATTGTAATAATAAATTGCTGATTGGGGCTCGGAGAAGAACAGGCAGTGACTAGAACTCGCCCCTTCCTGAAATATTTGAAGGGTCCTAGCGTTTGCTTTCTTGTTGGAGGCCCAGAAAGCACTGACTTAACGTGTGTGAAAGATTGTAGACAGAGACGGGATAAAGAGCCCCGCGCTGGAAAAAGAGCAGGCTTTGGAACCAGCAGGGTCACGGGCAGTTTCCTTACGTGTAAACTAGGAGTAAAAAGATCAGTGTCCTGCTGAAATGAGAGAGTAATAGTAAAAACTACTATTTACCGAGCACTTCCAGGTACCCGGTATTTATGATCACATTTTACAGATGAGGCTGAGAGGTTTCCCGACCTGCCCAAAGACACAAAGCAAGTAGAATGTACGAGTGAAGACTCGAACACAGGTCCGTGAATCAATCTCTGCGTGGGGATGGGAGCGGTTCCAGTGATAAGGGCCACTTAATCTGGCCGAGCTGCTCCGGAGCAGCGCGGCAGCCAGCGAATTGGGGCCGCCCCCACAACCCGCCGCCCGCCGCCCGCCGCCCTCCGCCCTCCGCCCTCCGCCCTCCGCCCTCCGCCCTCCGCCCTCCGCCCTCCGCCCTCCGCCCTCCGCCCTCCGCCCTCCGCGTGCTTACGTGCGCTCCGTGACTGCGGCGACCGACGCGGGACTGGAGAGGGAGGACGCATGCGCTCTGCCGTGCCGAAGCGCGCCCCCTCCTGTCGGGGGCCGCAGCGCCAGGATGCAGCGCATGCGCACACCTGGAGGGCGGAGAGCGGTCCAGAGCGAGTGGAAAGATTTGGGCGAGAACTTGCGCGGGAGCCGGACTGAGCGGTGCGAGCGCGCAGGCGCGGCCGACGGGGCGGGCTGCTACTCCGGAATCTGCTAATCCCAGTCGGTGCCGCATCCCCAGCCCGCCGCCATGGCCGCCTACAAACTGGTGCTGATCCGGCACGGCGAGAGCGCATGGAACCTGGAGAACCGCTTCAGCGGCTGGTACGACGCCGACCTGAGCCCGGCGGGCCACGAGGAGGCGAAGCGCGGCGGGCAGGCGCTACGAGGTGCGGAGGGGCCGGGTGTGGGCTGCGAAGGGCCGGGTGTCCGGCCTCGGAGGCCGCCTGGCTGGCGTCTGCGCCCTCTCGGAGAGGGCCGGCACCTTGGGCAGCATCTCTCTTAACAGTTTAGTGTGTAGTTGAGAAGATGAGTGCAGAGGGTAGAGTCTACTTGTTCAAGGTCACGCCGTGGAGCATGAGGGGCTGTGCCAGGGGGAGGACCCAGGGCGGTCGCCCCGCAACCCTTTGCGCTCCCCACGACACCACTTCGCAGTTTTCCCTTTCTAGTCTGAACATTTAATATGTCGGGGACAGGCCGGGCGTGGTGGCTCACGCCTGTAATCCCAGCATGTGGGGAGGCCGAGGCGGGTGGATCACTTGCGGTCAGGATGTTCGAGACCAGCCTTATCAACGTGGTGAAACCCCGTCTCTATTGAAAATACAAAATTAGCCGGCCGTGGTGGCGCACGCCTGTAATCCCAGCTACTCGGGAGGCTGAAGCAGGAGAATCGCTTGAACCCGGGAGGCGGAGGTTGCAATGAGCCGAGATCGCGCCATTGCACTCCAGCCTGGGCAACAAGAGCGAAACTCTGTCCAGAAAAAAAAAATAATAATAATAAGTCGTGGACAGTTTGCCCTAATGGAACCATCTATGGCGGCCAGGTCTTTTTCAGGTTCCCTTAGCGCCAGAAGCGGTTGGTACAGTCTGGTGCTCCTGGAGGACGCCCTGTGCCTTAAAGCAGCTGTAACCAAGGCCTCTCAAGAGGCGGCTACGGATCCTAGCGGATCGACACGCCACACAGCCTCGTCCCCAGCAGTAGGTGGAGGCCCTGGGGGTGCCTAACAAGCCTCAGAACACCAAGAAATCCGCGTGGTTGTGCAGGTCTTTGCTGTTCAGTAGCATTCCACAAATAGTGTGTCCAAAACGCATCTGTAGATGTAACTTGAGTGAATGAATGAATGATTCGAGTTGCTCCTTCTACCCAATAAAGTAGATAAGATTTTATCTTTCTCATCTTTCCAAGGCCCCTTTATAGTTGGGAAAAGTGAGTATTTGGAAAGATGACTTGTCCAAGGTCATATCTGATTCCTAGTCCAGTGTCCTCGCCCTAGTCCTGGGTGAAGTAACAGGTAGGTGTGAGGAACTGGTAGGCTTTTGGCTAAGGACGCTGGGCAAAGGTGGAAGTGGCTGTGAGATAATGCTTGCCTATCCAGGCTTGCTCCCGCCCCAGTCTGCTCTTTGTGGTGTTGGAATGCTAATAAGGAAGCATTCCCTGCTGCCGGCACGGCCAAGAATCCCTGGACTGAAGAGGTGCTTCCGCTGATGATAGGGGCAGATCCTCCTTTGCTCCCTTCTAACCTCTGGACAAAGAAGCAGCCATTCACAAGGGTCATTGATGAGGCACAGGTATTTGGCCTCAGATTGCTCTCCTAGCTTCTTGCCTTCACTGTACCATCCTTCTCAAATGAAGCAAAACGCAGGACAGTCTGGTAAATGTAAACCTCTGCGGGGTGGGGTGGGCAGGGGAGTGATTGTTTGAGATGGCCTGGTGTGACCTCATCTTTTAGGAGAGGCTGGGAAATGGAAAGTGCTGGTAAAGGAGGCCATTTTCTTTAGCTCTGTGGCAGGAAGAACTGTATCAGTCCGTGGTAGTTTCCCAATGACTAGTCCACGTTAAACCATGTTGTCTCTGTTTGAGACTAATCAAATAGTTAAACTTGTAATCTCTGTAAAATAACAGATCCTATTTCAGTTTTAAAATAAATGTTAGCATTAAATTAAAAATTTAACAGTATAGAAAATTAAAAGATTTAACGGTTTAAAAGGTCGAATACATATATATAAATAATTCCTCAGTGCTTTAAGTGATAGGGTTTGTACAGCCTTGAATCTGATTTCTGGAGAAAGCTAGTGAGAACTGAGTTTCCCCATGCATCCTTACTGCTAAGAGAGGGATGGCCTGGGGGAGGATGGAGTCCACACCACACTGTCCACTCCTACCCCTGTGAGTGCCCCTGGCTATGTTTTAGTTTGATGGGCAAGTTAAAGGAAGAGGCTTTATTCTCTGATTCTTCAGGTTCTCTGTTAAGAATCCTAAGCGGAACTTCTTTTCTCCTTGAGGACCTATTTATGTGTCCAAAGTGAGCCGCCTCATTGCAAGTGGAAATAATTGCAGTGAAACAGCCTGAAGCTCCCCAGCTGAGGCTTGCACTGTGGGTATTCACTTCCGGGTGTCTCAGCCTTTTGTTGGGGAGCCATTCCTTTCCTTACAGTTAGGAAGGCGACAGTGAGTGAGTCTACTAGGACTTGTCTGGCGGCTCAGTGATGAGACCTGTTTTTTCTCTTGTGGGTGGTGTGAGTTTTCCTGGTGATTAGTTCTCCCCAGCCCTCACTCAGTAAGAATGAGTTCTTCTTGGCCTCATTCTCATTTGAATGACTGGCAGAAAAATTCACTTCATGTTTTATTAATTACTGTTGCTAACCCCAATATGAAGCAATATCCAGGCAAGTTTGTGCTGAATTTCTAAGAGGGCCTTCTAGCCTAATGGAGAAAAACAGGAATGTTTTCTTGGTCATCAAGGAAAGGGCTATCTCCCCATTATGGTGGGAGGGTGAATAATCTTTAATGAAACAAAATCAATAAGACTGATTCCTTTTTTTTTTTTTTTTTTTTTTTTTGCGTGCGACAGAGTCTCGCTCTATCGCCCAGACTGGAGTGCAGTGGCGCGATCTCAGCTCACTGCAAGCTCCGCCTCCCGGATTCACGCCATTCTCCTGCCTCAGCCTCCTGAGTAGCTGGGACTACAGGCGCCCGCCACCATGCCCGGCTAATTTTTTTGTATTTTTAGTAGAGACGGGGTTTCACCATGTTAGCCACGATGGTCTCAATCTCCTGACCTTGTGATCTGCCCACCTCGGCCTCCCAAAGTGCTGGGATTACAGACGTGAGCCACCGTGCCGGGCCAAGACTGATTTCTTGGAACCTATTCATTGGGCCAACATAACTCTTGCCACAATAACTACTGTGTATGGAAGACAGATTCATTGATGAATCAGATAGTGCACAGCACTGGGTCTTTCTTTAGTGAGTGGCTTCTCCTAAACTTGGTTTAACATTTAAGTAGGTATACTCTGAGGGTACTTGGTATTAGGCTGGAACTTTGTGACTACAGTAGAGAGAAACCATGGATTAGAGTTTGTGATGTGATTTCCATACTCCACAGTGAATACAATTTCATACAATGGACAAATACAATTGCAAACAAATACAAAAACAAAATAAAATTTCATACAACAAACTGAAGTTTTATCAGTACAGGAAGAGCTCTTCCTGTGTCCTGATTGGGATTTAAATCCTAATTTTCTTACTTCAGAGTTCTAGTAAAATATCTTTTATAAGTGACAATTCCCAGTCTGGGCAACATGGTGAAACCTTGTCTCTACTAAAAATACAAAAATTAGCTGGATATGGTGGCGTGCGCCTGTATCCTCAGCTTACTTGGGAGGCTGAGGAGAAGAATTGCTTGAACCCGGGAGGCGGAGGTTGCAGTGAGCCGAGACCACGCCACTGCACTCCAGCCTGGGTGACAGTGAGACTCCGTCTCAAAAAAAAAAAAAAAAAAAGAAAAGAAAAAGTGACAGTTCTAACTGAAATGCAAACATCAGGATCCTTGGGAATTAGGAAAATGGGGATAGCTAGAGATGGTGGTGAAAAGTTGGATTCTGGAGTCCCACAGCATGGGTTTTAATCTAGGTTTTAACCCACATAATAGCTGTGACCTTGGATAGAGTGCAAGGATAAACAAAACAGTTGGCCAAATATTTTCTTTTTTGGCCAAATATTGTCATTTGGACTACTTGTACAGGAGATTGATACTGAAGAACATTTTGGCTCAGAGTAGACCTGGTTAGCTTATCACTTTGAACTTCTGATTTCCAGATGCTGGCTATGAGTTTGACATCTGCTTCACCTCAGTGCAGAAGAGAGCGATCCGGACCCTCTGGACAGTGCTAGATGCCATTGATCAGATGTGGCTGCCAGTGGTGAGGACTTGGCGCCTCAATGAGCGGCACTATGGGGGTCTAACCGGTCTCAATAAAGCAGAAACTGCTGCAAAGCATGGTGAGGCCCAGGTGAAGATCTGGAGGCGCTCCTATGATGTCCCACCACCTCCGATGGAGCCCGACCATCCTTTCTACAGCAACATCAGTAAGGTATGGACAAACAGAGGTTTGGTCACTCCGCCCAGGATCAGGGGCTTTTAGTAGTGTCTGCCTAATCTCACTGAACTTACAATTCATGATAAAATAGTTAATTGTAATCCTTCCTTCTCCAGTGAATGACCTTCACTTACTAGAAGATATGGTTGATAGTTTACTATCTCCTTTTTTGTGTTTCCATAGTCAGATTTTATAAAACCCTGTGAATGTGAATGGGCCAAAATCGATACATCATGAAGTCTTTTAACAGATGTAACTCTTAATAAGTGGTGAACTTGGATTCTTTATTGCTTAGGATCGCAGGTATGCAGACCTCACAGAAGATCAGCTACCCTCCTGTGAGAGTCTGAAGGATACTATTGCCAGAGCTCTGCCCTTCTGGAATGAAGAAATAGTTCCCCAGATCAAGGAGGGGAAACGTGTACTGATTGCAGCCCATGGCAACAGCCTCCGGGGCATTGTCAAGCATCTGGAGGGTATGTATGTTTTTTCAGAGGCGCCCTCAAGGAAGGATAAAGCAGAACTGCCACAAATCAGGGACTTGGTAAAAAGGAGTCTAGGGAAGGGCTGGACATGTTAACAGCTTTAGAGATGGTCTAGATTGACTTCTAGTGAAAAAACACCCTCAACCCTTGTTTCTCAAAATGTGATCTGCAGAATAGTGACAGCTGGACCCCCTGGGAGCTTGTTATACATGCAGAACCTCAGGTCTCACTCCAGACCTGTTTCAGAATCGGCATCTATTCCCCAGGTGATTTGGATACACATTAAAGATTGAGAAGCTCACCTCTAGATTGGTATTGTCAAATGAAACTGCTAGTGAAAATCCTCCTTAGCTTGCCAAGCACAGTGGCTCATGCCTGTAATTGCAACATTTTGGGAGGCCAAGGCAGGAGGACCACTTGAGGCCAGGAGTTTGAGACAGCCTGGGCAACATAGTAAGACTGCATCTCTACAAAATTTTAAAAGGCCAAGCACAGTGGTTCATGCCTGTACTATCAGCACCTTGGGAGGCCAGGAGTTCAAAACCAGCCTGAGCAACAAAGCAAGACCTTGTCTGTACAAAAGAAAAATGAAAAATTAGCTTGATGTGGTGATGCTCATCTGTAGTCCCAGCTACTCAGGAGGCTGAGGCGGGAGATCGCTTGAGCCCAGCAGTTTGAGGTTATAGTGAGGTATGATTGTGCCACTACATTCTAGCCTGGGTGAGAGAGTAAGACCTTGTCTCTTAAAAAAAAAAAAAAGGAAAACAAATATATATAAAAGAAAAAATTCTCCTTAGTCACAACCAGGCACAACTTTACACATGAATCTCAATTTGCATCTTCATCCCCGAGGGCCTAGAGGCCCACGTGTGCTGATTTTTGGTTGGATGGGCTGTACAGGGTATTTGAGATGTGTAGTCTTGCTTCACTGTGGGCTTCTAGATCCCACTTTGGTAGAGATATCTGGCCATATACCTTGCTGTAGTTTGTTGGTGGTCTATCTTGTATACCTTTTCTTGCTTTTCAGTTTAATGGCTGAGAAATAAGTATGGTGGGGGCCATTCCCTGGGTTCAGAACTACTATAAAGATCAGAAAGGGTGTCTTATTTTAATTTCTGTCAAAGTCCTTTATCACCTGGAGGACAAAGTAAACCTGGAGGGGTGATGTGGATTTATGTCTTGTGTGGCTGATGATGGTGGATGTTTTCAGGTCTCTCTGAAGAGGCTATCATGGAGCTGAACCTGCCGACTGGTATTCCCATTGTCTATGAATTGGACAAGAACTTGAAGCCTATCAAGCCCATGCAGTTTCTGGGGGATGAAGAGACGGTGCGCAAAGCCATGGAAGCTGTGGCTGCCCAGGGCAAGGCCAAGAAGTGAAGGCCGGCGGGGAGGATACTGTCCCCAGGAGCACCCTCCCTGCCCGTCTTGTCCCTCTGCCCCTCCCACCTGCACATGTCACACTGACCACATCTGTAGACATCTTGAGTTGTAGCTGCAGACGGGGACCAGTGGCTCCCATTTTCATTTTAGCCATTTTGTCGCCTGCACCCACTCCCTTCATACAATCTAGTCAGAATAGCAGTTCTAGAGCACAGGTTCTCAGTCTAAGCTATGGAAAAGCTCCCCTTATCCAACAGAGTTTAAAAGTAGTGACTTGGGTTTTTGCGAGTGCTTTGTTTACTAAGGACTTTGGGGAGGAACCATGCTAAGCCATGACCAGTGAGGAGAAGCAACAGAGCCTGTCTGTCCCCATGAGCGGAGTCTGTCCTCTGCTCTTCTGCAGTCAGGTCACTGCCTACTGCCTGGGGGCTCTAGTCATTCCAGTGGAAGACGAATGTAACCTGCGTGGTGATGTGACAACTGTTTCCTCCCTGACCCCAGAGGATCTGGCTCTAGGTTGGGATCAATCCTGAATTTCGTTATGTGTTAATTTACTTTTATTAAAAAAGTATAGTATATATAATACAAAACAATAACCCTTCTGGGGTTTCTTGTGGCGGTTGAAATAGTCCCACATGTGGTCATCAGAAAATAAGCCATTCCTCATACCAATATAGGATCAGCTCCTTGACCTCTGAGGGGCAGGAGTGCTTCCTGGTGTGTGTATTAGAATCCCTTCCTGCCTTGTTTCATGGCAGTGAAATGCCTCTTGGTCCTGTCCAAGTGTATCTTTCACTGATTTCTGAATCATGTTCTAGTTGCTTGACCCTGCCACATGGGTCCAGTGTTCATCTGAGCATAACTGTACTAAATCCTTTTTCCATATCAGTATAATAAAGGAGTGATGTGCAATAGCTTCTTGTGTGATGTGGAAGACCTTATCTGAGGAAACTTTAGCATTTAACTTGAAATGTCTCTCACTGCCCTAGTCCTTGTGTGGCAGTTTGTTTTAGGACATCCAGTCACAACTTTACACGGTTGGTCAAAAAATGACGCATCTCCTTGGGGTTTTCACGTCAGCCTGGTGAGCTGAGGTGGTGGTGGGAGGCCCTCCTGGCCAAGCCCTCCATTCACGTTGCCCCCTGCAGCTCTTGCTTGGTGCTCCCCTGATTGGAAAGTCACATTCTGAACTCCATTATATCCTCTTTAGAGTAAGTAAAGTCTGCTTTTTGTTTTTTCTTTTTGAGACAGCCTCGCTCCGTCGCCCATGCTTGAGTGCAGTGGCATGATCTCAGCTCACTGCAGCCTCCCCCTCCTGTGTTCAAGCAAGCCTCCCACCTCAGCCTCCTGAGTAGCTGGGACCACAGGCATGTGCCACCATGCTTGCTTAATTTCTGTATTTTTAGTAGAGACGGGGTTTTGCCAAGTTGCCCAGGCTGGTCTCGAGCCAGTTTTGGCCTCCCAAAGTGCTGGGATTACAGGTGTGAGCCACCGTGCAGGCCTCAGAATTTTTTTTTTTAACTGTTTATTGTTACCAACTTGTAAGATGATCTCAAAAAGTGACTTAGTGCAGTGGAAAGGAGTATAATTACATTATAAACACAATTGCCTTCTCCTTTGAAAAGTTCACTGGACTACAAGAAATCCCATAAAGCTGGAGAAAGAACATTCCCTTTCCCTTCTGGTAGGAACAAGTAACACCCTCCATCTGTTGAGCTCCTAATGAAGCTCCTCTGTGCCACCCACTGGATGAGGGATATTACATATGTTAGCTCTCATCTTAACCCATGAAAGGGCTGGTAACTCCTGTTTACAGAAGAGGAAACAGTCCCAAAGAAACATGTAAAAAGCACCAAATATCACACCACTTGGTACTGGGGCTGGGATGGATATTGCTAGTGCAAACAAATGAAGGTTCTTACCCAAAGATTTAAATACTTTCAAGCATCTTGCTTTTCAAGTTTAGATTTTCATTTGACCTACACAATAACTTTGAGTAATTTCAGTCTCCAAGAGCCTGGTGGGATGTTATTTTCCTAACCTGTGCAGAATTCTAGATCAGAAGTTGGTAATTTTGGCCAGCACAGTGGTACACACCTGTAATCCCAGCACTTTGGGAAGCTGAGGAAGGAGGATCACTTGAGGCCAGGAATTCGAGACTGGCCTAGGCAACATAGCAAGACCTGGTCTCTACAAGAAAAATTAGCCAGGCATGGTGGTACATGCCTGTAGTCCCAGCTACTCAGGGGATTGATGGGGAATCACCTGAGCCCAGGAGTTTGAGGCTACAGTGAGCTATGACTGCACCACTGCACTCCATCCTGGGTGACATTTTGAGGCCCTGTCTCTTCAAAAATTGCATGTACAAAACAAAAAACCCAAGGCCAGGCATGGTGGCTGATGCCTATAAGCCCAGCACTTTGGGAGGCCAGCACTTTGGGAGGCCAAGGCAAGTGGATCACCTGAGGTCAGGAGTTCAAGACCAGCCTGGCCGACATGGTGAAACCTCATCTCTACCAAAGGTTAGCTGGGCGTGGTGGCGCATGCCTGTAGTCCCAGCTACTGGGAAGGTGTGGAGGCTGCAGTGAGTTGAGATCGCGCCACTGCACTCCAGCCTAGGTGACAGCGAGACTCTGTCTCAAAAAAAAACAAGAATAAAAACAAAAACCTGGATGTGGATCTACAATGATCTCAATCTCTAAAATTTTCAACTATAGAAACCCTAATATTCAAGGTTAGGAAGTAGAGGATAGAAACTAAGGTGGGCTGATTCTAAAGCTCACATTACGCACGGTCACTAAATACTGAAGACACAGGCTTCCTGAATAACATCTCAAGAAGTGACATCTCAGACTCATATTTCGTCGGCAACCTCTCCATGCTTAACTCTCATCCCTTCCTCATCCCCAAACTTACGCCTTCATTTCTGCTTCTGCATTTAGCCTGGGCTTGTCTCTCTGCCTTGAATATCTTCACTTACTTTTATGTTCTTTAATTTATTTTGATCTCACGTCACTAATCCTTTCCTGGCCACCTCATATGACAGTACTCTGTCCCACTTTTCAATTCAGATTTAACATTTCCTGGAGTACCCACTATATCAGTGATGTGTATCAAATACTTTTAGACATGTTATTTATTTATTTATTTTGAGACAGAGTCTCGCTCTGTTGTCCAGGCTGGAGTGCAGTGGTGCAATCTCGGTTCACTACAACCTCTGCCTCCAGGGTTCAAGCGATCTTCCTGCCTCAGCTTCCTGAGTAGTTGGGATTACAGGCATGTGCCACCACGCCCGGCTAATTTTTGTATTTTTAGTAGAGATGGGGTTTCACCATGTTGGCCAGGCTGGTCTCAAACTCCTGACTTCAACCCAACTCGGCCTCCCAAAGTGCTGGGATTTACAAACATGAGCCACCATGCCTGCCTCACATGCTATCTGTATCACCACGTGTCCTCAAATTTTCATTAAATCACAATGTACCTAAATGAAGGGGACGTATGTAAAGCACCTGACTCAGTGCCTAGCACAGTAAGTACTCAATAAGCAGAAGTACTGAAATGTCCTGACACCATTTAGATGTCTTTCTCTGCTTAAGACAACAGACTCTATAACATCCTTTTAGTAAAAAAGTTTTATCATAGCAAAAAATATGTATTTATAAGGACTGTCAGGAGGGATAGGCTATTTCCAATATCACAGTTTTGTTTGTTGGTGCCTTGAAAAGATAAGATTTATTACTCAAGAGAATGAAATCCACTGATAGGTTCACAGAAACATGTTCCATCTACAGCGTAAACTGGAAGATTTTTCTGGAAGTGGCTGTTGGCCGACGCCAGGTGTTTGAATAAAGACAGCAGCATCTTGGTGTTATACTCAGGAACAGCTTACCCCCTTCCATAGGGTAAAAAGTGGCTTCTTAGGTCTGCAAGAATTCGGGTTGTACTCGGGCTACTTTCCGGAATTCTTTAGTGTGGGTCTTAGGGCACTGCATCTCACACCAGCTGATGGGAACCATCTGGATACCTGGAAGGGAAAAGCTGGTGGTGGAGCCCAGACCCCAAAGATTTGCCTGCGACTCCTCTTTTATGCTGGGTATGAAGCTGAAGTGCCACCAAGCTTCCTACTGAACCTCAACTCATAAAGAAAAAACTTTGTTCATTCTACTGACTTATGAAGTGAGTCCCGTTTCCTTGGATTTATATAAGGAGAATCAGGCTGGGCGTGGTGGCTCACACCTGTAATCCCAGCACTTTGGGAGGCCAAGGCGGGCAGATCATTTGAGGCCAGGAGTTTGAGACCAGCCTGGCCAACATGGCGAAACCCTGTCTCTACTAAAAATACAAAAATTAGCTAGGTGTGGTGGCGTGTGTCTGTAATCCCAGCTACTTGGGTGACAAGAATTGCTTGAACCAAGGAGGTGGAGGCTGTGGTGAGTGGAGATGGCACCACTGCACTCCAGCCTCCTCGACAAAGTGAGACCCTGTCTCAAACAACCACCACCACCAGCACCAAGCAAAAAAGAAAAAAATAATCATTCTAATCTCAGAGGGAAATATCTATAGCCATACTGCTTCCCAGATAAGGGAAACCAGGAAAAACAATGGATTTATCCCAAACCATAGATCCAGGGAAAGTAAGGATGTGGAAACAAGGCCATCTCACCTGACTCACTGTGGGCTACCACCACTCCCAGCTCGTTCTCGGCGGTGGTTAGCAGGTAGTTGGACTGTGCATCACCTAAGGAGATCTAGTCACATAACACCGGTGAAGGAAAATGAGGAGTTAGAAGTCTTCCCCCACCTTAGCCACCTGAGTTGTTTTTCTACCTTTTTTTTTTTCTGAGATGGAGTCTTGCTCCGTTAACCAGGCTGGAGTGCGGTGGCGTGATATCAGTTCACAACCTCTGCCTCACAGGTTCAAGCGGTTCTCCTGCCTCAGCTTCCCGAATAGCTGGGATTACAGGCATGTGCCACCACGCCCAGCTAATTTTTGTATTTTTAGTAGAGACAGGGTTTCACCATGTTGTCCAGGCTGGTCTCGAACTCCTGACCTCAGGTGATCCACCCGCCCTGGCCTCCGAAAGTGCTGGGATTACAGGCATGAGCCACCACACCCGGCCTCCTTCTCTTCTTTTGACAAAGGACCAGAAGTCTGCTGGGAATAAAGGATACCACTTTGGCCAAGACAATGTCACCTGGGCGGAAACTCTTATAAATTTCAACCTGTAAAGAAAGAACAGGAATGTTAAGTGAAAGCTCTAGACTGGGTCTATATGAAACTGTGAACGCTTCTGGTAAAGCCAATCTACTTTCTAATCCTGGAGGGTAGAAATCATCATTACTCATGTCAAGTCAAGAACTTTTAATTGCTTCTACAGTATTATCATACAAATGAAAATTTTTTTTTTTTGAGATGGAGTCTCGCTCTGTCGCCCACACTGGAGTGCAGTGGTGCGATCTCGGCTCACTGCAACCTCTGCCTCCCGGGTTCAAGCGATTCTCCTGCCTCAGCCTCCTGAGTAGCTGGGATTATAGGTGCATGGCACGACACAGGCTAGTTTTTATATTTTTAGTAGAGACGGGGTTTCACCATGTTGGTCAGGCTGGTCTTGAACTCCTGACCTTGTGATCCGCCCACCTTGGCCTCCCAAAGAGCTGGGATTACAGGTGTGATCCACTGCACCCGGCCCTTTTTTCTTTTTTTTTAAGAGGTGGGATCCCACTGTGTCACCCAGGCTGGAGTGCAGTGATGCAATGGTAGCTCACTGCAGCCTTGGACTGCTGGACCAAGGGATCCTCCTGCCTCAGCCTCCCAAGTAGCTAGGACTACAGGTGCGTGCCACCACTTAACCTCAAACTCCTGGGCTCAAGCAATCCTCCAGCCACATCCTCTCAAGCAGCTGGGACTACAGGCATGAGCTACCATGCCTGGCCAATTTTTGAATTTTTAAAATTTTTGTAGAGACAGGGTCTCGCTATGTTGCCAGGGCTGGTCTTGAAGTCCTGGACTCAAGTGATCCTCCCGCCTCAGCCTCCCAAAGTACTGGGATTACGGGTGTGTGTGACCATGCCTGGCCTGAGATAATACTTTTAAGGGATTGAGATACGTAAAGCCATTAAAAAAAAAGAACCAACCAACAACCTTGTCTTTTTCAGTTGCTCGGACATCTTCCTTGCTATAAAAAAAGAATTAACAGAAAGATTAATTACCTGTGAGAAAGAATTTTTTTTTTTTTTTTTTTTGAGACAGAGTCTCCCTCTGTCACCCAGGCTGGAGTACAGTGGCGCAATTTTGCTCACTGCAACCTCCGCCTCCTGGGTTCAAGCAATTCTCGTGCCTCAGCCTCTCAAGCAGCTGGAATTACAGGCACGTCCGCCATGCCCAGCTAGTTTTTTGTATTTTTAGTAGAGATGGGGTTTCACCATGTTGGCCAGGCTGGTCTTGAACTCCTGACCTCAGGTGATCCACCCGCCTCAGCTTCCCAAAGTGCTGGGATTACAGGCATGAGTCACCTTGCCCAGCCTGTGAGAAAGAATTATTCTGTAGATTCCTAGTAAATAAAGAGCTACAAGAACAGACAGAACAAGTTGTAAATGGGACACAGCTGCTACCCAGAGGAGCAGGGTGGAGAAGCATCCTCAGACCACATGGAGAGGCAGTATCAATACCTCTGATTAGATAAAGGCAGATCGGATTTGGCAAGAAAGGATAAGGAATTTCGTTGCCTCAGGGCTTGAACAGAAGCACTATAGCAAGGGCCCCCAACTTCTGGTGGCCTGTGAGGAACCGGGCTGCATAGAAGGAAGTGAGTGGCAGGCAAGCTTCATCTGTATTTACAGCTGCTTCCCAATCGCATACATTACTGCCTGAGCTCCGCCTCCTGTCAGATCGAAGTGGGCATTAGATTCTCATAGAAGTATGAACCCTATTGTGAACTGCACATATGAGGGAGCTAGGCTGCCCACTCCTTATGAGAATCTAATGCCTGATGATCTGTCACTGTCTCCCATCACCCCCAGATGGGACCATCGAATTGCAGGGAAACAAACTCAGGGCTCCCGCTGATTCTATATTATGGTGAGCTGTATAATTATTTCATTATATATTACAGTGTAATAATAACAGAAATAAAGTGCACCATAAATGTAATGCACTTGAATCATTCTGCAACCACCCCCTCCATGGTCTGTGGAAAAACTGTCTTCCAAGAAACTGGTCCCTGGTGCCAAAAAGGTTGGGGACTGCTGCACTACAGAACCACATCAAATCCTGAGGCTGGAAAGGGCCTCAAAAGTTAGATTATCTGCCTGGCAAGAAATGTTTGTCCTTTCTCAAGGAAGCCACACGAAATCACCATCTCACCCACAAATCTTTTCAATGTTTTATAACCTCTGAGTTCAATCTATATTAAATTTTAAAGTGCTTCCTAAAATGCCTTCTACTTTTTTTTTTTTTTTTTTTGAGACGGAGTTTCACTCTTGTTGCCCAGGCTGGAGTACAATGGCACGATCTTGGCTCACCGCAAGCTCCGCCTCCCAGGTTCAAGTGATTCTCCTGCCTCAGCCTCCCTAGTAGCTGGGATTATAGGCATGTGCCACCACGCCTGGCTAATTTTGTATTTTTAGTAGAGACGGTGTTTCTCCATGTTGGTCAGGCTGGTCTCGAACTCCCGACCTCAGGTGATCCGCCCGCCTCGGCCTCCCAAAGTGCTGGGATTACAGGCATGAGCCACCACGCCCAGCCTGCCTTCTACTTTGGTTTGAGTCATCCTGACACTGCTAAACTTCAGCTTCACTCAATTCTTTTTGCTTTACCTTTTATTTATTTATTTGTTTTTTGAGACAGGGTCTCACTCTGTTGCCCAGGCTAGAGTGCAGTGGTGCAATCTCAGCTCACTGCAACCTCTGCCTCCTAGGCTCAAGTGATCTTCCTGCTTCAGCTCCACAAGTAGCTGGGAGTACAGGCACGCACCACCATGCCCAGCTAATTTTTTTTTTTTTTTTTTTTAAAGACAGAGTCTCGCTCTGTCCCCCAGGCTGGAGTGCAATGGCGCAATCTTGGCTCACTGCAACCTCTGCCTCCTGGGTTCAAGCGATTCTTTGGCTTCAGCCTCCTGAGCAGCTGGGATTACAGGCACACGCCAACATGTCCGGCTAGTTTTTGTATTTTTAGTAGAGACAGGGTTTCACCACACTGGCCAGGCTGGTCTCAAACCCCTGACTTTGTGATCCACCCACCTCAGCCTCCCAAAGTGATAGGATTACAGGTGTGAGCCACTGTGCCTGGCTAATTTTTGTATTTTTTACAGAGATGGGGTTTCACCATGTTGGCTAGGCTGGTCTCAAACTCCTGATCTCAAGAGATCCACCCGCCTCAGCTTCTCAAAGTGCTAGGATAACAGGCGTGAGCCACCGCGCCCAGCCTTTGCTTTACTTTTAAACCCTCTCGTTAATATTTTCCTTTTGTCCTAGATCATCCATGTATTTTTTGGATACTACTAGGGGAGAATCAAAGCACAAAGAAGAAAGAAAAACGGGCAAAAGAAAAATAGGAATTGTAACTGTTGCTCAAAATTCTGGTGTCCTAGTCTATCCTAATCTTATTCCAGTTGCTAAGGTATATGTGAAAAGGATACTTCTTACCGGATAGTTCCTCGAAAAGAGTTCTTAAGAGGCATGGACCCCACATACAGGATGTGTACTTTGGCAAAGCGTGAATTGATGCTAGAGACCTGCGGAATAGAGAAAAGATCAGCATCAGAGTATAAGCAGTTGTCAGCTCAAGGAGGCAGCAATAAACTGGGGATTACTAGGGCTTCAGTGCAAGCAACCCTACTAAGTAGAGAATTTAAGACAAATTAACTCCTACTTCTCTCTGCGTAAGTGACACATGTAAAGAGGAATAAGAGCCACTCTGGCCACCTGGTAGAGTTACTATGGGAAACAAAGGTGGTATGGGTTTTTTTTTTTTTTTTTTTTTGAGACGGAGTTTCACTCTTGTTGCCCAGGCTGGAGTGCAATGGCGCGATCTTGGCTCACCGCAACCTCCGCCTCCTGGGTTCAAATAATTCTCCTGCCTTAGCCTCCTGAATAGCTGGGATTACAGGCATGCACCACCATGCCCAGCTAATTTTGTATTTCTAGTAGAGACAGGGTTTCTCCATGTTGGTCAGGCTGGTCTCGAACTCCTGATCTCAGGTGATTCGCCTGCTTCAGCCTCCCAAAGTGCTGGGATTACAGGTGTAAGCCACTGCATCCGGCTGGGTTTTTTTTTTTTTTTTTAAATCTTTTCACAACTTGCCCTTCAGAGAGGTATAGACTTTTTAAAGTATAGATGGCTAACAATTAAAAAAAAAAAAAAAAAAGAGGCTGGACACAGTGGCTCATGCCTGTAATCCCAGCACTTTGGGAGGCTGAGGTGGGCGCATCACTTGAGGTCAGGAGTTCAGGACCAGCCTGGCCAACATGGTAAAACCCCACCTGTACTAAAAATACAAAAATTAGCCAGGCGTGGCAGCACATGCCTATAATCCCAGCTACTCGGGAGGCAGAGGCAGTAGAATTGCTTGAACCCAAGAGGCCAGAGGCTGCAGTGAGCCGAGATCGTGCCACTGCACTCCAGCCTGGGTGACAGAGCAAGGCCCTGTCTCAAAAAAAAAAAAACAGGAATGGCAAAAAATAAAGTCTTTTGCTTCTCTGCAGAAAAAGAACTCAGCTTCAGATGTTCAAAAATAGGCCTCCTAATCATCCTCTGGCATCCCTGTTTCCCAGACACAGGTAGAACTATGTATTCAGGGAATCAGCTCAGTGAAGGAACTATGCATGCCTGAACTTGGCTGCCTTGATTATTATCCTAGAAATCTGTAAGCCTGCACAGTCCAGTAAAACTTTCTGTGATGACAGAAAAGTCATGTGCTGACCAGTATAGCAACCACTAGCCACAAGTGGCTATTGAGTACTTGAAATGTGGCTAATGTGACTAAGGAAATCAATTTTATTTTTTTCTTGAGAGACAGAGTCTTGCCCTGTTACCCAAGCTGGAGTGATCATGGCTCACTGCAGCCTCAACCCCCTGGGCCCAAGCGATCTTCCTGCTTCAGCCTCCCAAGTAGTTGGGACCACAAGCATGTGCTACCATGCCTGGCTAATTTTTTATTCTTCTTCTTCTTTTTTTTTGAGACGGAGTCTCACTCTGTTGCCCAGGCTGGACTGCTGTGACGCAGGCTCACTGCAACCTCCACCTCCTGGGTTCAAGCACTTCTCCTGCCTCAGCCTCCCGAGTAGCTGGGATTACAGGCATGCACCACCACGCTAAGCTAATTTTTGTATTTTTGGTAGAGACAGGGTTTCACCATGTTGGCCATGATTGGCCAGGCTGGTCTTGAACTCCTGACCACAGGTGATCTGCCCACCTCGGCCTCCCAAAGTGCTGGGATTACAAGCATGAGCCACCATGCCCGGCAATTTTTGATTCTTTTTGTAGAGATGAGGTTTCACTATGTTTCCCAGGCTGGTCTTGAACTCTGGGCTGAAGCAATCCTCCTGCCTCGGCCTCTTAAAGTGCTAGAATTACCAGTGTGAGCCACTGTGCCCTGCCAGAAATAAATTTATGTAGCTTGTGGCTATCATACTGGACACTGCAGTTCTGGTATGGTCATGATTTCAGTATTGAATGGGCATTCTAAGCATGGAGGTCAGGACCAACTTACCTTACAGGTTACAATAGCTCCCACATCTGGCAGTAACTGGGACTCTGTTTCTCTCACTACAGACACCACTGGAAGCTACAGAGGGAACAACAAAAAACTGAAATGTCCTGACTAACCCTTGGGTCAAGGCATTTGTGGCTTGAGAGTAATATAGGAATGTCTTGGTATAAAGGTGAGAGTTGGAGTATGGATTCATTTATAGCCCAGAGCAGAAGGCCTTAGAAATTTTAGGAAATAGGAGGACCAGGAGGCTACAGAATGCTGCTAGAAGACATACATCTCTAAACTTCTTTTTTTGTTGTTGGAGACGGAGTCTTGCTCTGTCGCCTAGACTGGAGTGCAGTGGCACGATCTCGGCTCACTGCAAGGTCCACTTCCCGGGTTCACGCCATTCTCCTGCCTCAGCCTCCCGAGTAGCTGGGACTACAGGCACCCGCCACCATGCCCAGCTACTTTTTTTTGTAGTAAATCTCTAAACTTCTAATAAGTTTTTTGGTGATTCTCTCAGAATTTCTTGGTATACAACTATATTGCCTATAATCATTGACAATTTTACTTTTTTTGTTTTTTTTTGAAATGGAGTTTCACTCTTGTTGCCTAGGATGGAGTGCAAGGGTGCCATCTTGGTTCACTGCAACCTCCACCTCCTGGGTTCAAGTGATTCTCCTGCCTCAGCCTCCCGAGTAGCTGGGATTACAGAAGCCTGTCACCATGCTCGGGTAATTTTTTGTATTTTTAGTAGAGATGGGGTTTCACCATGTTGGCCAGGCTGGTCTCGAACTCCTGACCTCAGGTGATCCACCTGCCTTGGCTTCCCAAAGTGCTGGGATTACAGGTGTGAGCCACTGCGCCCTGCCGACAATTTACTCTTTCCTCCAAAGTTATACTGCTTCCTTCTGTTTCTTATTTTATTGCACAGGCTGAAATTTCCACAAAAATGTTACATAATAGCGGCTATGCTTGTTTTCTTCTATTTTAAGTGAATACTTGCAGAGTTTTCTCTTTGAGCATGGTATTGGCTGTTGGTATAAGACAGATATTTTGAGCCTCATCTTTTATCAATCTCTCCGTTGCTCACAATGCTTCAGCTCTCCTGGCCTTCTTTCAGTTTCCCCAACTTACTAAATTCTTCCCACTTTCAGATCTCTCTTCAACCTATTCTTTCTGCCAGAGCTGCACTCTCTCCACCCACCTGACTCTTACCTACTCTTTAGATGATTCAGCTTAAATGTCACTTCTGCTGACTAGGATGGGTTTGCCTGTTACATGTTCTCAAGGTGCCCTGTAATATTCTTTCAAAGCACCACCACATATGTAACCATATGCTCATTTGAGCATTTATTTGTTTACAATTTGTGTCTGTGTCCTTTGATAGCAGAAACCAAGTCAGCGCTGTGCCTGACACATGAAAATACTCAAGTGATATCTATGAAATGAACAAACTCAGGACTGTTAAGAACATTCCCAACAATGACTGAATAGAAAGCCCCTTGAATCAGACAGCTTAAGTTACTTACTCAAAGCAGAATCAAAGTCAAGTTAGCCAGAACGTAACTGTTCTAATTCTGAATCCTCTTTCTATTGTGCTCCTTCAAATATTGCTTATATGATCCTGAGCTAATCCTGGATCTATCTCTGAAACTAGAAAGGTAGGTATTACTCACACATTCAACATTTATTGAGGAGCTGCCTTGTGCTATATACGGATGGTATGGTGGTAGGGCCTGCTTTCACGGACTTAGATTTAAGCAGGGGAGAAGTCTAGTAGGAAACATATACCTGAGTGTCTCATCATATGCTGACATAGTGCTTGGAAGAAAAGGAACAGAGTTTTTTGTGAGTCTTTAACAAAACAAACAAAAACAAAACACCCCACAAAACTCCTTTCCTCAATTAGTGGGTCCAGAAGGACTTCTCTGAGGTGATAGTAGAGAAGCTATCTAAAGGAGGTAGGAATTAAATAGGCCTAGGAAGATAGAAGCGTTCCAGATAGATGGCATGTTACAAAGGCTCTGTAGCAGGAGAAAGCTTGGCGCATTACCGACACTGAAAGAAGCTAGTATGTTATAAAAAATTTTTAAAGGGCAAGCAGAGACTGTGATTATAACTTTTAAACACAGAAAAGACAGTATGACTAGATTGCGTCAGTGAGGTGGAGATAGTGGCGCTAGATAAAGTCGGAAAGGTAAGCAACATTCATACAGTATGCAACTCACTGCTGGGCTGAGCTGGGCTGGGATGGGATACTGAGTTCGCATCTGCTTTTGTCCCAACTTCCCTCCCCGAGGGTCAGCAGCACAACCAAGCGAGATCAACACAACTAGTGTGTGGTGGCTAAGTGCACCACAGCGGCGATACGGCTAGAAGAAACTAAGAGACCAACATTGTACCACTGAGGCACTAAAGACGCGTCCGCAGTGCCCATGCCTAAGGACTGGAACTCAAGGGCAGCCTAAGGGAAAAACAGAGGGGAGATGGCATGCCGCTTCCTTTACCGCGCCATTCTCGCTGCTCTTCATCAGACAGCCGGCAAGCGACGAAAAGATGTAGCCGTGGCGGGTGTAGGTGCCGCTGCCCGGGCTGCCCTCCTCCAAGTTACACAGACGTTCGCCTGCAGAAAAAATGCTGCATCGGTCACGGGCCCCCAGAAGCTGTAGGCCGTTTAGCCTTCTTGCTTCAGCCCCTATCCAGGACTCTGTACGGGAAGCGCTCACTTACCGGGGATGCAGTATCTCACAGGTGGCGCCATGATTGCCGCTGTCCCAAAACCAGGATGAAAACGAAGTCGATTTCTCATTGGCCAAACCCAGGCACAGTTCCGCAGTAAGACACGTGTCAATTGGTACTCTTTATCCTTGCGAGTAAACTCCATTTCCCAGGTTACCCCGGGACAAATCCGGGGGCGGAACTTCAGAGGTCCACGCTGGCGCCTGCGCGTGTGGTTGAGGATGGGCTGGCGGCGGGTCCGGGTCCGCTGCCTGGCGCTGCGGGCGGCGGGCCATGGTGGTTTGGATTGAGCCGGGCCCGGCCGGGGCGCCGAGTCGGAGGGGGTGGCAGTGAGCGGCGGCAGAGGCTACGGGGCTCGGTTTGGCTGACTGGGGAGTCGGCAGGCGGCAGGTAAGGGCGAAGCCTCGGCCCTTGCTCCCCATCCTAGTCCCTTTTTCTGGGTAGGGCACTGCCCTGGGGCCTTGTCTTGAGTGCGGGTTCCTGCTCTCTCCTCGCCCCGCCCTGCGGGGCCGTGCCCTCCTCAGCCCGAGCGCACCTTCCGAGCAATCGTTACGCTCAGAGCAGGAGGGAAGGAGGTCAAGCGACCCAACTCGTCTGTTTCACAGATATGGAACCTCAGATTCAGAGACAGGGTTTGACTTGTCCAAAATGATCAAGATAGTTAAGATAGAGCCCAAACTGGAACCCACGGTTTTTGACTTCCAGTCCATCGCAGTTTCACCTCGCGGCTGTCATTGAGAAATAAAACCTTTTCCCGGTTTTTTTGTTTTGTTTTTGAGGAGTCTCGCTCTGTCGCCAGGCTGGAGTGCAGTGGAGCGATCTCTGTTCACTGCAACCTCCGCCTCCCGGCATCAAGCGATTCTCCTGCCTCAGCCTCCCGCGCAGCTGGGACTTACAGGCGCGCGCCACCACGCCCAGCTAATTTTTGTAGTTTTAGTAGTGACGGGGTTTCACCATGTTAGCCAGGATGGTCTTGATCTCTTGATCCGCCCGCCTCGGCCTTCCAAAGTGCAGGGAGTACAGGCATGAGCCACTGCCTCCGGCCTTTTCCCGGTTTTTTAAACTGCAGCTTCCAGTCCTGCGGTCCGATCCTCTTCGCGGCCCCTCATCCCCACTTCAGTAAGCTTTCTCTGGTTGAAAAAGCCGAACTCTGGTTGTGTGGGCCCGTCATCAAAAGATAAGCAGCCCCAAAATAAAGTTGTTACTCTTTTTCTTCTCAGCGTGTTAGCCCAGAAGGGAGGTCTGCACATGAATAAAATGCTACTCTTTATTGATGTTGGGTATCTCCTACTTGAGATTGCAAACATCCTGAGAGCAGCGTCTTTGTCCAGATGACATTCGCCACGACTTTGATCTCAGTTCACCTGACTTCTGATGGCTTTGCCGTCTGTCCTTCCCTGTCCCCTCAGTCGACTTTCCCATTGGGAAACAGATGTGACTTAAAGCCATGGGAAGAGGGGAGTGTTGTGGCCAGCAATCTCCTCCAGTCTGGTGGCAGATGACCAGTATGGCCTGTGACTATTACTGAAGGATCAGAGTACTCGGGCTTGTGCTTGGGGTGGTAGTAAAGCTGCGCTTTGCTCTGTTTCCTCCCGTTCACTGAGATTAGCCCCTTCTCCCCTACACACATCTTTTTGAATTTTGCTTTACTTCTATTTCTTGAGATGAAAAGTCTGGGCCAGGTGCGGTGGCTCACGCCTGCAATCCCAGCACTTTGGGAGGCTGAGGCAAGCACATCACCTGAGGTCGGGAGTTTGAGACCAGCCTGACCAACATGGAGAAACCCGGTCTCTACTAAAAAAATACAAAATTAGCCAGGCGTGGTGGCACATGCCTGGAATCCCAGCCACTCAGGAGGCTGAGGCAGGAGAATTGCTTGAACCCAGGAGGCGGAGGTTGTGGTGAGCCCAGATTGTGCCATTGCACTCCAGCCTGGGCAACAAGAGTGAAACTCCATCTCAAAAAAAAAAAAAAAGAAAAGTCTGTGTGTTCAGTTGCGGCCCACTTACTACATATGTAATTTTCCTGGCATCCCATACCCCATTAGCTAATGGAGAGAGGCCCTAGCCTCAGACTTTGTTCACCCAAATCTGTATCTGTGCGTCTAGGAGCTTTCTGTTTACACGGTTGGGCTGATTTCTGGTTGGGCTTGTTTTCAAAAACGACTTCTAGCTCCTAAGTGCCATGATTTTAATAACAGTTTGTATTTCTCTCTTTATGAATCAGGAAGAATGATAACAGCAGACACTTATTTAGTGTTACCACATTGGCAGGAGTGTCCTTGCTGGTATTTGTAGGACAGATAGACATCTGGCCAGGCTTTCCACTTCTGCATCCCTCCAGGTCATTCATTCAACAAATATTTATTGAGTACTTCCATGAGCCGGGTATTGTGCTAAGTGCTTTATAAACATTTCATTTACACTTACCAAAGAAGTTTGCTCTTCATACCTGTGGGTTTCACATTGCTGATCCAATCCAACCATGGATTGGAAATATTTGGGGGCAGCTGGGCATGGTGGTTCGCTCACACCTGTAATCCCAGCACTTTGGGAGGCCAAGGCAGACAGATCACCTGAGGTCAGGAGTTCAAGACCAGCCTGGCCAACATTGCGAAACCCCGTCTCTACTAAAAATACAAACATTTGCTGGGCGAGGTGGCAGGTGCCTGTAATCCCAGCTACTTGGGAGGCTGAGGCAGGGAGAATTGCTTGAACCCAGAAGGCGGAGGTTGCAGTGAGCCGAGATCTTGCCACTGCACTACAGCCTGGGCAACAGAGCGAGACTTCATCTCAAAAACAAACAAAAAAAGTGTTTATGTGTAGCATTTACTTTGTATTAGGTATTATGAGTAATCTAGAAATGATTTAAAGTATATGGGAAGATACGTATAGGTTATATGCAAACACTATGCCATTTTATATCAGATTTGAGCATCCATGGATTTTGGTATCTGAAGGGAGGACTGGAACCAATCCCTCCGCAGATATGGGGGTTGACTGTATCTGTATAGTTACAGAATCATAAAAGGTTAGAGCTGGAAGGGACCTTAGCATTTAATCCTACTCCCTCACTGAATGTGAACACAAGGAGATTGAGTCCCAGTAGAGTTGAATGATTTGTCTGAGGTTACGGAACTGCTTAGGGACAGAATTGAACCCTAAAGAATTGGGTAAATCTGGTCTTTGAGGCAGACATTTCCTGCAGCGCTGAAGAATTTAGGACATGTTTAAGAATGATCTGAAAAGTGGAGAATAGAAGTTTTTTTTTTTTTTAAGACTAGAAGAGGTGTGAGGTAGTATATAATTCGAGTTTATTACAAACAAGGAGTGCATTGGATTTGCATGCCATTGCTACAAAAAGTATTTTGGCAAATAGGAAACTCTCCATGACCTATAGAAAGGGAATGAACAGCAGTGTGGACAGTCCAAAAGCCACCTAGATTTGTTGTGGGGTAATCTGTTTTGTCCCACTCTTACATTTGATTGTGGGTGTCTACTATTTTAAAAATTCATGCTACAAGCCAAATCATGCTTCCAAACAATAGGGGTGGAAGTTTGAGCGTGAGCTTTTAATTTTTTTTGAGGTGGAGTCTCACTCTGTCTCCCAGGCTGGAGTGCACTGGCGCGATCTTGGCTCACTGCAACCTCCACCTCCCGGGTTTCAGCGATTCTCCTGCCTCAGGCTCCCAAGTAGCAGGGATTACAGGCACGCGCCACCATGCCCAGCTATTTTTTTGCATTTCCAGTAGAGACAGTGTTTCACCACGTTGGCCAGGCTGGTCTCAAACTCCTGACCTCAAGTGATCCGCCTGCCTCGGCTTCCCAAAGTGTTGGGAGTACAGGCGTGAGCCACTGCGCCCGGCCTTTTTTTCTCTTTTCTACACTCCCCTTAATTCTTTTTTTTTTTTTTTTTTTTTGAGACGGAGTCTCGCTCTGTCGCCCAGGCCGGACTGCGGACTGCAGTGGCGCAATCTCGGCTCACTGCAAGCTCCGCTTCCCGGGTTCACGCCATTCTCCTGCCTCAGCCTCCCGAGTAGCTGGGACTACAGGCGCCCGCCACCGCGCCCGGCTAATTTTTTGTATTTTTAGTAGAGACGGGGTTTCACCTTGTTAGCCAGGATGGTCTCGATCTCCTGACCTCATGATCCACCCGCCTCGGCCTCCCAAAGTGCTGGGATTACAGGCGTGAGCCACCGTGCCCGGCCTCCCCTTAATTCTTTTAGCTTCCTAGGAGGTGGCAGGAATGGACAGTTTCTTTATCCTGGTGCTGAGCGTAGGTCCCTACTGAATTGTGCCTTCTCCTTCTCTGTGGACCTTGTCTGCTGAGTTTCTTTTCACCTTAGGGCTTACAGGGCTTGTGCAAGGAGGTAATTAAGTGTTTTCTTTGAAAGGTCTTTTGTGGGGATGAGCCAGGGTGCAAGGAGAGTACAATACTCCAGTTACCGAATTGAAACCATCCCTGCAGTGGAGCAGCCTCCTCCAGTTTCTGTTGGGTTTTGAGCTACCTGTTAAATAAGTCAGTGGGATTGTCAAGGACAAAGCCCTCCCTGGCTGCCTCAGGGCAAAATCAGGTAATTTTTTTTTCTGGTGAAAGTCTTTAATCTGCAGAACTGATGAAACTGTCATCGAAGGAATCTGTTAGCGCATCTGTGTCTTCTGTTCTGGTCATTGCCCAGGCAGCCGATCTCTTCCCATGGCTGTTGCATGAGGTAGAAACTGCATAGAGGAGATGGAGGCACTGGCAGAGGTGCCATAGAAGCAGTGAACTGGGAAGTCTGGTTGGGTATCTTGGGGCTAAGGCAGCAGCTGCAGAGAAGGTTCTTAAATGTCTAATTAGACTGGGGCAGTGGAGTCCATCAGAGAGGTCAGGACCCGAGGCCTTCATGAATCAACATGGAGGTCCCCTCCCATTGACTCCTTCCTGTGTTCTGCTCAGAATACCTGGAGTTGTCTTGGCTACCATTTCCTTGGGGTGGGGCTGGGAATGGAATTGGAGACAAAGCATTTTCTGTCATGCAAGGGGTAGCTGGCTGTCCTGACAGGAGACAGGGAATCTCCTGCTACCAGGTTGAGTTGGCTAGCCTGTGACATCAGCCCAGAGGGAGTAGGAAGAAGAGTATCTTTTGCCAAGACTTAAATAGCACCAGGAAATACCTCGGTACAGGATCCACATTCTGTGTACTCATTCTTCCATTGGCTGTTCTTTGGTGAGGAATAATCATCTGAAGGTAGGTTGATGCACTAGGGCAGTCAGGAAGCCCTGGCAATCTCTGCTACAGTGGCCATGCCCAGAGACACAGTGGACAGCTTTGTCCATGTTGGCCACACTCCACCCAAAAGTCTGTCTACACAGACAACTCCTAAGACTGCTTTGATTTGGAGTGGCCTTTCTCACCCCTTTCCTGTGGCCTGTTGCTTTAGGTGTGCATCACCTTGGATTTGCTATGCAACCATGTGGTGTAATTTAAGTACAATTTCTGCAGGCTCAGAACCATCAGTTTTACTCCCTTAATCTGGTTGGAACATTGGCACTGGTCAGTCCGTAGAAAAGTGAAGTAACCTTCCTACTTCTCACAGTTGGTGACTGGCCTAGCTGGGTCTTAGTCTTAGGTCTTTGCCCTCCAAGTGAGTACTCTAGGCCTTCCCACTAGCGGGGTAGGGAGGGAGGGCTCAGACTAGATCCTCACAATGGTGTGCTCTCGTAGGAACCATGCGAGGCCAGCGGAGCCTGCTGCTGGGCCCGGCCCGCCTCTGCCTCCGCCTCCTTCTGCTGCTGGGTTACAGGCGCCGCTGTCCACCTCTACTCCGGGGTCTAGTACAGCGCTGGCGCTACGGCAAGGTCTGCCTGCGCTCCCTGCTCTACAACTCCTTTGGGGGCAGTGACACCGCTGTTGATGCTGCCTTTGAGCCTGTCTACTGGCTGGTAGACAACGTGATCCGCTGGTTTGGAGTGGTGAGTGATGTCCAGGGAGCAGGAAAAGGGGTGTTGTGGGGAGCAGAGGGACATGTCTCTCACAGACCCAACCCAGGTTTTGGAGGCCGGCCCCCACCCCCAGGGAAACTCCGAGTCTCCTTTGGGCATAGCTCTTGCGCCATGTCTCCCTGACCTTGCTGGTGTTGGCAGGTGTTCGTGGTCCTGGTGATCGTGCTGACAGGCTCCATTGTAGCTATCGCCTACCTGTGTGTCCTGCCTCTCATCCTCCGAACCTACTCAGTGCCACGACTCTGCTGGCATTTCTTCTATAGCCACTGGAATCTGATCCTGATTGTCTTCCACTACTACCAGGCCATCACCACTCCGCCTGGGTACCCACCCCAGGTGGGTCCTCACAGGAGCACTGGGGGAAGTTGCTGGCTATGGGAGCTGGTCCCAGGAGTGGGGAGAGTATCTTGGTATAGTTTTGAGAGACAGAACTGGTGCTGCCACGTTATGCTCTCCCTTCACACAGGGCAGGAATGATATCGCCACCGTCTCCATCTGTAAGAAGTGCATTTACCCCAAGCCAGCCCGAACACACCACTGCAGCATCTGCAACAGGTGGGTCTTGGCTTTGCTCTCTGGGAATCCCAGCTGTGGTCCTTCTGTAGCCCTAGGGCAAAACCTAACCTTGAGTTTGCTAAGACATGGGTGAATCACCCATCGTGTCCCAGGTGATGTGCCCTCTTCTCCTGACACCTCATCCTTAGGATGGTCCTGTGAGTTAGGCATTATTACCACTTGTGAAAACCGAGGTTTGGAGAGATGAGTTACCTTGTCCAATATCTTATAGCCATTAAACTGCAGAGCTGGGTTTGAAGCAAGGCCTGGCTGTCTTCAAAGTCTGTGCCCTTTCCACCTCAGCAGGATGCTGGTCCTTGTAGGGAAGGATTGGCACTGACATCTCAAGAACTTTGGCCACCGTAACAGAGCCTGTGTCCCTTCCTCACAGGTGTGTGCTGAAGATGGATCACCACTGCCGTATCCTTTTGCTTTCTCTTCTGCCTGAGGCCTTCTTTAGCTCCAGAGCACTGTACAGGGTTAATGGCCACCATTTTAGCATCACCGTGCAGAGAACACTGGAGTTGAGGAGTTGTGGGGCCTGACCATCTCCTGGGAGAGCAGGAAGCTCACACTCTAGGACGGATCTTCTTGGAGCAGGGAATCTTTTAACACCTCTTTCTTTTCTAGACTCTCATGCTAACAGCTATTGGATGGAAAGAGATGTTTGGGCTTCTGTGGTTGTTTACTGTGTACGCCAGATAGAACCGTGGGTCTCCAGCTGCTGTTCCACACAGATGTTTGGCTAACTCCAGCTAGGCTGAAATATTGGCAGATTCATTTTACTGAAGGATTTCAGTTTCCGTGACTTCTTGGTGGGACCTGAATGCTCTGAAAAGCTTTGAGCATTTTCACCTCAACCTTGGGTGTGAACAGTCTTGTATTTTCTTGCCTTTGGAAAGTAGTTCTTAGTGACTGGAAGCCTGAGGCTTGGGTGATATTGTCAGGAACCAGGGATGAACCTGAGGGGCCTGGACACCGCCTGAAATTGTGTTTGATTCTAGTCCTTAATCATTTCCCAACCAGCCTGGCTAAACAATTGTGTGGGCCACTATAACCATCGGTACTTCTTCTCTTTCTGCTTTTTCATGACTCTGGGCTGTGTCTACTGCAGCTATGGAAGTTGGGACCTTTTCCGGGAGGCTTATGCTGCCATTGAGGTGAGCTCATCAGGAACAGGGCAGCTCAGTAGTGCAGAACTTCGGGATGTAGAACCTGTCCCTAAGGAATGGGGCTGGTAGCACCCCATCCTAGAGGCCTGAGAGTATAACCAGCACTGTTTTCCGTCCCCTTAGAAAATGAAACAGCTCGACAAGAACAAACTACAGGCGGTTGCCAACCAGGTGGGCTGTCCCCACCCCACTGCCTCCTGCTGCTCAGGCCTGGGGGTATAGAGTTGCTAAGGCATCTGGGGCCGACCTGCCCATGTAGTTGTAGAGGCTGCCGAGAGGCCACTCTAGACCAGATCAGGAGTGTTCAGGCAGGCTGGCTGTGGTGGGTAGACTAAGTGGCCTACAGGCAAGCTGGAAGTCCCTGGTATGTGACAGTTTTGGCTATCTATCCCGTCATCACCTCTCTTTGGGTCGAGCAAGCAATCTGCCTTGGTGATGGCCTGAGCAGCAAGGAGTCTATGTTAGTCTGTGTAATGGGGTTCCAGGGGACAGAGATCAGGCAGAGCCAGTCTGATCATCCCTTGCTCCTGGTCCATCTGCATCTGGATCATCCCTGCCCCCCCAGTACCTTTTAGGACTCCCTAATCTGCTGAGCCCATCTTGATTGTATTTCTGCTGCCCTTTCACAGTCCCTAGTGGAGCTCACAGTCCCTAGTGGTTTTCCCCACTCCAGTCAGTCCATTCTGGGTATGGTCTGGTCTCCTCTCTTGGGGATGCAGCTGTGCAGTGAAGGAGTTCTGGCTGGGGATTGGAGTGGCTTCCCCTGGAGCCCCATTTGTGTTGTCACTCTACAGGCCCAGGGTCAGCTTCTCCTGTGCTTCACCATCCTGTCCAGACCCTGCTCTGCTGCCCAGTGTTTGTCCATGTGGTGATGCCGCTGGGCTTGGTCCACCCATCTTGGCTGCTACCCTAACTCCTCTGTGGCTTTACCCTGTTTTCTCTGCCTGGATTTGGATCATTTCCTGCCTATAGGTGCTGGGGGCAGTTGCTGGAGACCCACAGAGCAAATGAGCCAGCTTTGCTGTTTTCTTTTTCTAGACTTATCACCAGACCCCACCACCCACCTTCTCCTTTCGAGAAAGGATGACTCACAAGAGTCTTGTCTACCTCTGGTTCCTGTGCAGGTATTTGTTTTTGATAGTTTTAAGGGAGGGGAAGCTTCAGAAAAAAAGTTTTTTAGGTGCCCACACGCAGGCAGAAACCCATTCCTAAGTGAACTGCCACTGCTCTAGTCTAACTTAGGTTGGCAGAGAGCCAGCACTTTCTTCAGCATTCAGGGCAGGGAGCACTGAGGATATTGGCATTGCTTATTACTAAGCACACAGATACAAGTATGTGCTTGATATGTAACCAAAGTAAGTTAAACTCCTTATTTAATCTTAGCACCTGTCTAAAGGCTGGGTGACTGTATTTATAGATGAGGAAAACTGAAAATTGGGGGCCAAGGGGCAGTGAAGTGAAGTGACTTGTTCTATGATACACAGCTAGTAGGAATATTAGCACTGGAATTTGAATTTCATGCCATCCCATTCCAACCCTGGGTGTTTACTACTTCCCACTATCTCCCAAGCATGGGTATTTTAGGAAATATAGAACATTTTCTCAGCAATACAGACTTATTTCTCTATTCTCCTTTCCACATACTCTCTTTTCCCTTAACAACAACAGAGATGGAGTCTTGCTATGTTGCCCAGGCTAGACTCAAATGATCTTCCTATCTCAGTCTCCTGAGTTGCTGGGACTACTAGGCATGAGCTACCATGCCTGGCTTCACATCATTTATTCTTAGGCCACTTTGATGCTTTTTCATTGATGCTCTTTATAGACATAGTGAAGTAAAAGTTTATCTAGGATATATGGTGGGAGGTGAGGAAGACTTAGGTAGAGAGGTTCCAAACCAGTTGTTACTGCTTAGCTCAATTTCAGACATACTTCCTCCAGCCCTCTCTAAACTACCCACCAGTCTTCGCCCCTCTTTTCTTAGTTCTGTGGCACTTGCCCTGGGTGCCCTAACTGTATGGCATGCTGTTCTCATCAGTCGAGGTGAGACTAGCATCGAAAGGCACATCAACAAGAAGGAGAGACGTCGGCTACAGGCCAAGGGCAGAGTGAGTAGGGTTGAAGGCTCGGGGTGGGTAGGTGGGTAACTGAACTTGCTCTCCTGTAAACAGAGGCCATGGGCAGGGCTGACTAGGGCAAGCATTGTAAAAGGCCAGAACTACTCTATCTGAGCTTTAGCTTAGCCAATTTAGTCTGAAAAATTAGAAGTTCAAAGAAACATGTTTTTCTTGGCTCCAGGTATTTAGGAATCCTTACAACTACGGCTGCTTGGACAACTGGAAGGTATTCCTGGGTGTGGATACAGGAAGGTAATGTAAGACACACAGACTAATGCTGTCCAACAGAACACTGTGATGAGAAAGATGTTCTATGCCTGTGAGCACTTGGAATATGGCTAGTGGCTACTGTGTTAGCACAGTTCTAGACTCTAGGAATAGAGATCATTGTCCATTTGAACCAGAAAGGCTTGAGGCCAATACTGTGTGGTTTTAAGTAACAGATGAGGCTTCAACGTGACTACAGTGGAATCCTAGGAAAGCTGTGCTCAGGAAGGGGCCTCTGGGTGTAGGATATGGTGGCCACCAGTCACCTCTCACTTGGAGAGCAGTGTCTAGAGTTCAAGCCAATAATTTGTGAGATTAAAATAATCTACTTGTCATAGAGGCCCTAAGACAGTAACTGGAGCTAGCTCTCTCAGCCCAAGACAAGGGGAAACAATTTTTCAAATGGCAGTTACTGAGGCGGTAACAATCAGATGAACAGACGTGCCTTCCCTCCTCCCTTTCCCATGTACATGACACTCCTATCACTGTGCTTACAGTGGACCTTTAGAAGTTTAGCTCGAAACCTTAAAAGGCCTTCAAAGGACCAAAAGGTACATTTGTTGGATAAAATTGGGTAGCAGAAATTAGAACTTTTGTTACTTTCATGATTGACACCGAGGTAGCTTCAGGATACCTTGATGTATGCTTGTTAAGGAATGATGATTGGGAAGGACCAAGAATTCTTGAACTCAGAGACATTTCTCTCTTCTCTTCTAGGCACTGGCTTACTCGGGTGCTCTTACCTTCTAGTCACTTGCCCCATGGGAATGGAATGAGCTGGGAGCCCCCTCCCTGGGTGACTGCTCACTCAGCCTCTGTGATGGCAGTGTGAGCTGGACTGTGTCAGCCACGACTCGAGCACTCATTCTGCTCCCTATGTTATTTCAAGGGCCTCCAAGGGCAGCTTTTCTCAGAATCCTTGATCAAAAAGAGCCAGTGGGCCTGCCTTAGGGTACCATGCAGGACAATTCAAGGACCAGCCTTTTTACCACTGCAGAAGAAAGACACAATGTGGAGAAATCTTAGGACTGACATCCCTTTACTCAGGCAAACAGAAGTTCCAACCCCAGACTAGGGGTCAGGCAGCTAGCTACCTACCTTGCCCAGTGCTGACCCGGACCTCCTCCAGGATACAGCACTGGAGTTGGCCACCACCTCTTCTACTTGCTGTCTGAAAAAACACCTGACTAGTACAGCTGAGATCTTGGCTTCTCAACAGGGCAAAGATACCAGGCCTGCTGCTGAGGTCACTGCCACTTCTCACATGCTGCTTAAGGGAGCACAAATAAAGGTATTCGATTTTTAAAGATATGTAGCTTCTCACTCTCTGCCTCACGATAGGGCAGGGAAGGGGAAAGTCAGGGTCAAGACCTAGTGAGTAGGTGTTCTGGTCATGCTTCCTACATTTTTTTTTTTTTTGGAGATGGAGTCTCACTCTGTCTCTCAGGCTGTAATGCAGTGGCGCGATCTTGACTCACTGCAACCTCCGCCTCCCAGTTTCAAGTGATTTTTTTTTTTTTTTTTTTTTGAGACGGAGTCTCGCTCTATATCACCCAGGCTGGAGTGCAGTGGTGTGATCTCGGCTCACTGCAAGCTCCGCCTCCCGGGTTCACGCCATTCTCCTGCCTCAGCCTCCCGAGTAGCTGGGACTACAGGCGCCCGCCACCACACCCGGCTAATTTTTGTATTTTTAGTAGAGACGGGGTTTCACTGTGTTAGCCAGGAGGTCTCGATGTCATGACCTTGTGATCCATCCGCCTCGGCCTCCCAAAGTGCTGGGATTACAAGCTTTACAGGCGTGAGCCACCGCGCCCGGCTCAAGTGATTCTTGTGTCTCAGCCTCCCAAGTAGCTGTGATTAAAGGCGTATGCCACCACACCTGGCTAATTTTTGTATTTTTAGTGGAGATGGGGTTTCACCATGTTGGCCAGTCTGGTCTTGAACTCCTGACCTCCACTGATCCATGCGCCTCGGCCTCCCAAAATGCTGGGATTACAGGCGTCAGCCACCATGCCCAGCTTAATTTTTTTTTTTTTTTAATTATTTGTAGAGATGGGTTCTTGCTATACTGCCAGGGCTAGTCTCAAACTCCTAGCCTCAAGTGATCCGCCTGCCTCAGCCTCCTGAAGTGTTGGGGTTACAGGCATGTGCTACTGTCCTGGTTACCCTGAAAAATTTTTGGCCAATCCCTGTCATTGTTATTCCAGTGATGCCTCTGGTTATATGAGGCATATGTGGGGTGGGGGAAATATCTGACAGCCCCATTACCAAAAGAAATCTTTATTCTTCAGCAGGTAGACAACATCTGCCAGCCCTGGTCCTCAGGGCCACACTCATATGCACTCACCCCTCAGCAGCATATCGCCCCTTTTCTGACATATAAATGCAAGAGACCCAGGACCCTAGATCTTTCTTCAAACGCAAGTGTCTCACACACACTTATTTTACAAATCCACTAGAAATATGGACTCTTATGTTCTTTGTACAGCCATGCAACAGAGGCCTAGCATTTGTGCTGTGTCTGTGGGAAAGGCAGTCAGAGACCAGTGGTTTCCCTGCTTTGGGGAAGATGGCTCAACAGTTAGTAATCCCAGGTTAGATTGTCAGAACAGTCTAGGCCAGGACTGAGGGCTCAGCTGCCAGGGCTCCCCAACAGAAACCTGTAGGCAAAAAGAAAGTTGGCAGCATTAGTGATGAGGCTCATCTTGGTCCCATCTCTCCCCACGACCTAGAAACTCACCACTCCCCTCTGGCTGACACTGCTTCCTTGCGCACCAGTCTCTTCTTGTCATCCAGGGGTTTGGCTAAGGCCCGAATCACCTGTGGTTTGTACGGCAGCAGCTGTGGAGTCAGAGGATATAATCAACCTTGCTCATCCAAGGCAACTGAAAGTACCGCTTTTTTGATTCTGTACAACTAATATTCTGAGGAAAGCAAAACATCTTTAGTGATTCCAAGGGATGTTAAGTGGCAGGATGGCCTTTCTGTTACCTTCTGGGCCCAAGGAAAAGAATCCTTGGGCCCAGAATTACAAGATCTGTACCTTGTAATTCAGATCTCAATTACACACCAGGGTGGCCAAGCCCACCTGACTAAGGCAAAAAGGTACTTATGTGTCTCTTGAGATGTTCCCAGGCCAGGGAAGGACACCTGAGGTACTTACCACAGGGGTGGGCAGGCGAGTGAGAGCATGCATGCACTGCAGTGCGGCGATCCGGACAGCCTGGAACACAACCACAAGGAGGTGAGAGCATGCCCAGGGAGAGATGCTGGTGCCTAAGAGTTGCTGGGGCTCAACGCACCATGGAAGGGCTAGAGCTGAGGTTCAGAAACTTGGTGACGAGGGTGTCCACGTGAAGACTCATGACTTGGGGTGCTTCCAGTAGAAGAGGCTGAAGGCAGCTGAGGGTGGAGAGCTGCACCACACAGTCAGGGCAGGACAGGGCCTCCAGCAGCAAGGAAAGAAGCTAAGGGGCAATGGGCAAGGTAGGGGATGGCCACATCATGAAGATCCTGGTTCTTGTTCCCTCCCCTTTCTAGCCCCATCTGGGGAAGAATAGCTTTGTCCTTTGCTTAGAAGCTCTGCCTGTGGGACTTACCGTGGGCAGCTCTGGCAAGAGTACAGGCTTGGGCAGCCTGTTAAGTACATGAGAAAGACCCTTCAAGTAGTTTGGCTTCACATCTGTAAAAAATGGAAAGGCTTAGGGGAGAAATTGGACTTAGATATATAGCTTGAGAAATCAATTCCAATCTGTGGTGAGGCTGAGACATCAGCCTACAAACGGGTGAAAGAGCCCTTCACGCTCAGAATAAGCAAGATACGCCCATGAAAGGAAGAAGTGGGACAAGAATCTAGAAGTTTAGTCTTCTAGGCACAGACCACAATATAGCTCTAAAGAAGCAAGCGGGCCCTAAATTATCTTAGGGAATGTGGCCAAGCAAAGGAGAGATGTGTATATGTGGGGACCTTCTTTCAGACTCCTCACCTTGGGGAGCAGCATGGAAGCCCTGGACCAAAGCAGGCACATTATCTGTGAAGAACCGCTGGCGGAACATGATCCGCACTTCGGCATGGCCAGCACGAGTCAGCACATCAGTGCAGTCAGACATGAGCAGAGAGAAGCCATCAGCTGCTGCTGGACCTAATTCTGGGTCACTCAGGAGGCCCATGAGCTGGAGAAAAAAGAGCCTTTGAGGTACATCAGGGAAGAAGAATCTTAAGTGCCAAAGATAAGGATGGGGCCGGGTGTGGTGGCTCATGCCTGTAATCCTAGCACTTTGGGAGGCCAAGGCAGGTGGACTGCTTGAGTCTAGGAGTCTGGGCAACATGGCCAAACCCAGTTCTTACAAAAAATACAAACATTAGTTGGGTGTGGTGGGGTGCCCCTGTAGTCCCAGCTACTTGCGAGGCTGAAGTGGGAGGATCACTTGAGCCTACGGAGGTTGAGGCTGGAGTGAGCTGTGATTGCACTACTGTACTCCAGCCTGGGTGACAGAGTAAGACCCTGTCTCCAAAAAGAAAAAAGAAAAGAAAACAAAAAACACACAGGGGAGGATGGAAGTCCTTGGGAGGAATAGGAGCAACCAGAAAGTTTGTTTAGGTCCTGGGTTCTTCTGTCTCCAGAAAGGACGTACCCGGGCTGTAAGGCAGGAGCTGAGAGGATGGTATCTGAGCACTAGGGCCTTTGTTACCTGTAATTGGAGACAGAGAGAGCAATTGGGGAATGACACTCAAACCCGAGAACCCTGAGACATAGATGTTTATGGTTTAGGGTCAAACAGGGACATTTTATTTAACCAGACATAATTGCCTCTCTGGCTAACCAGACTCCACTCCAACTCCTTACCCAGAGAAGAAGAGTGAAGGCCTGACTACGACAGGGCCCAGAGCCCAGGCCAGCCTCCACTTTGTCCACAGCTAGCTGTAGGAATTCATCCAGCTGCTGCCCTAAAAAGGAGAGAGGAAATGCTGACATAAAGGCTACACATTTTCCCTTTAGCAATGAAATGCAAATCACTTTAAGTGCAGAGCTCCCTGAGAAGCTGTTAGAAAGGGAAAATATCATTTTTGCCTGTGGACAAAATGATTGGACACCTGCATAAGAGCCTGGTATTCTCATAATACAGAGGTGCTGCCATTTGAAAAGAGAGGGTCATCTACTTCCAATAAAGAATTATCCACACTAGCCCCACTGTAGGGAGTAGGACGGCAGAACTAGACTCTTTGTGCTCCCTTCTCTTCTTAGGTACTATAAAGCTCTGCCCAACTGTGGTCTTGACGCTTTTCCCACGGGCAGTCCCAGGACAGTGCTTGAGCAGTTGAAGCCCTGTTAATGTTATTAGCAAGCTCCTTTTAAAAAGAGAATGAGTACTGAGCTATAAGATTTCATGGGTAGTTGATTCTGGGAGGCTCCTTACATAGTCTGATCTCAGTACCTGCAGGGTGCTTGTTGAGGAGTCCTGCAAAGCACTTGGCAGCAGCGGTGGAAGAAAAGGGGCAGCTGTGGCAGCAGCTCAGTTCCAAAAGCTCCCGCATGAGTTGGTTCAGCTGAGGGATTTCCACCTACAGAAAACCTGGCCATGTAATGGACCCAGAGAACACTTGAACTCCAAGAGAACCAGTACATAGTGGCAGCAGGGACCGGGACGGATGAGAACTAACTTCTCTGGTGGGGGAAGTAAAAGATCAGCTTAGCCTGTGGCAAATTTCAGCCCGGAGTCACCTTGTCAAGGTTAAATAACAGTACTTCCCAAATGTGCTCACTTACATTTCGAGGCAGGGAGCAGACAAAGGCCATAAGCAGTGCAATCAGCCGCCTCTGCCCTGAGGAGCCATCCTATAAAGGAAGGAGAGCCCGATCAAGCCTGCCAGCAATAAGCTTGTCTGCCCCTCTACCCATTCCAGATTAGCCCTAAAAAAAAACCAGCTTGAAGGATGTAAGTTCTAAGACTGTTACCTGGAATGGCTGGAATCTGCTCGGGAAGCTGTTTTCAGGCAGAAAGGACACGTTGCCATCCAAGAAGAGGGGCACAATGTGTGTCACACTCTGGGCAGCTAACCTGGGGGCAGAGTACTAGGTATGACCAAGGAGCTAGGATTCTAAAGCAGCCCTCTCCTCCACAGACGTGCTTTTCAACCTAGGGTTTGAATTAGGATCACCACGTCAATGGGACATGCCCTGATCATTCATGCATTGAACAAATATTAATTTGGCACATATGTGCCAGTAATCATTTCCATTCAGGTTCCCATCTGGGAAGTCAAGGTATATTTTAAAATGCTCTACAGGTAATTCTTAAGCACATCTGCGGCTAAGAACCACTGGCCCTGGCTTCCCACCCTCATAGTCCATGGTGCTAAGAGCCCCTTCCTTTTGTTTTGTCAACAAAACTTACAAGACGATTAACTGCACCACATTTACATATAGGTAAAAGGACAGCTGACAAGGCAGCTACCTGTTGCTTCTTCCTAAGAATGCTATCCTTCTCCCTGGGTTCAAGCCACATCCATGATTATACTTACTCAGGGCTCAGGTGGGTTGTAGCAGTGCCAATGACAGACACCATGGCAGCCAACACCTCATCCTCCAATAGTACTTTTCTCAGAACTGAGGGCTCCTTCTCTGCAAAACACACACACATGCACACAATCACAAGACCATGACGGGTTCAAGAAATGAATGATTGGGTTCTGTCAGCATCACTGACTCTGGGGCTTGACTCTAGCCACGACAGCAGTTCTTAATCTGGTCTCTGGTAGTGCTATAGTCCTGAGAATCAGGGCACCAGAAACAGGAGTGGTCTGACCTGGGGCCACAGAGCGCTCCTGAGAACTCTGCACAGTCTTTAGACTAGGCCAACAGTGGGAAAGAGGGATAGCTAAGATGAACATTCTTAACATAAGAAATAGAAATGTTGTCCCTGGTGTCCCTGGAGATGCAAGGAAAAAAAAATAGTAATGTTGGTCTCTGAAAAAATTAAAAACATAGATTTATCTTCATGGGTCCTTATTATTTATAGCAACTATCATACACTGAGTACTTCCTATGTGGCAGGTACTATACACTAACTTATTTAATCCTTACCAACTACCCTGTGAAACAGTTTTTTTTTTTTTTTTTTTTGAGACAGGAACAGGATCTCGCTCTGTCACCCAGGCTCGAGTGCAGAGGCACAATCATGCCTCACTGCAGCCTTGAACTCCTGGGCTCAGGTGATCCTCCCACCTCAGCCTCTTGAGCAGCTGGGACTATAGGTGTGCACCACTATGTCTGACTATTTGTAGAAACAGGGTCCCCTGTGTTGCCCAGGCTGGTCTCAAACTCCTGGACTCAAGTGATCCTCCCATCTTGGCCTCCTGAAGTGCTGGGATTACAGGTGTGAACCATGGCGCCAGCCTAGACGGTACTCTTTATCTCCATCTTACAAGTGAGGAAATTGAAGCGTGGAAAGGCTGAATATCTTCACCTAAGTTAGCAAGTGGTAGAGTTGAGGATAAAACCCAACCAGGTGGGCTTGACTCCAGAGTCCAATTCTAAGTAAACTAATCACATAGCACTTCATGGGGAAAAGGTGTGCATTCTTTTGAATGTTGCTAACACTAGTGGATTTTGGTTCCTGCCACTGGTCAGGGTGGCACCCTTTGCTATGAAGTGAAATCTCACTCTGAGGACAAAGGATTGAAAATAAACCTCTGATGGTACAAAATACAGTACCACCAATACCCAGAGGGTGGTGCTGTTCAACACCAGCAGAGGGCAAAGTTCCCAAAGGCCAGGAAGGAGAGGTGGAAAGTTACCTGGCATAGAGGCCTGCACAGCCAAGGCAAGCAGGCAAGGTATAGCTGTCTGGTGGAAATACCAGCAACTCTCAGGGTCCTGCTGACATTTTTCTGCCATCTGTCTGAGGCTCTGACAGACAGCAATAACGTCACTGGATTGTGCAACCATATTCCCTGTTGATGAGAAAGTGTTCTCTGTAAGGTTTGCTTAAAAGCACTTTCAGGTGTTTCCAATTACACAGCAGATGAGAGGAACAAAGAAGAGTGACTGAAGGGACCAAGAGTGCCTTATTAAAAAGCTGAGTCACTTTATTCTCCTGGCTGTTCTTTCTGATCTATTCAGACTTCATAGTTGAGACTTGCTCTGTCCCAGGCTCTGCAGCAGAAGCACTTGTATATATTCTCTCCTTATTTTTCATAACAACCTTAGAAGTATCATTTCCCTCACTCTATAGAGAAGGACATGGAGGCACAATGAAATACATGATCAGTGGCTTTTCCAGGGTCACAGGAAGTGCAAAGTCAGGAATCAAGCCCAAGTTATAATCCAAGTCTAGTATTCATTCTACTATGTAACAGCTGCTGGATCAACCACAGTGGGCCTGAATCTACCCACAGGGCAGGCTGCTGTCACTTTTGCATTGGAGCAGTGCTTCTCAAACTCAACAGTCTACGAGTTACCAGGGTACACTGTCAAAATGCAGATTCTGATCAGTGAGGGCCTGAGATTCTGCACTTCTAACAAGCTCCCAGATGTCACCCATGCTGCTGGTTAACAGACCATCTTTTGAGCACCACGGCCTTAGGGTGATGCCTCTCAATTCAGATCCCACATGAAAATTACCTAGGTAATTTTTTTTTTTTTTTTTGGAGACAGGGCTTCACTCCTGTTGCCCAGGTCAGGCTGGAGTGCAATGGAGCGATCTCGGCTTGCTCCAACCTCTGCCTCCCGGGCTCAAAGTGATTCTCCTGCCTTAGCCTCCCAAGTAGCTGGGACTACAGGTGCATGCCACTGCTCCTGGCTAATTTTTGTATTTTTTGTAGAGATGCGGTTTCGCCATGTTGCATCGGCTGGTTAGGTCTCAAACTCTTGAGCTCAAGTGATCCATCAGCCTTGGCCTCCCAAAGTGCTGGGATTACAGGCATGAGCCACCACACCCAGCCCGGCACTTTTTTTTTTCTTTTTTGAGATGGAGTTTCACCCTGTTTGCCCAGGTGTGAGTGCAATGGCATGATCTTGGCTCACTGCAACCTCCGCCTCCCAGGTTCAAACGATTATCCTGCCTCAGCCTCCTGAGTAGCTGGGATTACAGGCGCCTGCCACCATGACCAGATAATTTTTAGTAGAGACGGGATTGCACCATGTTGGTCAGGCTGGTCTCAAACTCCTGACCTTGTGATCCACCCGCCTCAGCCTCCCAAAGTGCTGGGATTATAGGCATGTGCCACTGCGCCCAACCCTTTTTTTCTTTTGAGATAGAGTTTCACTCTATTGCCCAGGCTGGCCAGGCTGGAGTACAGTGGCGCAATCTCAGCTCGCTGCAACCTCCGCCTTGTGGGTTCAAGAGATTCTCCTGCCTCAGCCTCCCCAGTAGCTGGGATTACAGGCGCATGCCACCATGCCCAGCTAATTTTTTGTATTTTTAGTAGAGACTGGGTTTCTCCATGTTGGCTAAGTTGGTCTCAAATTCCTGACCTCAAGTGATCTGCTGGCCTCGGCCTCCCAAAGTGCTGAGATTACAGGCAAGAGCAGCGGCCCTGGCCGGGTACTCTTAATAGTACTGTTGCCTAAGTCCCATCCCTCCTCAGAGACTGATTCAGTTGGACGCAGGCATCAGTATTTTTTTTTTCTTTTAAAAGAGTTGATTCTGTTACTCTTATGTATAGCTACAGCTAGAACCACTGCCTTAGAGACTACAGCTCCCTATTCAGCCCAGTCCGTTGGTGGTTATTCCTAGTAGTTACCTCTGTTCACTTGCCAGAGATGCTGCAGCAGCAGAGGCAGTGTCTCCTTGACGATGCTGGGATGTGTTGATACAGCTGACAAGGCTTGCAGACAGCACAGATGCCGGGAGCATTGGGTGGGCTCATCTCCGTTAGTCAAATTTGACTCCCCTGAAAGCAACCCATGAGACAAAGGTTTACTGTGTGATAGGAAGCACGAAGGCCCCAAAGCCTTGCTGGAAAGGGATGGGCCACAGAGGATTAGAGACACATACCTACACGCAGCTCCTCAGCGAGCTTGGGTACGAGGTGGCTGCTGAAGGCCACAGGGTAGAGAGCAGCCAGGGTTCCTGATGCTTCCAGTGCTGCCACCCTGCTGGAGGCGCAGAGCAGATAAGCATTGGCTGAGCCTGGGCTCACAGCTCTCTTGCCTACGTCTGATATTAGGCAGATTCAGGAGTGTGAGCTCCCAACGCCTCCTTGCTAAAGAGCAGAACTCAAGTACCTACACCACTGAGTTGGACAGGGCTTCTTAAAGCCTAAGAAGAGAGCAGTCCTACATCTCTCCAACTGGTTAGCAGCCAGAGTCTAACACAGAGCTCACCTCCCCTAAGGAGAGCCAAGGGTCAGAAGCACAGAGCCCTGGTCCTAGCTTGATCTTTTGCTGCCAATACAGAGGCAGGGAACAGCTTGCTCTATCTCATTGCTTTAAATTCTCACCAACTCTGGGAATCCTCCTTCAGGAAGCTCAGTCTGTACAGGTGACCCACTGCCAGCTCCAAGTCCTCATAAGATAGGAGATCTGTAGTTAGAAGGGAACATGAATCTCATCTTTCTTCCCCTGCAGCCATCACAACCCTTCTAAGCTCTTATTAGAAATCCCAAATCATCCAGAGTTGCAGTAAGAAGAGGATAGTAAGGCTGCTTTTCACCAAGGCAGTCTTACAAGAAAAGGACCAATATTTTCCTCTTCTCTTTCCCTTAAGATGTACCTGGCTGGGCACCCAAGACTGTCAGTGTACGGATGCCAACAAGCTGAAGCTGGGTGCTGGGGTCTGTTAGAGCCATGAATACCAGTGAGCACAGCTGGTCCTTGAAGCCATTCAGAGGCCTTTGATCTAGGGAAGAGACAGAGGCCAGGTTAGAAGGAAGCCACTGCATTCCATATCCCTGACTAAGCTGTGATACACAGCCAACCTGGGGTAGATTTTTTTTTTGAGACAAGGCCTCTGTTGCCCAGGCTGGAGTGCAGTGGCGTAATCTCGGATCACTGCAGCCTCTGCCTCCCAGGTTCAAGCCATTCTCCTGCCTCAGCCTCCCGAGTAGCTGGAATTACAGGCATGTGCCAACAGGCCTGGCTAATTTTTGTATTTTTAGTAGAGACAGGGTTTCACCATATTGGCCAGGCTGGTCTCGAACTCCTAACCTCAAGTTTTCCGCCTGCCTTAGCCTACCAAAGTGCTGGGATTATAGGTGTGAGCCACCATGCCCCGCCTCCTGGGGCAGATTTAAAGAGCTTAATCCATTGGGTATCCAGAAAGCACACTGAGAAAAATAAACAGATCTCATCCATCTCATCTGTTAAGTGTTCTCTTGTGCTACAACCTCAGAATAGGACCACTGTTCTAGACTACTTTTCCACAGCACTCTTTGCCCTGCTATCCTTTATAGGCTGAAGTGTTCAACAGTCCCCAGAGCACTGCAATGGAAGGCAACCTCACCTTTGTCTTCATAGCTCCATTTCTGCTGCAGCTTCAAGAAACCCAGGAGCATTTCAAGGATTGTCCGCCGCTGGCTGCTCTGTAACGTTTCAAGGGGTACTAGAGTCAAAGAATATTTTAAAGGATTTCAATCCTGCTACTCTGGATATAGGGAAAATTCTTTCTTTCTTCCAAGAGATGGGGGTTTTGCTATGCCACAGCCAGGCTGGAATACAGTAGCATGATTATAGCTCCCTGCAGCCCCGACCTCCTAGGTTCAAGTGATTCTCTCGCCTCAGCCTCTTGAGTAGCTGGGACTACAGATGCGTGCCACCTTATCCAGCTAATTTTTTTTTTTTTTTTTTGTAGAGATGTGGTCTTGTCTTGTTGCCCAAGCTGGTCTTTAAATCCTAGCCTCAAGTGATTGTCCTGCCTTGGTCTCCTAAAGTGCTGGGATTACAGGCATGAACCAGCATGTCCTGCTTGGCTAATTTAAAAAAAATTTTTTTTTTTTTAGAGATGGGATCTCACTTTGTTGCCCAGGCTGATCTTGAACTCCTGGCTTCAAGCTATCCTCCTGTCTTGGGAGAATGATCCTTTTATGTATGAGACAGGGAAAAAGTGAGTAAGGGAAGCAGCAGCAGCAGCTAATGGGAGCAAAACCCAAGGTCTACTATGTTGGCCCAAGCTAAAACTTAGCTCACTCTCTGAGAAAGGGAACCTAGCACACAGGTCCCATCATTTCCCCCAAAGATTCTGCTCCCTTACCTGACTGTGCTTGTGGAACTGTTCCAGCAGTAAAGGCAGTACATTGCTGGTGACAGAGTCACAGGCCCGGGCAGATGCACCTGCAGCTGCCTGCAACAGCTTGGCACTAGGCCACACCAGTTTCATGTCCGGTTCACACAGGTGGTGCCTGCAGTCTAGAGAAGCAGCACATCACAGAGCTGGGGAGGAGGCCAAATGGTGCCTGACTCCCCTACAGTCCACAGAGGTTGGAGACTGAGACCCATGACAGTTTGCAAGCAGTTAACACTCAAATTGTTTTCAATTCAAAGTAGGGCTATCGCCCCCAAATCACCAAATATGTTGGGACTAAACAATAAAGGTCACTGGCCCTTAAGGAATGTCATTTGTTTTTTTTTTAGAGATGGAGTTTTGCTCTCGTTGCCCAAGCTGGAGTGCAGTGGCGCAATCTCAGCTCACCGCAACCTCTGCCTTTTCAAGCGATTCTCCTGCCTCAGCCTCCCGAGTAGCTGGGATTACAGGCGTCCACCACCACGCCCGGCTAATTTTTGTATTTTTAGTAGAGACGAGGTTTCACCATGTTGGCCAGGCTGGTCTTTAACTCCTGACCTCAGGTGATCCACCCGCCTCGGCCTCCTAAAGTGCAGGGATTACAGGCGTGAGCCACCGCACCCAGGCAAGGAATGTCGTTTCTATTGTGCTCACTCCCCTTCCTGGCTGCCACGGCCCCATTACCCTGTAGAATGTTGCTAAGGAAGGAGTCAAGGAGGTCCTCAGCATCAGCCCTCAGCACAGAGCGAGACAAACACGCAGTCAGGGAGTGGAGGGCCGCCAGGCCCTCTGCCTCCACCCGCTCACTTGCCGTCTGGAACACCTGTCAGGGAGGGATCCCATGGCTACTGAGGTGAGCCTGCACCAGATGAGACCCCACCAATCCACTGCCTATTTCCTTGTTGGAGAGGGGAGTGAGAACCTCTAGGACACAGAAATGGAAATTAACACCCCAACTGAGTGTCTTCTCAATTGGTGTGTTCTTACCAAGTCCTTAGTCACACTCAGGACAGAGACACATACTTTCTGAGAAACAAAAAGCCAACTCTGAGCAGTGGCTCTGCTCACCTTTCTATTCACCATGGTGCCAAAGGCACCATGACCTGCACTCCTTGCCACAGAAGGACAAGAAGTGGGTAATGTGCAAAGGTGATCAGCTGCTCTTACCAAGCAGCTGACCGTCACATAGGGACTCTCTCTCTTGTCATTCAACTAGAATTATGTCCCCCTACTTGCCTCCTGAATAACCAGGCATTATATCTTGGCCCTGGGGATGACAGAGGGAAAAGGACAGGATGTATTATTTCCCCTCATGCCTGACAATTGAAAGTTAACAGTAGTGAGTTTATCTGAGTGACACTCACCTCTCTGCGGATAGAAGCCCAAAGGCTGGGGAGGAAGTCCTTCAGTTCCTTCTGTCCATACACAGCACAGCAAGCATTCTGCCAAGGAAACCGCTGCTATCAGTTATGTACACACTCAGACACCCTAGGATGTGCAGGTACCTCAGCATAATGGCACCTGAAGGAGCCCTGGTCTCAGCAGAAAAACCAGTTAAGATTTTTAACAGTCCTACTAAGGGAACAGAGAAGTAGGAGATAACCCTGGTTGATAAAATAGAAGCCTAAAGAGGGAGTCCTGGTCAGCCTTTCCTCAGTTACTATGGGATGGGGGATGGGACACGACGATATGCAGCTGGGGGCTTCAGGTCGACACAAAGGCCCAAATCCTGGGTATCCTCTTCTGAGGCCCATGAACTGTTCCTTGGCTATCCTAGAATCTATATCCTTTAGGACCCCTAACTTGTCAAAAGGTAGCTGGGTCCTGCAAGGAGAAAAATCACTCACCAGAGTCTGTAGAGAATCCAACTTGGCACTCAGAACCTCAGAATCCACTTTCTCAATCAACAGGGGCAGCAGAAACTGTGGGACAGAAGGAAGATCTTAAGCCTGAGATGGGTGGTGTGTCAGTCACATCAAGGTCAACCCTGTCCTTGCCATCAGTCCCTAAAAGCAGGTACTACATCAAGGAGCTGTACTCAAGTCAGGAGCTATGAATGTAAGCTAACCTTCCTGCCAAGCAGTGACCAGAGCCCCACTACCTCAAAAACAGGCAAGTTGACAAAGTTACAGGATTTTAAAAGACAGCACCATATAGGGATTGGGTTTATTTATTTTTTTGTGTAGCGGAGACGAGGTCTCCCTATGTTGCCCAGGCTGGATTTGAACTCCTGGGTTTAAGTGATCCTTTCCACTCAGACTCCTCCTGAGTAGCTGGAACTATAGGTGTGTGCCACTGAATCCAGCTCTGGATTATGAAGAGATGGTAAAGTTTTCTACATCGAAGGTCTGAAGATACCTGCCACACAAGACACTTGCAGGGTGTCATGCCCTAAAATGTATACCAGATATTTTTTTCTCCATGCTTTTACTGCTCTTTCTTCAGAGCCATCTATGGGCAGAGGCTATATACCCTAACCTTGGCTAGACCCACCTCAGCAAATCGTGGTGTAGAAGCCAGCACAGCGCGAAGACTCAGGATGAGGTCTTCTCTCTGGATACCATGGGGATCATTAGGTGGCTGGAAAAGGGAGAAGGGCTGTGGGTTTGTGTAACATTTCAGACCACCTTGAACACAGGCTCGAACCTGGTAACCCTGCAGAACAGGGTGATACTCATACCCAATCAGGGAAGATAGTAAGATAATGAGGCCCCAGCAAGAAGACTTGCTTGATCTTAGGTACTCCTTGGGAACTTTTGTCTTTAGGCATTTTAAAAAATCTGATTACACATTTTCTATCATTTCACCACTCAGAAATAAGCATGCTTAACTTTCTGGTGTATTCCTTTCTTCGCTGATATATATTGTTACTATGTGCTAGTATATACTGTTTCCATATAAAATATATATATACTTAAAAATCATTTTGTACATGTGGTTTTTAATTTTTTTCACTTAACATATTAAGAACATTTTTATGGTATTATTCTTTCATAGCATTAGTTTTAGTGGCTATGATTTCATTTTGTGGTTGTACCAGTTTATCTAGATAATTCCTTGTTGATGGACATTTCCATTTTTTTCACCCTTATAAAAAGCTGTAATTCTGAAAACAGAAAGCCTTGATGGTTTCTGTACCAAGACGACAGACTGAAAACATATATCAGGTTTTCCTTTTCCTCTTTGCAAACTCCACCAAAAACATAGTAAAAGAAGGGATTTACTATTATTATTATTATTTTTTTTTGAGACAGAGTCTCACTCTGTCACCCATGCTGGATTGCAGTGGCTTGATCCTAGCTCAGTGCAACCTCCACCTCCTAGGTTCAAGTGATTCTCATGTCTCAACCTCCCAAGTAGCTGGGGTTACAGGCGCACCAACACACCTGGCTAATTTTTATATATTTTTTGTAGACATGGGGTTTCATCATGTTGGCCAGGCTGGTCTGGAACTCCTGACCTCGAATGATCCACCCACCTCAGCCTCCCGAAGTGCTGGGATTACAGGCGTAAGCCACCGAACCTGGCCTGGTTTCTGTTTTCATGACTGGACTTTGATAGAAAAGATAAAACTGTGGAATTCTCTTATAAAGTAACAAAAAGACAGAGGTACAAAATAGAAAACAAAAGGTCAGAAAATCAGAGGTCCAACAGAAGATTAATGAGAGTTCCAAAATGAAGGAACAGAGAAAAGAGAGAGGAAGAAATCATCAATTAAAGAATTCAAGAAAAATTTACAGGACTAATGGACACGGGTTACCAGATTGACAGGGCCTACTAAGTACCCAACACAGTACATGAAATAGACCAATACTAAGGCACATCACTGTGAAGTTTCAATGTATCGGGGTGAACCAAACATCAGTTTATAGAGAGGAAGAAAAAAATGGTAAATACAAAAGTTTATGAAACAGAAGAAATTCAGACTTCTCCACAGCAAATGAAAACTAGATAACTAGGCTTATTTATTTATTTGAGATGGAGTTTTGCTCTTGTTACACAAGCTGGAGTGCAATGGCACGATCTTGGCTCACTGCAGCCTCTGCCTCCAGGATTCAAGCGATTCTCCTGCCTGTCTCCCGAGTGGCTGGGATTACAGGCTCACGCCACCATGCCCGGCTAATTTTTTTGTATTTTTAGTAGAAATGGGGTTTCACCATGTTAGCCAGGCTGGTCTTGAACTCCTGACCTCAGGTGATCCGCCTGCCTTGGCCTTTCGAAGTGTTGAGATTACAGGCATGAGCCACCACGCCCAGCCAATAACTAGATTTAAATGTAGCAATGCCTTCAAAATCTTAGGAGAAAATAATTTCCATTTTTTTTTTGTTTTTGTTTTTGGTTTTTTGGTGACTGAGTCTGGCTCTGTCTTCCAGGCTGGAGTGCAGAGGCATGATCTTGGCTCAATGCAACCTCTGCCTCCCCAGCCCAAGCCATCCTCCCACCTCCACCTCCCGAGTAGCAGGGGCTACAGACTCGACCACCACGCCCAGTTAATTTTTGTATTTCTTATAGACAAGGTTTTGCCATGGTGCCCGGGCTGGTCTTGAACTCCTGAGCTCAAGCAATCCACCTGCCTCAGCCTCCCAAAGTAGCGGGATTACAAGCGTCAGTTACTGCACCTGGCCTCTTTCTCAGGTGCAATCATAGTGCACTACAGCCTCAAACTCCTGGCCTCAAGTGATTGTTCTGCCTCAGCCTCACAAGTAGCTGGGACTGCAGACATGTGCAACTGCATCCAGCTAGAATTCTCTTTTTATTTATTTTTTTTTTTGAGATGGAGTTTTACTCTTGTTGCCTAAGCTGGAGTGCAATGGCGTGATCTCGGCTCACTGTAACCTCCGCCTCCCAGGTTCAAGCAATTCTCCTGCCTCAGCCTCCCAAGTAGCTGAGATTACAGGCGCCTGCTACCACGCCTAGCTAATTTTTGTATTTCTAGTAGAGACGGGATTCCACCATGTTGGTCAGGCTAGTCTCGAACTCCTGACCTCAAGTGATCCACCCGCCTCGGCCTCTTAAAGTGCTTAGATTACAGGTGTGAGCCACTGCGCCCGGCCTAGAATTTCTATTCTTGAATTACATGCCCATAATGTCAAAAATGAGAGACAAGATTGAAGGCATTTAAGGGTTACAAATCTAAAAAATTCTCACTTCTTCATACATTCTCTCAGGAAAATACTAAAGGAAGTACACCATCAAACTGAGGGGGTAAACCACAAAATGAGGAATATGTGAACTCAGGAAACAGGAGATCTGATCCAAGAAAAAGGATAAGGGAATCTAGGATGACGGTGAAGGAAGAACCAATATCTACTCTGCATTAGGAGTAAAAATCAACCTGTTGACATTGTTTGGCTAAGAATGGTTTTAACATTTTTAATGTTTGAAACAAACCAAAAGAATATCTTGTGACAAGTGAAAATTATATGAAATTCAAAGTTTAGTGTTGATAACAAAAGTTCTATTGGGATATAGCTACTGTAGCTGTTCCTGTGTCTAAGGCTGTTTTTGTGCAGTAACAGCAGAGTTGAGGAGACCATATGACCCACAAAGCTACTGTCTGGCCTTTTATAGAAAAAGTTGGCCAGGCATGGTGGCTTATGCCTGTAATCCCAACACTTTGGGAAGTCGAGGCAGGTGGATGGCTTGAGCCCAGGAATTCAAGACCAGCCTGGGCAACATGGCAAAATCCTGTCTCTATAGAAAAATACAACAATTAGTCGGGAGTAGTGTCATGTGCCTATGGTTCCAGCTACTCGGGAGGCAGGGGTGGGAGGATCACCAGAGTACCAGAGTCCAGAGAGGTGGAGGCTGCAGTGAGCTGTGATGGTGCCACTACACTCCAGCCTGCCTCAAAAAAAAAAAAAAAAAAGGGAAAGAAAAAGTTTGCCAACCTCTTCTTAGAGTGAGCATATAAGCATAGTGAAGAAACTGAACCTTAAGCTCATCAGATCCACTATGATGGCACACAATACTGATTTGTGGCTGGATATGTGGCTCACACGTGTAATCCCAGCACTTTGGGAGGCCGAGGCAGGTAGATCAGTTGAGGTGAGGAGTTCGAGACCAACCTGGACAACATGGCAAAACCCCATCTCTACTAAAAAATATAAAAAAAAAATTAGTCAGGCATGGTGGCACGTACTGTAATCCCAGCTATTCAGGTGGCTGAGGCACAACAATCACTCGAACCCCGGAGGCAGGGGTTGCAGTGAGCAAGGATTGTGTTACTGCACTCCAGCCTGGGCAACAGAGTGAGACCCTGTCTGAAAAACAAAACAAAACAGAACAGAACCAACAACAATAAAAACCCTGATTTGTAAGACAATAAAGAGTATTTGTAACTCAAATAGTTACACTAAAGCCAAGTGTCTCTGTTTTAATTAATATCTTGATAAGAGCTTTCTGCTTCTGATAGACTGCAGTGCAGAACAACATACAAAAATCTGCTTGAATGAGAGAAATCTTCCTAATATTATCTGTAAGTTTATTTTGCCTAGATTATCTCTGTGAAAATAAACAGCTGTGAACAGTGATTGTTTCTAATGGGAAAATGGACAGTAGCAGTAAAGGGGTATGAAAGAAGTTTAATTATCTACCCTTTAAATGCTGAATCATGCTCATTGTATAACCTTTCAAAAAAATGGATGAAATACTGTTCCTCTCCCCCAAATTATAAATGCACATATTCTTTGACCTAGCGATTTCTTTTAGGAATTTATTCTATCATTATATTCATATGTATGAAAGTTGTAGCACTGCTCATAACAGCAAAAGATTAGCAACAATCCACAGAGGACTAGTGAAATTATTCATTATTTCCGGCCAAAGGAATATTATGCAGCCATAAAGAATGAAAGAGCTAACTTATATACTGACGTGGAACACTCTCCAAGACATAGTGTTCAGTGAAAAAAGCAAAGTACAGGAGAAGTGTGTGTGTGTGTGTGTGTACATGCCCGCATGTGCACACATTGATTTTAGGGGGGTGGTGGTAAAAGCATTTGCTTACATATAGATGAAAAAGCTCTGTAAAGATACAAACATAACTGATAACTTGGTTGATTATGGAGAAAAAAAGATGGTAGGGAGATTTCTCACCCTTTTGGACTTTGAATCATGTGAATGAATTATCTTTTCAAAACCAACACAAAACACAAAATAAAACAAAGTAAAGGCTGGGCATGGTGGCCCACGCCTGTAATCCCAGCACTTTGGGAGGCCGAGGCAGTTGGATCACGAAGTCAGGGGTTCAATATCAGCCTGGTCAAGATGGTGAAACCCCATTTCTACTAAAAATACAAAAAAAATTAGCCGGGCATGGTGGCGGGCGCCTGTAATCCCAGCTACTTGGGAGGCCGAGGCAGAGAATTGCTTGAACCCAGGAGGCAGAGGTTGCAGTGAGTTGAGATCGCACCACTGCACTCCAGCCTGGGAGACAGAGCGAGACTCCATCTCAAAAAAGCAAAAACCAAACCAAAACAAACAAAAAAGAAACACACACACCAAAAAAACCAAAGTAAAAACAGAAGAATGTGGGAGCTAAACCAGGATCTTTCAAGATTTCAAGGGTATAGGGTTAGAATAAGAATTCTGATTATGAAAGAGATAAAAAGATTCATTTCAGGAGACAGGTGGTCCCCAGTAACATAATGTCAACTGAAATAAGCTGGTAAGAAATTCCCTACAGCAAAGATGGTGGTGTCATTATAAAGGCAGTGAGAGTCAATATGCTGTTTGGCATGCTGCAATAGAATGCCTTTTATTTCTTTCAAACCACTAATGCTTGCAGCACACACACCCACACGGTGATGAAACTCTTGAGTATTTGGCAGTAGAAGGGAACTCAACTGCAGAATGGGAGGAAGGCCCAAGAGGGTCAGAGCAAATACCTTCTGTACACTGTGCACAATTGTGCCTTCTTTGTTTTGTCACTTTGTTTCTATAGCCTGAGATGCCCTGTCCAACTCCAGAATCATATCTTCTGCATCCCTCACAAACCAGCTGAAATCCTATCTTAACTGTGAAGTCAGTTCCTGCCTACTCTAGCTCACACTGAACTTTTGTCTTCTCTGAACAGCTATAGTACTACTCATTTTCCTACCTAATCTCCTATTGTTACTTAAATGTTTCAGCCTTCAAGGGCAGGGACAGTGTTTTGCAATCCTGTAGCCTTCAGCACTAAATACAGTGTTAAGGAGCTTAAGAATTCCCCCCAATACATGCTGCTTTGAATCATTCCTCATATGTCAAATGCTTTTCCATTTCCTAGTTTATTAAAATATAAAATAATGAGGGCGGGGATGTCTATTTTGGTGACCTGTACCCTCAGTGCCCAGAACAGGGCTTGGCACATAGCAGACACTCAATAAATATATGATCAAACAATGAAGGTGCTACTTACAGGGGTAAAATCGATAGGGAAATAACAGGATGTCACTTCAAACAACTCCTCCACAAAGGGTCCTGTGGCAACAGAGAAAAAATGAGGTTGGTTTATCAGCTTCACTCATCTGATAAAGCTCCAATGAGCTAATCATGGCTACCACGATATACCCAGGCTATAGTCCCTGGAGATGAGGTCATGGACGATGCGGAAGGCCACCAGAAGATTACGGGGATCCTTTTCCCCATCCATCACCTGGATGAAGCCAAAGGTGAAGTCAGCTCCTAGGCTCTTTAGCTCTGGGAAGGAGAGAATAAGGTTACTATACTGTCCCACAGCACAGAAAGTGTGGGCTTTCTCCTAGCCTGTGTTCTCCCTCTGCTATCATTGCCTCCCCTTTCTCTTCAGGGCTGACCCTTTTTCCATTCCAAGAAAGTACTCAGTGAAGAGATGTGCAACAATATACACATTGCTGTGGAGGCAAGAATTTAAAACACTGGCTCAAACAAACTCTACCCTTTCTTTACTTCACTGGGAGGGAGCAGACCCCCTCTTTCCCTTTATCATTCTCTCTCAGGATACCAGCTCTTCTATATAACCCCAGGTAAAATGAGTCCTACTAATAGGGGAAAAAGTAGGATGTGCTTGCTTTTGACATTTCCCAGAAAGCTCTGTCTCTTACCTTCTTCCCGGGTTCGCATAAAATTGGTGATGATATTGTAGACTGTGTGTCGGTCCACCTGTGGCAGGGACTTGGGGGTGGGGGAGAAAGAAGTGAAGAAAATGCTCAAAGAATACCTCAGCTGACACAGCTAGTTCCTGCTTCATAATCTCTAAGTGAACAGTGCTCTTTATACCAGCATAAGATCAATCTAAGAGAAACTACAGAGAAAGGGTATGGATATTGACTCAGCAGCACAGCAGTGGTGCCAATAATTCAAACCTGCCTGACAGAGGGATGCCTTACTTTCTGTAGGTATAAGAGGACACAGGTCAGATCTAATGGCATGCACCCCTTTCCTTGTCCAATAACAAAGATGAGCATATAAACATACTGAAGAAGAGCATAAAAACATTCACAAGATCCAAAAGAATTCAGAACTTAGAAGGCAATAATTTTTGCTATTGAATCCCAGTTATGTCAAGGGGTAGAGACAGAGGAGAATACCAACATGACTGTTATCCCTCACCTGTACATGCACTTCCTGGAAGATGGCTTTAAGCACAGAAACAGCCAGCCCTGGGGGCAGGGCCACACACAGGCTCTGGGGGAGAGGAGAAGGTACGTGAATACCGAAGGAATTGCAGCATGGCCTCCAAGACACAACCCTACGACAGGCCTAATTAGCTACTGTAAGAATCACAGCATCCTGGTTGAGGAAGAAGCACTAATAGTGAGACTCTTTCTCAAGCTGATGAGTTCTCTGCAGCTCTTTCCAGATGGCTCTGGTTTCCAGTCCCCCAAAGTACACTTTTACTCTCTAGAGGGAAAACGGAAGTAGAGCTGGTAACACTAATTTAGTCCCACACTTGGGCACCTGCTCCTCAGCATGTGAACCATCACACCCAAAGCGCAAGGAGAGAACTAGACAAGGGCTCCCTTGAACAAAGTTATGTAATGAAATGAAGGAAAACTCACAAGTGCCTTCAAACCCTGCAGGACAGATGGGATCACAAGATGATGGTCCTTCAGCCGGTTCTCATAGAACAGTATCAGGTGTACCACTGCACAAACCAGATTCAGCCATTAGTTGACATAGGCACGAGAAGGGCCCAAGAGCTTTGTTCCTTCCCTAAGTCTATAACAGTTGTTTCTGTTTGGGTTCCACTACAAATTTTCTCTTTCACCAAGAGACATGTCCTGTGCCTTCCCATTTGAAGGTAGACACCTGATCAGTCGGGAAAATAGGGGAACATTTCTTAATATCCATTCTCATACAGGTCCACAGTAAAACCCATTCTCAGCCCAAAACTGCCTTTCTACAGAACTAGAGTTCACAAATTTTTTCCTAAAGGGTCAGACAGTAAATATAGGCTTACAGGGTATGGTCTCTATCCCAACTACTCAACTCTGCTGTTTTAACAAAAAAGTAGCATAGACAACAGGGAAATAAATGAGTGTAGCTATGTTCCAATAAAAGTTTATAAAAACAGGTGTATGATGTGTTTTTTTTAATGTGTGACATAAATTATTTTTTCTGTGTATCTATTTTTAAATTTATATAGATGATATTATACTAAACACAAATACCCACACACATATACCCCCAAACAGGCTGTAGGTTGGGCATGTGGTGCTTGCCTATAGGGAGGCTGAGGTGGGACGATCATTTAAGCCCAGAGGTTTAAGGCCACCCTGAGCAACACAGTGAGACCCTGTCTCCAAAAAACAAATAAAAGGGGTTCCCTCTCTTGGCTTTGGAGCCCTCCCTCCCTCTGCCTCTATACAGGGAAGATTCTTCCTTCTCCCTTCCTTCTTGCCCCTTCTTGCCTATTAAACTCTCCGCTACTTAAAACCACTTCATGTGTGTCGGTGTCGTTTTATCTAAACCAGCATGAGGACCAAGAACCCTGGTGTTCCTCCACTCATTGGAGCCGTATCATTTTGGTGTGTTGGCTGGGAAAGGAAATTCGTTCATCAGACTGAAGCAATCAAACTCCAAATGGTACTGTAAACTGAACCTCACATTGACACGCCATTCTTGTGAGGACCCTTAGATCAACCCCAGGAGGAGCCCTTGCTGCTGTTCCCCATTCGACGCCCCTTTTCAGTAGGAAGTAGCCAGGAGTCATCACCCCAAACCCCGTAACAGCAGTTAGTGTGGCATCTCTACAGGGGGGAATGTTGTAGGAGTTATTAAGAAATTATTACGTGCTGCATTTGCCCCTTGAGCCAGGTGGATGTTTACTGTGTGTTATATAACTTCCTGGCTCCTTCACTGAACATGCCTAGTCCAACATTTTTTCCCAATCAGTCACATCCTGGGATCCAGTGTATAAATCTAATATCATATGTCTTGTGCATAATTCTTCCAAAGGATCTTATTTTGTGAACTATATCAGTAGTGTACATTACCATATAATGTAAAAACATCTACATATAAACAATGCAACCAACTATCCAAGTGTTATACCAACTAAAACCCCCAATAAACCTTGAACAGTTAAGAAAAAAAAAAAAGAAAGAAATTATTTTAGGCAAATAGAGAGGAAAAGGGGTCCTTGGGAAGTTTTTGTTTTTAAAAGCATCTCCAGAAAAGTTTCCTGTAAAGCCCTGGCTCTTAGTGCCAGGCCGCAACCTTTGATATGCAAATGAAATCCATTAGAAACTGGGTCCACCCAAATATGGCGATTCCCATGGCGTTCCTGCCCTTTCCCCACCTTCCTGGCAACATGGCTGCCCCCATGTATCCCCACATGTGTAGAATATCATGGTGCCCTGCATTTGCATATTAAAAGGCTCGGGTAGGAGGGCCAGCTTTTTTGCCGGCTATGTGAATGACATGCCTAGTCAAACCAATCCCCCGAGCCCTATGCAAATCAGACACCGCCTCCTCCAGCTTCTGGATATATTACCTAGCTGGTATCTGTGGCAGGCGGAGTTCCCTCTCTTGGCTTTGGAGCCCCGCTCTGTCTCTGTACAGGGGAGCTTCTTCCTCCTCCCTTCCTTCTTGCCTATTAAACTCTCTGCTCCTTAAAACCAAAAAAACAAAAAAAACAAAACAAAAAAACCAGGCTATAGTTTGCCTACCCCTGCTATACAAGATAAATAAGTTGTTGTCCTTTTTCCCCCTCAGGACCTCAAAGCATGCCGATATTTCATTACTTTTCATCTTTACCTATGAAATACTGCTCTGTTCATTTTACGGAGTGGGAAAAATACACTGAAAAAACAGTCTAAGGCTACATTTGAAATCCATGTGTCTTTCTTTTTTGAGATGGAGTCCCGCTCTGTCATCCAGGCTGGAGTTCAGTGGCGTGATCTCGGCTCACTGCAACTTCCATCTCCTGGGTTCAAGCGATTCCTGCCTCAGCCACCCAAGTAGCTGCAGGCGCCCAACACCATGCCCAGCTAACGTTTTATATTGAAATCCATGTGTCTTGTGTCTCAATTCTAATCATCTCTGCCACATATACCAGTGAGGAATGAAGACCTTGAATTAGTAGTTCATAGATACTTTAAGCCCTCCCTCCCTGCCTGTAAAGTTGGCTTGAATAGACATGGGAGACCTGGGCTCAGCAATCCAGGAAGACATTCCTATTAGTGACACCAGTACCTTCCTTCTCCAGGAGCAAGGTGTGACAGTGGAGTAGCACCTGTGACAAAAGCTGGATTGCTCGTGCCCGAGTTCGGGGTTCTGGATTCTCTAGAGAGGACCTAGGGGAAAACAGGATAGAGAGAACCTGCAATTACCCAGTTCAAATGTTTGAAGAAATAAACATTTTACATTAGTCACACTCACCCCCTGGGCATGGAAGCAGAGCCAAGCCCTGTTAAGAGTAAAAACAGCCCAGGAAGGTGTTCCTGAGGTAACGGCATTACAGATACCAGTAAGGACAGAAGGCTTAAGAGCGATCCTCAGACTGAAGTGGCATCATTTAGAGGCACACGTGACACCAAGAGCCAACAGAGGTTTCTGCCTCCAGGTACCCCAGTTTGGCACCTAATAAGCACTGTGCTTACTCTTTCTCCCCAGTGGTATGATTGTGACATTCCTCTGAAATACAGCTTAGCAGCTACCCACAGGGTTTGAGAGATGATTGGCAGCTGCAGCTTCCACCAAAACAAGGAGAATACGTGTATTTCTGTAAATTAATGCTAAGGAAAAAAAATTGCTCAGAATCACCACCAAGTTCCTAGAGTAAAAGAAAACATGAAAAACCAAAACTTTATAACTGGAAGGTTACAAAGTAAGAGGGCCAGAATATAGCTTTAACTAGTTAACTAGGTAGGATTATTGATATAGGAGAAGCTGGACTGAAGCAACAAGGAAGTGACTTATCCTCAAAATTGCTCTACGGAGATTATACTGAAACATACTAGAAATAATCTAAGCAGCAACAAGCAGAAAGTGGAAGAGTTCTGGCCATGACAGTTGTATTGAACCTCAAGGGTAAGAGTGTATATAACTCAGAGTAAGGGGAAAAAAATAAGGTCACTCTTAACAGGATCCCCAGGATAAAAACCTGTAGAAAGGTTTCTACTCAGGAAGTAGAAAACTGTGCATTCAGGTTGGGTGTGGTGGCTCACACCTGTAATCCCAGAATTTTGGGAGACAGACGAGAGGATCACTTGAGCCCGGCAGTCGTGACCAGCCTGGGCAACATAGTGGGACCCTGTCTCTACAAAAAATACAAAAACTTAGCTGGGCATGGTGGCACAAGCCTGTAGTCCCAGCTACTTGGGAGGCTGAGGTGGGTGGATGGCTTGGGCCCAGGAGATCGAGGCTGCAGTGGGCCATGATCGCTCCACTGCACTCTAGCTCGATTAACAGAGTGAGACCCTGTCTCAAAGAAAAAGAAAAAAAGAAAATTATGCATTTGGAGCATTTAAAAATGGAACAAGGCACACAAATGCTCATAGCAGCATTATTAGGAATAGCCAAAAAGTGGAAACAATCCAGATGTCCGTCCACTGATAAATGATTAAATAATATGCATATCCATAAAACGGGAATATTATTCAGCAAGAAAAGAAATGCAGAACTGATGTGTGCTGCAACATGGATGAACCCCAAAAACATGCTAAGTGAAAGAAGCTGGCAACAAAGGTCACGTGTGTGATTCCATTTATATGACATTTCCAGAGTAGGCAAAGCCATAGAAGACAGAAAGTAGATTAGTGATTGCTGGGGGTTGGGAAGAAGAGGGAAGGGGAAATGACTGCTAATGGGCATGGGTTTCTTTCTGGAGTAATGAAAATGTCCTCAAAATGACTGTGCTGAGAATTGCACAAATCTGTAAATATACTTTTACAAGCCACAGAATTGTACATTTTAAAATGGTGAACTTTATGATATGTGAATCATACATCAATAAGGCTGTGTGTGTGTGTGTGTGTGTGTATATATATACACACACACACACACACACACACACACACATATATTTTTTGAGATGGACTCTCACTCTGTCACCCAGGCTGGAGTGCAGTGGCGTAATCTCAGCTCACTGCAAGCTCCGCCTCGCGGGTTCACCCCATCCTCCTACCTCAGCCTCCCAAGTAGCTGGAACTACAGGCGCCCGCCACCATGCCCGGCTAATTTTTTGTATTTTTAGTAGAGATGGGGTTTCACCGTGCTAGCCAGGATGGTCTCGATCTCCTGACCTCATGATCCGCCCACCTCGGCCTCCCAAACTGCTGGGATTACAGGCATGAGCCACCGCACCTGGCCTATATATATTTTTTGATGGGGGTCTCACTCTGTCACCTGGGTTGGAATGCAGTGGCATGACCTGTTTACCACAACCTCCACCTCCCAGACTCCAGTGATCCTCCCACCTCAGCCTTCCGGGTAGCTGGGACCACAGGCGCATGCCACCACGCCTAGCTAATTTTTTGTATTTTTGGTAGAGACAGGGTTTCACCTTGTTGCCCAGGCTGGTCTTAAACTCCTGAGCTCAGGCAATCCACCTTCTTCGGCCTCTCAAAGTGCTGGGATCACAGGTATGAGCCACTGCACCCAGCCAATACTGTATATATTTTTTTTAATGGACCAAGGCCACCACAATGTGAGCAGAAAGGTCAAATAGTCTGTTATGTGGGAGAAATGTGTAACAGTGACTTTGTTTTTTAATTTCCCCCAGTTTTCTAGTTTTCTGTTTTAGAAGACATGCTGTCACAATTAACAACTCTTACTAATAAGACTTGTCAATTTAAATGGTCTATACCAATTATGAAATACGAGGAAAGTAGGCATTAGACTACAAGCACGTACTTCCTCTAAGTGCTTAGAATCCCAAGCTGTAACACTGCTTTATCAGCTGTTTCCCAAAGCCTTTCCTCCTAGTAGGGATCTGCAGCAGGGTCAGCCTCCTGGGAACTCCCCACACAGGGCCCACAGCTTGTTCTGAGTCAGGTCTAGGCAGGCTAGCATCCCATGGAGGTAGGTGGGTCTACAGATGCACAAAGGAATCAACAACAGCTGATGGCCTTCAACCACGTACCTCATCCCAAAGCCATGGGCTGTGCCAGGAGTTGATGTGGCCTACAGGCTGTGTGCTCCCAAATACTAAAGAAGCCTCAGCCAGACAGCATGAAACTTTTTTCAGGAGAAACAATTCAAACATATAGGCTTAGACTGAGGTACTAATATGGAAGGGGGCTGCTGGGCTACAAGACAAATTCAGGCTCCAGGAAAGCAGCAATGCGCAAAAGTAACTTTTCAGAATACACAGTCAGGGTTGGAGAAGAACATTCTATAGCAGAGGCTCTTACCCAAGGGCTTCCACAACTTGTAACACTGTATAGTTGCCAGATTTCACATCTGCAGGAAATAAAATAAATAAATATGAAAAATAAAAAAAAAACCTACCAAAGGGTTGAATAACACTAATTATAATGTTTCCTGCCTGCCCTAGGCTTTGTACCTGGGGGCCCACTATATTTGCCAAGAGCCCTCCTAGATGAGAAGCAGCATTGCTGTAACACTTCAAATATGCAGCTTTGTATAAAAATTGAAAAGAAAATAAATATATCATTTGTGAATGACATGAGCGTATATCCTGAAAATCCAAGAGAAATAAAAAAATCACAAACAAAATAATTTGTTAAATTAGCTGGATACAAAATATTATGAAATTTAAAACCTTCATATATATACATATACACAATAGCCTGTAAAATGATATAAGGAAAAAGACCCTGTTTATAATAGCGAAAAAAGAAAAACCAAAAAAATACCTGGATATAAACTTTTTCACTCATTTTTAAAAATCATGGTAAAATACACTACATAAAAACTTTTGTTTTGGCCGGGTGTGGTGGCTCATGTCTGTAATCCCAGCACTTTGGGAGGCGAGGTGGGCAGATCACGAGGTCAGGAGATCGAGACCATCCTGGCTAACACGGTGAAACCCTGTCTCTATTAAAAATACAAAAAATTAGCCAGGCGTGGTGGCATGTGCCTGTGGTCCCAGCTACTCAGAAGGCTGAGGCAGGAGAATCACTTGAACCCTGGAGTGCAGTGGTATAATCACAGCCTCCCAGGCTCAGGTGATCCTCCCACCTCAGCCTCCCCAGTAGCTGGGACCAAAGGCATGTGCCACTACCCCTGGCTAAGTATTTTGTATTTCTTTGTAGAGATGGGTTTCACCATGTTGCTGGTCTTGAACTCATGGGCTCAAATGATCCTCCCATCTCAGTCTCCCAAAGTGCTGGGATTACAGATGTGAGCCACTGCGTGCGACCTAGACATAAACTTAATAAAAAATGTGAAAATCTGAATGATGAAAACTTTATTTTATTTATTTATTTATTTTTGAGATGGAGTTCGCCTTTGTCACCCAGGCTAGAGTGCAATGGTGTGATCTCGGCTTGCTGCAACCTCCACCTCCTGGGTTCAAGCGATTCTCCTGCCTCAGCCTCCCGAGTACCTGGAATTACAGGTGCCTGCCACCACGCCTGGCTAATTTTTGTATTTTCTTTTCTTTTTCTTCTTTTTTTGAGATGGAGTCTTGCTCTCGTTACCCAGGCTGGAGTGCAATGGTATGATCTTGGCTCACTGCAACCTCCGCCTCCCGGGTTCAAGCAATTCTTCTGCCTCAGTCTCCCAAGTAGCTGGGATTACAGGTGCCCACCACCACGCCTGGCTAATTTTTGTATTTTCAGTAGAGATGGGGTTTTGCCATGTTGGCCAGGCTGGTTTTGAACTCCTGACCTCGTGATCCGCCCGCCTTGGCCTCCCAAAGTGCTGGGATTACAGGCATGAGCCACTGCACCTGGCCCTAATTTTTGTATTTTTAGTAGAGATAGGGCTTTACAATGTTGGCCAGGCTGGTGTTGAACTCCTGACCTCAGGTGATCCACCCGCCTCTGCCTCCCAAATTGCTGGGATTACAGGCATAAGCCACCGCACCTAGACGATGAAAATTTTAAAGCACTAGTGAGATATCACTTCATACCTGCTAGGATGGCTATTATCAAAAAGACAAGAGATAACAAGTGCTGGTGAAGAGAGAGAGAAAAGGTAACCTTTGTACACTGTTGGTGGGAATGTAAATTAGTACAGCCATTATGGAAAACAGCATGGAGGTTTCTTAAAAAATTAAAAATAGAACTACTATATGACCCAACAATCCCACTACTAGGTACATATCCAAAGGAAATGAAATCAGTATCTGTAGAGATGTCTGTACTCCCATGTTCACTGCAGCATTATTCACAGTAGCCAAGATCTGGTAGCAACCTAAGTGTCAACAGATAAATCAATAAAGAAAATGTGACGTGTGTGTACACATATACAACAGAATACTATTCAGCTATAAGAAAGAAAGAAATCTTACCACTTGGTGTTTTTTGTTTGTTTGTTTTTTTCTGAGACAGGGTCTCTCTGTCACCCAGGCTGGAGTGCAGTGGTGTGATCCCAGCTCACTGCAACCTCCACTTCTCTGTTTCAAGCAATTCTCCTGTCTCAGCCACCCAAGTAGCTGGGATTACAGGCGCATGCCACCATGCCTGGCTAATTTTTATTTTTTAGTAGAGATGGGGTTTCGCCATGTTGGCCAGGCTGGTCTTGAACTACTGACCTCAGGTGATCCGCCCACTTCAACCTCTGAAAGTGCTGGGATTGCAGGCGTGAGCCACTGTGCCAGGCCAAAATCCTGCCACTTGGGACAACACAAATGAACCTGGGTGAACATCTTGCTAAGTGAAGTAAGCCAGAAGAGAAAGACAAATACAGTATCCTATGATCTCACTTATATGGAGAATCTAAAAAAGTTTAATTCACAAAAGCAGAGAGTAGAATGGTGGCTGCAAAGTACAGAAGAAAATGGGGAGAAATTGGTAAAAGCGTTTTTTAAAACAAGCACTAATGAAGATCTGAAAAGGAAACTTTATAGAAAGGCATCTCATATCTTTGAAAGACTCAAGATGACAAATTTCCCAAATCAATCTGTAATTTTAAGATAATCGCCATAAAAACACTAACAGAATACTTTTGGAAACTAGATAAGCTTATCCTGAAATTAAAGTGCCATATATATATATATATATATATATATATATATAAAATTAAGACAGGCAAGTTGTGAAAAGGAGTAATAGAAAATCAGGGAGAAGGTAGCCCTTCCAGATATTAAGAGATTATTATATGGTCACATTTTAAAAGTGTACACTTTCAACAAAAAAAAGAAAAATAAAAAGTATACACTTTTGAATATACTTGTAATTTTCCATAATAAAAATAAAAAACAACCAGTGCAGTTTCAATTCATATTCAAAGAAATCAGTGGTGCAAAAATAGAATGGAAAGTCCAGAGACACAAATACATATGAGAATATGATTTTTAAAATCCTATTTCAGTTAATGGGAAAAATAAAGACTATTCAATAGTGTTAGAATGATTGTCCTGGAACCAATTTGGAAAACAAACAAAAACATTGGCTTTAAATCTTTCACCAAAATATGTTTTTTAAATATGAGAAAATTTCTTTTTTTTTTTTTTTTTTGAGACAGAATCTCGCTCTTTCGCCCAGGCCAGAGTGCGGTGGCGCGATCTCGGCTCACTGCAAGCTCCGCCTCCCGGGTTCATGCCATTCTCCTGCCTCAGCCTCCTGAGTAGCTGGGACTACAGGCGCCCACCACCACACCCGGCTAATTTTTTTGTATTTTTAGTAGAGATGGGGTTTCACCGTGTTAGCCAGGATGGTCTCGATCTCCTGACCTCATGATCTGCTGGCCTTGGCCTCCCAAAGTGCTGGGATTACAGGCGTGAGCCACCGCGCCTGGCCTAAATATGAGAAAATTTCTAAGAACAAGATAACATTCAGAAGCCCTAAAAGATTGGTTTTAAAAAGTCAGATTTTCTACAAGGCAAAAATAATGATCATAGGACAAACTGGGAAAAAAAATTACAAGTCTTATAACAAAAGGCCAGTTTCCCGATATATAAAGAGTTCCCACAAATCAATGCAGAAAAGGGCAACAATTTAAAATGGGCAAAAACAGGCTGGGCACAGTGGCTCATGCCTGTAATCCCAACACTTTGGGAGGCCAAGGCAGGTAGATTGCTTGAGGCCAGGAGTTTGAGACCAGCCTAGCCAACATGGCAAAACATGTGTGTGGTGGCGCATGCCTGTAAATCCCAGCTACTCGGGAGGCTGAGGGACAAGAATCACTTGATTCCGGGAGGCAGAGGTTGCAGTGAGCCGAGATCGTGCCACTGCACTCCAGCCTGGGTGACAGAGTGACGATCTGTCTCAAAATAAATAAATAAATAAAATTAAAAAAACAAAATGGGCAAAAACAAAAAAATGAACAGGCATTCCACATAAAAGGAACTACAAGTATGTACGAAAAGGTGCTCAACCATATTTACAATAAAAGATGTAAATTAAACTACACAGAAACTTTTTAAGAAAATCTAACAGACTGGCAAAGACAAAAAACTTAGCAATATATTATGTTTGGTCATGATATTCAGAAACAGACATTCTTAAACATTGTAGGTAGGATTATAAACTGGTGCAACCCTATATTGAGGGCAATATAACATCTTTAGAATTCCAGGTACATATAGGCTTTAACCCAGGAAAGCTAGAAGTTTATCCTCTAGCTATCTAGTCATCTTTTGGTATATACATGAGAGACTGGCTCCAGGACCTCCTGAGGATACTAAAATCTGTGGATGCTCAAGACCCTTATATAAAATGGTAAGAGTATTTGCATACAAACTATGGACACTCTCCTGTATACTTTAAATCATCTCTAGATTACTCATAATACTTAATACAATCTAAGTGCTACGCAAATAGTTGTTACATTGTATTGTTTAGTGAATAATGACAGGAAAAAAGTCTATACATGTTTGGTACAGTTGCTATTTTTTCCCCCAAATACTTTTGACCTGCAGTTGCTTGAATCAAGGATGCAGAACACACAGATATGGAGGGCTAACTGTACTGTGAAAGTGCAAAATAATGCATGTATAACGTTATTCAATACAGCATTATTCGTAACAGTAAATGACTGCAAACAACACATGCCCATCAATAAGAAACCAGTTAAATGAATTATAGTACATCCATACAATGGAATTCTCTGTAGCTACTTTTATTTATTTTTTAATCTTTTTTATTTTTATTTTTTGAGACAGCATCCTGCTCTGTTGCCCAGGCTGGATTGTATTTTTAGTAGAGATGGGGCTTTTGCCATGTTGCCTATGGCTGGTCTCGAACTCCTGAGCTCAAGTGATCCGCCTGCCTTGGCCTCCCAAAGTGCTGAGATTACAGACATGAGCCAACACACCGGGCCTGTAGCTACTTTTAAAAAGACAAATGAAGAAAGACTGAAGCTACATATATACTGATAATGAGTCAAGATCTAAAATAACAGTGTGTATAAACAGTGTATATAATATGTGCGTAGCATTGTTTTTAAAGGGAGGGGGGATTGTTTTTATTTGCATTTATTTACATCTCTGGAAGATATAAAAGGAACTAATAACATTTGTTGCCTTCAGGGAGGGAAAATGCATAGTTAAGGGTTGAGAGGTAGACTATTGTTTTAAAAGAAATATTTCATTTTGGAATAATTTTACATTTATAGCAAAGTTGCAATGACAGTGCGGAGTTCCCGTATAGCCATCACTCGGTTTCTCTTAATGTTAACGTCTTACATGGCACACATCTGTGAAACTATGTACGAGTGTCAAAACTAAGAGATTAGGTTAGCACTGATACACACTATTAACTAAACTCTAGGCTTTATTCAGATTTCAATAGTTTCTCCACTAATGCCAAATTTCTGTTCCAGGATCCAATTAAGAATACCAAATTGCAGTTAGTCATCTTGAATTCTTAGTCTCTCCTGGTCTGTGAAAGTTTCTTAGTCTTTCCTTGTTTTTCATGACCTTGATAGTTTTAAAGAAGTACTTTATAGAAGGTTCCCCAATTTGCATTTGTTTGATGTTTCCCTCATGTTTAGACTGGGGTTATGGGTTTTAAAAAAGAATATCACAGAGGTGAAGTACCCTTCTCAACATATCATATCAGGGATATAAGATAGTAACATGGCTTCTCCATCACTGGCAATGTTAATGTTTATCACTTGGTTAAGGTATGTCTGCCAGGTCTCTGCACTATAGTTACTACTTTTCTCTTTCTGGTACTCTTTTATTTGTAAGGTATTCATTAAGTCCAGCTCACATTCAGTGGGGAGGGGAAGATTAAACTCCACCTCCTGGAGGGAGGAGTATCTACCTATATTATTTGGATTTTTTTTTTGAGGCAGGGTCTAGCTCTGTGCAGTAGTACAATCATGGCTCACTGCAGCCTCGACTTCCCAGGCTCAAGTGATCCTCTCACCTCAGCCTCCCGAGTAGCTGGGACTACAGGCATGCACCACCATGCCCGCCTAATTTTTGTATTTTTTTGTAGGGACAGGGTTTTGCCATGTTGCCCAGGCTGGTCTCAAATTCCTGGGCTCAAGTGATCCACCCACCTTGACCTCTCAAAGTGCTGGGACTACAGATGTGAGCCACTGCACCTGGCCTTTAAATGCAATTTTAGCAGCACAATAGTAACTCACATATATTGAAGAGAAGCATCTTAGAATGTATTTTCAAGGGAGAAACAGGGTAAAAGGCTAACAATCTTCATAAGGCTTTGGTTCACATTGAACACTTATAGCTAAATAAGGTGTGACAACCAGAGAATTACTTCCAGCAGCCTGTTCTGGGTTCCTAATCCACCTACCTCTAAATGCAGAACCTTAACTAGTCAGCTTGTGCCAATGCTGGAAAAAGTGAAAGAGAGGTCTGAAGAAATCCTAAACTTCCAGTTCTCCTAAAGTCTGTGGTCTCACAGCAACAGTTATGAGCTGACCTGGGCAGAGGCTCACTCTAGCACCACAGTAAGAAGTCGTCCAATGAGACTGAGGAAAATGAGAGCTCTAGTTAGGACTTATAGCTCGTGACTGGCACCAATTTAGACATCAGGCACTCTTAGCCCACTTGTGCCAGGATGTGGAAGGCCCAGCTGCTGCCCCAGCTCCTGAGAAAGAGCCAAGGGAAAAAATGAGCAGACTGTAAGGGTGGGGGAAGGGGTAGCAGCCAGACTAACAGGCCAAACAAACCAAGTTGGGTTCTATACCCAATTCCTTAATGGCAACACTTACATGAACTGAAACACCTATTTCTGGGTTACGAACCACAAAAGGGCATTGCAACATTTGGGAAGGTAGAAAAGGGTACTTTCTTGGAACAGCCTGGCTATAGTACAGAAAACTCTGCTGAAACAACCCATCTAAAAACTAATTTCAATAATGGGCACAGAAGGAGTTAATAATTGTACAGATGAAGCCATAGGGGACTAACAACTGTTAATAGCAAAGGATATCAATGAACTGAATCATTTTTCTTCAGCAATACCATCAAAACCCTCTGTGGATGTCAGGCTAGGGTCTATATTTGGAACGAAGGCTCTAAGACAAGAAGTGCCAAATAGGGCCCATTCAGTACCTTCTATTTTTTCATTTTTTTAAAAAAATTGAGGTAAAGGCCGGGCGTGGTGGCTCACGCCTATAATCCCAGCACTCTGGGAGGACGAGGTGGGTGGATCATGAGGTCAGGAGATCGAGACCAGTCTGGCCAATATGGTGAAACCCCATCTCTACCAAAAATTAAAAAATTAGCTGGGTGTAGTGGCATGCGCCTGTAGTCCCAGCTACTCAGGAGACTGAGGCAGAAGAATTGCTTGAACCTGGGAGGCAGAGGTTGCAGTGAGCCGAAATCACGCCTGGGCGATAGAGCGAGACTCCGTCTCAAAGAAAAAAAAAGAAAAATGCTTCTTTGGCATTCTGCATACATTAATATGAAAATGGCTGCTTTATAATTACAAATAAATAGCCATTTGCATGTGGTTCCTTGAATCCCAGTATGTGGGTGAACTCTCCTGGCAAAGCCCTTTAGTCTTCATATAGCTTTCACAAAATTCTTGAATTAATGCAGCACAAACATAAAAGTGACTATAAGGCCGGGCACGGTGGCTCATGCCAGTAATCCTAGTACTCTGGGAGGCCGAGGTGGGTGGATCACCTCAGGTCAGGAGTTTGAGACCAGTCTGGCCAACGTGGCAAAAACCTGTCTCTACTAACACAAAAACTAGCCGGGTGTGGTAGCGCATGCCTGTAATCCTAGCTACTCCGAAGGCTGAGGCAGGAGAATCACCTGAACCTGGGAGGCAGAGTTTGCAATGAGCTGAGATCATGCCATTGCACTCCAGCCTGGGCTACAGAGTGAAACTCAATCTAAAAAAAAAAAAAAAAAAAAGTATAAAAGTAGAAAAAATTAGAGAAAAATGAGGCCGGGCGCGGTGGTTCACGCCTGTAATCCCAGCACTTTGGGAGGCCGAGGCGGGCGGATCACGAGGTCAGGAGATTGAGACCATCCTGGTTAACACAGTGAAACCCTGTCTCTACTAAAAAAAAATACAAAAATATTAGCTGGGCGTGGTGGCGGGCGCCTGTAGTCCCAGCTACTTGGGAGGCTGAGGTAGGAGAATGGTGTGATCCCAGGAGGCAGAGCTTGCAGTGAGTGGAGACGGAGCCACTGCACTCCCACCTGGGCGACTGAGTGAGACTCTGTCTCAAAAAAAAAAGAAAAGAAAAGAAAGAAAAAATTAGAGAAAAATGAGATAATAAAGCTATTACAAGACCGTAAAAAAAAGTAAGGAAGATGGTGGCCAGGCATGGTGGCTCACACCTGTAATCCTTGCACTTTGGGAGGCCGAGGCAGGTGGATTACTTGAGGTTAGGAGTTTGAGACCAGCCTGGCCAACATGATGAAACCCTGTTTCTACTAAAAAAAAAAAAAAATAGAAAAATTAGCTGTCCATGATGGCATGGGCCTGTAATCCTAGCTGTTTCGGAGGCTGAGGCAGAAGAGTCATTTGAACCCAGGAGGCTAAAGTTGCAGTGAGCCAAGATCGCGCCACTGCACACCAGCCTGGGCAACAGAGCAAGACTTCATCTCCCAAAAAAAAAAAAAAAAAAGCCATATGTTCGTTTTCATTCAACATTTACTGAATATTATAAATAGGGTACCATGTTAGGGCTTAAGATAGAAATATGGGCAGGGAGTTTTGGGGAAGTCCATAGTCTGTTGGAGCAGAAAGACAAACATTCATTCATTTATTCATTTTTGAGACAGAGTCTTGCTCTGTCACCCAGGCTGGAGTGCAGTGGTGCCATCTTTGGCTCAATGTAACCTCTCCCTCCAGGGTTCAAGTGATTCTCCTACCTCAGCCTCCCAAGTGGCTGCGACTACAGGCACACCACCATGCTGGGCTGATTTTTAAAGATTTTTGTAGAGACAAGGTCTCACTATACTGTACAGGCTGGTTTCGAATTCTTGGGCCCAAGCAATCCTCCCACCTCAGCCTCCCAAAGTGCTGGGATTACAGGCATGAACCACCATGCCTAGCCCAGAAAGACATTTAAAACAATCACAGTAGGCTGAGGCTAGAGGATCGCTAGAGGTCAGGAGTTGGAGACCACCTTGGGCAACAAAACAAGGCCCTGTTCGCTACAAAAAAATTAGCCAGGTGTGGTGGCACGGGCCTGTAGTCTCAGCTACTCTGGAGGCTGAGGCCAGAGGATCACTTGAGCCCAGAAGTTCTTCGAGGTCACACTGCACTCCAGCTGGGGCAACAGAGTGGACCCTGCTTCTAAAATAAATAAATAAAACAATCACAGTGTAACAAGTTCTGTGTTACCACAGTGATATAAACAGAGATTGGGTTGGCATGAGAAAGAAGTAAAATTCCTGGGTTTATGGACCATGGGCCACTAACTTTAAGTGATTAATTCTTTTAATGGTGCAAATTATCCAAAATTAAAAATAACCAGGGTTGGCATGGTGGTTCACACCTGTAATCTCAGCACTTTGGGAGGCCAAGGCAGGCAGATCACCTGAGGTCGGAAGTTTAGAGACTTGCCTGACCAACATGGAGAAACCCCATCTCTACTAAAAATACAAAATTAGCCGTGTGTGGTGATGCATGCTTGTGATCCCAGCTACTCGGGAGGCTGAGGCAGGAGAATCACTTGAACCTGGGGGGCAGAGGTTACGGTCAGCAGAGATCGCACCATTGCACTCCAGCCTGGGCAACAGAGCAAAACTCCATCTCAAAAGCAAACAAACAAACAACAACAACAACACACCCGTAATACCTGGAAATACTATTAATTATGCACTTGGACTCCTGGGATGAAGAAAGCTAACAGAGAGTTAATTTTCCTAACGGTATTTTCGCTGGTATCAAGGAAAAAATCAGTGTAAGTTCATTTCCCTTTATAGGAGGGTCTAAGATTTTCCAACACGTTCAAGATTTGCTCTTAAAAATGGACCTACTAGCACCTCCTAACTACCCACACTTTCCTTAGCAAGGCACCAGTTTGTGTGGGGGCACTGAGAAGTCAAAGGAGTATTCATGTGATCATTGACACAGAATGCACAAACAGATCTCTGTCTGATGGAGTTGAAGCCTCTTGAGAATCTGGACTAGCAGCCAAAGGGAAGTGAGGGGAAGCGGGTAGGGTGGGAGGATGAGAAGGAGCAGGAGAGAGAAAAATCCCAATCAGGACTAAGTTCCAATCAAGCTCTCAAAATGCCCTTTCTGCTGATAATGCCTCAGATATTTCACTAAACTGTATTTTACTGTTCTTTAATACTTTGACTTAAGGAATAGAGGTATTCTTAGGGAATCACAAACATGGAAAAACACAATACAATAAAGACTGAAATGAAGGAAAATCCAAATAACTAAAAGGAAAAAAATTATATCCATCACCTGCAAATTCAACGTGTTCAAAAATCACATTCTCTGAAAATCAGCTCTCGTCCTAATTTTGGACAAAGTATTTCTTTTCCTCATCCTCTGGTTCAAAACCTTGGGGTCTTCTTAGAGTCCTCTATCTCCTTCAAGCCCTATAATAACTAGTTAGAACTCAAATTCCACAGATTCTTCCTTCAACATTTCTCATTGCATTCACTCAAGCAGTTTTTATTGTGTACCTACTGATGCCAATTTCAGGAGATTCTGGTGGTACAACTGGGAGGGTAGGATGTGGAGATGTATACAGCAACAGCTACTAAACTAGTCCACTAAATACATGAGTGGTTGAGAAATAAGTGCGTACTACAAAGATTCTGACGTATGAGATGCTGTCTGGCTGGGTTAATCAGGAAACCCTTGGGGAGGGGTAGGGAACTCAAGCTGGGCCTTGACTCTCAGGTCTAACTTCGATTACACAGAGCTAGTGAAGGGAATTGGGAAGGAAAGCACTCAGGGAACTACGAATAAAGGTGGCTGCCTGGAATTAAACGTCCAGGGAGCAGTGAGAAAAAAAGGCTGGGGCCAGGTAGTGGCAGGCTTTGAAGGCTTGCCCAAGAGGCCTTTAACCCTTAGGCTGCCAGGTTATTTCCCTCCCATCGCCTGCAGCTTCTTTACAGCTGACACTTTCACCAGGAACCCAGGTACAAAACAAAGGTGGCAGCAGCTGCTTTTGTGATCAAAGGGTGCTCCTTCTGCATTTAAATTTGCAGGCTGCTACTCTGAGTGACTGAACAGGAAGCTAGCTGGTCCCTTTAGCGCTAACAAAGCTTGATTTAGGCTGAAAGATTAGAAAGCACATCTTATTCTATAAACGCTTCAACACTCTGTTATCCTTCAACAACCCTAACTAGGGCTGTGATCTAAGATTGACAATATTAACTTAATCCTTGTCAAATTTGTTTTCATTTTATGGCTCCCTGGCTCAAGGATCTACAACAACTCTTAGTACAGATAACAGGTCATTCAAATTTCTCTGCCTGGAATCCAAAGTTATACACAATCCAACCCTACCAAACCTTTTCAACTTTTATCTGTTACTATTCCTTTGTACCAACTTTCTTTTCTTTTTGTTTTTTTGAGACGGAGTCTCGCTCTGTTGCCCAGGCTGGAGTGCAGGGGCGCGATCTCCGCTCACGGCAGCCTCTGCCTCCCAGGCTCAAGCGATTCTCCAGCCTCAGCCTCCTGAGTAGCTGGGATTACAGGCATGCACCACCATGCCTGGCTAATTTTTGTATTTTCAGTAGAGCGGGGTTTCACCATGTTGGCCAGGCTGGTCTCAAACTCCTGGGCTCAAGCAATCCGCCTACCTTGTTCTCTCAAAGTGTTGGCATTACAGGCGTGAGCCACTGTGCCCACCACCAACTTTCTTTTCTTAGGAGGGCTAAATTACAACAGGGCTAGTGTTACAGTCTTAAATCAGTTGAGTTGAATTCAAATTAAGCAACAGTTTAGACCATTTTTTTTCAGAAAGAAACAAAAATATAAATTTTGCAAAAACGTTTGTAAGAATTTAGCAGTCCCAGTGGCTCATGCCTGTAATCCCAGCACTTCGGGAAGCTGAGATGGGAGGATGGCTTCAGTCCTGGAGTTAGAGACCAACCTAGGCAACATGGTGAAACCTCGTCACTACAATACAAAAATTAGCCGAGCGCAGTGGCACACTCCCTGTTGTCCCAGCTACTTCGGGAGGCTTGAGGCAGGAGGATTGCTTGAGCATAGGTCGAGGCTACAGTGAGCCATGATTTCACCACTGCACTCCAGCCTGGCAGACAGAGAGGGACCTTGTCTCAAAAAAAAAAAAAAAAAAAGAGAAGAATTTGCAGTCCTTATTCAAGATAAGTCCTTATTCAAGATAAGACATTCAAGATGTCTTTTCAAAATATGTTCTGAATCAAAAAAAAATCCAAAATTATTGTTTTCGTATCGCATAAATGTGAAAGACTCATCACAAATGACACTGATATAGTAATGTTCTATATCTTCGTAGGGGGTTGGATTGTATAGGTGTATGCATTAGTCAAAATCAGTGAACGTACACTTAAAGGTTTATATATTCCATTTTACATCAAAATAAACCGTCAACAAACTCTAGTCAATGACATGCATGCCAAAGTATTTAAAGGAAAGTGTACAGGTATCTGCAATTTAAATGGATGGATAGCTATATGATAAAGCAAGTAATATTAAAATGTTAATGGTAGGATAGATCCTAAGTGATGTGCTCCTTATAAAATTCTTTATACTTGGCTGGATATTCGAAAATTTTCATAATAAAATATGAGGGAAAATGACATTGGTAAGACACTGTACTTGTAAATTGTAAACACTGATAACACACTACATTTCATAAAATTGTAAGATGTTAAGTTTGGTGGCAGCACCAGGTATTTGCTCCTTGATGCTTCCAAACTACGCTGCACACACCTCTTACAGAATGGTTGCCTCTCCCAGCATACTATAAGTTCCTGGTGGGCACAGATCTAACCTAATTTGTATTTATATTCCTATTGCTTTGCATCATGTTTGGGGAATAATATGTATTCAACAATAGTGGCATGATTGAATTAAAGTGGAATACTGCTAACGAACAAAGTATTATATTTCTAGCAGATTCACTATTCTTTTCTTACATATTCTAAAGGTTAATACGCTCAATATCCAAGAGAAATGTGTCCTTACTTCTCTCCAAGCATACGAAATTTCCAAAGTTTTTTTAAAAAAACTACTCATTAGATAATTTTATATTGTTACTTAAACCCAAGATCTGAAGGCCTCCTAACATTCAATAACTTTTTAGTAGTTTTTTTTTTTTCCTAGAAGAGCAAAGTCTCAGAACTCCACGGAAGCCTGGAAATCGTTTTATTCTAATTTTAGATAAGCTGTCTGAACTAAGAGATCTCTGAACTGGTCAAAAGCAGGAAAGTGGGGGTCTGGGAAGAAGACAAAAACAAACGCCACATAAAACGTCATGGAGCAAACTAATCAAGAACTTTAGCAAGAAACGGAGAGAAAGTCTTAAGGAGGACACCCAGAACATCTCCAGCTCCTCCTGGCCCGTCTCCTCAACTCCTCTTAATTCCAGCCAGTCAGAGCGCGGGGCCATCTGCCACTCCCAGGATGCCACGCGACGGGAGCGGACGCTGCGAGGATGCACCTCCACACGTCAACCTCCCACAAACAGCATGGCTTCGTGGCGTGAGCACCCGGTTCGGACCTGAACGCCTGGGTCCGAGTCCCACCTCCCCCTCCTGCCTGGTCTGCAGCCCTGCGCAAGTCCTCTTGCCCTCGCTGAGCCTCAGTTTCCTCATCTGTAAAATGTAATGATTCCCTATAATTGGCTACAGGGAGATGAGAAGTGTAAATGGTTTTAAGGAAGACACAGGCAACTCTCTAACTTGTTACGGCTCTGAACCTCGCGGTGCTCACTAACCAGCCTTGAGACCAATCTCTCAAAGTCACCCCGCTCCTCCCTTCCCGCCCGGCGCCTGTACTGAGGCCGCTCCCTCCTGTTGGCCCCCATGCGGAAGGCGCGCGGCGCCGTCTGCCGTACCTGCAGCCACCTGGTCAGCGGGGCCCTCTTGCTGACCCACGACGAAGTCGTGCACGAGGCCCCATAGGGCACCCATAGGCGCCGCCGCCTCCACAGCCGCGGCAGCGGCCATAACGCGAACTAGAGACCGTGGGAGGGGATATGGGCGGTGGCTCGAGACGGGCTCTCCGCGCATGCGCCTCCCGAGCCAATCTCCGGGGAAGCGCAAGGGGGCGGGGCGCCGGGGTCACGTGCCTGCCGGCTTCTGCCTAGGCAGTTCCAGGGAGGGGCGGGGCCTGAAATGGGGCGGTGGCACCGAGAGGGAAGGCGGCTGCTGGGCACGCAGCCGGAGGCGATTGAGGGCGAATAATTCCCAGCCCGGCTCCCCGGGAGACGGGCTGCGGGGCGGGCACCTGGCTGGGTGGGGAGAGGGGCGGTACGCACCACGGGGGAAGCCAATGAGAAAATCAGGCCCAGCCCTAGGGGGCGGTGCTGTCGGTCACATGCGCACCTGGGGCGGGTGGTGGCGGCGGCGCGGGCACCGCGAGCCGGCGGAAGGGAGAGGGGCCGGCCTGGGGCGGGGTTAGGCAGGTGAGTGACAGGCTCCAGGGGGCCGGCCCCTGCCTGGTGCCCCGAGCGAGCCGGGAGTAGCTGCGGCGGTGCCCGCCCCCTCTCTCCGCCCCTCCAGCGGAGCTGGTCTCCGGCCGGGCACCGTCGCGGGCCCCCCTGGCCCGGCCACCTGGGACCGTGCTGGGGAGTCTGCCACTTCCCTCTCTCCCCTGGCCCGCAAAGTTTTGGCGGAGCCATCGCTGGGGCTGAGCGCGCCCCCGGGGGGAGATCGGGGAGCGCCCGATGCCGGGCGGCCGGAGCCATTGACCCGGGACGCCGCCGTCCGCTGAGCAGCCGACCACCCCGCCGCCTCCGGTGCATGGGGACTGGCTGAGGAGCCAGCATGGGCAACTGCGTGGGGAGACAGCGCCGGGAGAGGCCGGCAGCCCCGGGACACCCCCGCAAGCGAGCAGGTAACGATGGGGAAGGGAGCAGGGCCTCGGGCATCCCGCCAGTTGTCCCCCTCCTCGCCCGAGTCCTGGGCTTACCGATGGACTCCCCACTGGTGCTGGCGCTTGGGTTTCCCCGATGGGCTGCTCCGCAGCCAGAGGGGGCCGCTCCCCAGCGCCGGGCGGCCGGGGGAGCTGAGTTGGGGCAACTGCGAGCACTGAGCCGGCTGCGCGACCAACTCTCTCCAACTGGGTAGCTCCTGGTGGGGGTGGGGGCAGGAAATGTTTGCAGACCGCAGCGGGGCCGACGGATCGGGAGGAGGCCGGGGGCGAGGGCGCCGCTGGCCTGGCAGCTCCGGCCGGGGTCGGACGCCGGCCCGTCGGGGCACGGCGCGGGCAGCCAGGCGTCCCCAGAACTCGGAGCGAGCGAGGCGAGAACAGTCGCTCCTTCCAAAGACTGTGTCATTATCGAGCTGCAGATCGTGTCTGCGGGAATCCGACTTGCAAAGCAGCGCAGGACTCTGGGAAAGAAATCTTTATTTTTCCCGCAGGGGTTTTTAGAGCCTCTCGGCCGTCTGGGAGTCTATAAAAGATGGGGTGCGGGGTGAGAGTCACCCTTGGGATTGTTGGGATCCTTCCCAGCTTTGGGAGTGAGATCGCTCGCTGGTGATCCTCCAGGCCCGCGCAACGCTTTCTCACTTTCATGGTACACCCCGCCTGCCCTGGCATTTCGCCCCGGGAAGAGGTCTGTCGGTCATTTTTCTGGGTCTTACACTCACTTCCTTCTTTGAGGGTGTTGCAAGGACCCGCTGGGAATAATATCGTAGACTTGAGAGCTCAAACTTGTCTGGATTCCAGATGGACCCATCTCCTACTCTGTGTCAAAGCCCAGATCCTGAGAGGTTGAACACCTTGTCCAAAGTCACACAGCTAGTTAGGAGCTCACCTGGGGCTAGAACTCAGCCTCCTCTCCCACCCCATTGCCACATATCCCCTTATGTAAGAGGAGCCACAGGCAGAGTTGTTAATGAAGTGGAAACTCTAGTTGGAGTTTCCTGTCTCCCTTGACACCGAAGGTGTGTTGCTTGGGTTGCGGAAACTGGGAAGGAAGATGGGGGAACCAGGGGAAGCAGGGAAGGATGTCTGCATGGTGGACAGGATGACTTGTGGAGGCAGAAATGTGTTTTTATGGGAAGGATGCAGTAAAACTTATTGAAATTCTCTTGTCTGAAGGTAACTCTGGCCATTCTTCTGGCTGAGGAGAGATGACTCTCAAAACCAAGGGCTGGCTTGCTTTCATTCATTCATTTGTTCAACAAATATGTGTTCAGGCCCCATAATTGATTTTGCAGCATTTTTTGCTGTTGACAACTCTCTCCTACGAGACATTCCCCCCCTTCCTTTCTTGGCATCAGACTGTCTTGGTTTTCCTTTCTGAACACCCCTTTCCACCATCACCTTCTAGCTTGGGGGCACGCTGGTGCTTAAGTTTGACATTCTGTTTTTTCTCTCATTACACTCTCTCCCAGAGAAATCTTGTTCAGTCCCACAACTCTTTGTCCATTGGGAATACCCCTATGCTTAAACTTCAGCTCTTCTCTCTTGAACCCCAGAACCCCATCTCTAGATGCCCACTGGACACTGTGATATAGATATTCCCAGATTTAACACCTCCAAAACCAGGCTCTGCATCGCTCCCTGTCCACCAGCTTTCCTTCTTTACTCTTATGTTCTTCCAGCTGCCTAACTTTAGGCTGTGAAGAGCTCTTTCTCTCATGACTTTCTCTGCTTCCTTGTCGCCTGCCTCTCAGCCAGTCATTGGGGTCTGCTGGGTCTTCCTTCCGCGGGACTTGCAAACCTGCCCCTTGCCACCCTACTTTGTACCCTTCTCACCTCAAGTCAACCCTTGTCTCAGGCTGAAGTGAGGTACCCCCCAAAGGCAACTTCATCTTCAGTCATCATTCAGTCCTACACACAGTTGTCCCCACAGAAGACATTTGTTAAATTAACTTCTTCCAGATTTTATAGTTCTGTGTTCAGAATGTTTCTGTACTTGGCCAGGCGTGGTGGCTCATGCCTGTAATCCCAGCACTTTGGGAGGCCAAGGCAGGTGGATCACCTGAGATCAGGAGTTCGAGACCAGCCTGGCCAACATGGCAAAACCCTGTCTCTACTAAAAATACAAAACTTAGCCAGGCATGGTGGTGGCAGGCGCCTGTAATCCCAGCTACTCAGGAGGCTGAGGCAGGGAGATTGCTTGAACTGGAAGTTTCGCAGAGGTTGTAGTGAGCTGAGATTGCGCCACTGCACTCCAGCCTGGGTGACAGAGCGAGACTCTGTCTCAAAAAAAAACAAAACAACAGCAACAACAACAACAAAACACCTTTCTGCATTTTCCCACTCCTACAAGTACTTTAACTTTCAAGGCTGTTCAAGTGTGGGCCAGTCCTTTCTTTTAAGTCCTGATTTCTTTCCCTTCTCTGACATTAAGACCACCAGTGTTTGCTCGTGCCATTTCCTTCTTATCGAGAGTCTTTCATCCTTTGGGTTCATTTCAAGTGCCGTGCCTTGTTTGAAGCACCTTGCCTGACAAGTCTGCCATTTCCCCCTCCCTCCGCACCCCACCACACACACCCCGTGGAAGTGATTGCTCCTTCTGAGAACTCCTGCAGACACATTATCTATGCCACTTACTTAACAATTATGTACTCTGTATTATTAATCATGTCTTTGATGTTTACAGTCTTTTATCAGCAACTACATTGCAAGCCTTGAAGACCTGGGTTCTGTCTTATCCTTGTAGTATATGTCTCTCTCACGCACACACACACATTCAGCACTTAACACAATGAGTTGTACAGAAGTAGCACTCAGTATTTGTTGATTTTAGAAAGCAAACTCAACTTCATCCTACCATCTGCATTTTTCATATATCTGCATTTTTTTTTTTACCTGCTAGTTTATCATTGCTTTAGTTCTGTGGGTCCTACTATGAATAGCTTTATTCATAAAGTCCAAAGCCGAGGGGAACTCTGTAGGATGACAAATTTGGTACAAGGGAAGGAATCCTTCTTAACTCCACAGTGCACCTGGCATTCCTGTAACATCTGTGGCTTTTCCTTTGACAAGGACATAGTTTTACGTTGTAAGACTAATGCCTAAAACTCCCCCAGCGCCACTGTAACTCTTACCTTCCTTTGGCACTAATGTAATGGGAAGAAAGCCTCAACAGGGAGCTAGGACCTGAGTTCTAGTCCTGGGCCTATAACTCAGTGACCCTGGGCAAGTCATCTAACCTTTCTGGGTCACACTTTCAATATTTCAGAAAGGGGGAGGGTTATACAAGATCATTAGAGCTGTTTTATCATCTTCACAAAGGCAGCTGTTTAAAGCGAGAAAGTTATTGAGGTGAAATCTTTATGGCTTGTAATGTCACCCTTTGTCCTTAGTTCTGCCTTCTTAGTCACTTGGTAGACAAAGCAGAGACACAATACTGTCTGGTCAGGGATTCTTGCATTAGGGAGAAGGGAGAGGTCCTCTCGTCTCATCAAGTTTTGTGATTGTCACTCATATGTGTGTGTGTGCGTATGTGTGTATACATATATACGTATATATACGTATATATGTATATATATACGTATATATATGTGTGTATATATGTATATATATATTTTTTTTTTTTTGAGAGAGAGGGTCTTGTTCTCTCGCTCAGGCTGGAGTATGGTGGTGCAGTTATAGCTCCCTGCAGCCTTTAACTCCTGAGCTCAAGTGATCCTCTCCCCTCAGTCTTCCCAGTAGCTAGGGCTAGAGGTGTGCACCACCACGCCCAGCTAACTTTTTATTTTTTGTAGAGATGGGGTCTTGCTATGTTGCCCAGGCTGGTCTGAAACTCCTGGCCTCAAGTAATCTTCTTATCTTGGCTTCCGAAAGTGCTGGGATTACTGGCGTGAGCCGCCACACCCAGCCTTAAAAATTTTTTTTGGATTGTTACTCTTAATGCATCCCCAGTAGGTCTGTGTTCTTCTCCTTCAGATGCTGGGTGGTTCTTGTATGCTTCGGAGAATACTTGGGGATTTACTCCTTTGGTGGGGGCTCTTGCCACCCCATACATGTACACTAGGTAGATAAATATCTCTGCCCATGAACTGGGTGAAGCAGCCTCTCCCCCAGCCACTCCAGGGAGAGGTAGAGGTGGTAGAACAGGCAAGTCTCTTGCCCAGCTCCACCCTTTGAGAATGTGGCAGGGCTGAAACCCAAATATCTGACTCTGTGATGTGCCAGGCATATCCACTTACGTTCTGGAATCTCAAGCTCGGGGTGGACAGACCCAGGGCCCTGTTTGGGGCTGGTTGGGCTTGGCACTGTGGTTGCAAGAGAGTCTGCTTCTTGTGTGGGCTGTGTGGCTATTCTTGAGGGAGTAATTGGGCAACTTCTCCATTTGCTCAGTAAGTATGTACTGAGTGCCAAGCACCCTGCTGGCTGTGAACAGACGTGGTCCTTGGCCACATGGAGCTTACAGTCTTGTAGGGGGCAGACAGTAAACACATAGTCATGCAAATTACACATGATCATACATAGAATTATGTAGTATTATATATGCTGGTGACTCCTCCCACATTTATAATTTCAGCCCATTCTCTGCAACTTCAGCCTTGGATATTCTGCTGCCTGCTCACCACACCTGCTGTCTAAAAGGCTTCCTAGTTTAACGTGTCCAAAACAGAATGAACCCCCATCCCATCCCTGTACCTCCCAAAGTCTTTCCCATCCCAGTTCATGATGATTTCATCCTTCCGCTTGCCAAGGCCCCTAAAATTCTCGTCGTCCCTGACTTCTCCCTTTCTCTCACACTTCACATCCATTTAATCAATAAATCCTGTTGGTTTTGCCTTAAATATGTCCCGAACCTGACTCTGACCATCTCCACCACTTTCACCCTGGTCTGAGCTACCACTGGCCTGTGAACTCACCTTCCTGCTTCCTCCCTTGTCTCCCGACAGACTATTTCCATCCCACTAGCCAGCGTGATACTCTAAACTGTAAGTCAGATTTCATTACTCCTTTGCTCAAGCCTCCTGTGACACTGCATCTCATTCAAGACTTCTTGTGTTGGTCTACAAGATATGATATGATTTTCACCTGCTCACCTTTCTTAAGCCATCTCATGCTCTCCATCACCTTGTTCAACCCCCCGATATCTGAATGGGTCCCTCTCTCTCCTTGTCCCAGTCTCCTATTTAAGGAATCAAACCCTCCCAGGCCATTTCATTTAAAATTATCCCCTTCCCTCTATCACCTGCTCTCGGCATTATGTACCTCCCTTTCCTGTTTTATTTTGTTCCATTGCTTATGTCATCCTCTGATATTGGTTGTCTCCCCTTGCTCCATGTTGTCAGAGATTTTTATTTGTTCACTCTGTGATACCAAGAGCAGTGCCTGGTAAATAGTTGTTGGATAAAACTAGAGTTGGTGAAGTCTATAGAAAAGCATAAGTGAACACGTCTGATTGATCTCCTACCTTAGATGGGTGTTAAGGCAGGTATCTTAATGAAGGGACTTAAACTGCAACCTCAGAGTGGTGTTCTATCTCTGGGACTGGCTTCTCTCTTGCCCCAGGCTTGCGTAAGTTCTTAGATACCTGGGATATATATGACTCCTGTGGTTTGGGTGCCTCTTGCTGGGAGATACCAGGGCTGAAGCAGGAGGGCAAAGTGAAGCTCACTATTGGGGTCCTAACCAGGCAGTAGCACCTTCTTGCCATTTTATGTGTGCACCTATGTCAGAGTGGACCCCCCTCTTCCAGGCACACGTGATGTTTGTAGTCCTTAACTCGCAGGGCAGGGATAGGGTGGCCTAATAGACTACAAGGGAGGAAGTTAGGTGATGTGGATTCCAGGCATCTCTTACCCATCAACTTGCTGGAGAATTTTTAGAATCATAGAATTTTAGAGCTGAAAAGGAACCTAAAGATTTCTATAACCTCTTTTTTCTTACCCAGCCATTAGAAAGAGAACAAAGGTATGTCTGTCCCCTGCCTAGTTCACAGAAACATGGTGCAACCTACATAAAAACTGCATGTGCTCCTTTAAGTTGTGAGTGTGTGGAGGTCAAGATATTATAGGGAAGTGGTTGAGGTCAAGTGTATTCAAAGGAGAGGAGGTCTAGTCTCTGCCACTTTCTTGAGTGGTAATCTTGGGCAGGTCATTTGTTTCTTCCTCAGTTGATCCCCCGTTTTAAAAAGATAATATTTCCAGTTTCCTTCACAGAGATGTTATGGAGATAAAATAAGCTAATGGTGGTTTAAAAATTACTTTCATGGCTACACAGTGTGCTCAGATATGAGGTCCCAACACAGAGTTTCATCTGGCATTGGTGGAAAATGAAGCCTGGGGTCTCTGCTCCTTCCTAGTTGTTTGTGTGACTTTGGACAAGCCTCTTGATCTCTTTGAGCCTCAGTTTCCCCATTTGTGCCATGAGGTGACTGCCACCCTGATCACCTTTCAGAGAGGTTGTAAGATTAAAGTGAGACCCTGGATGAAAAGAGATTTTGTGATCTTAGAAAGTTTCTATTATTCCAAGCTACCAGGATTTTTACACACAAAAGCCATAGCCAGTGATTTTTCCCACTAGATCATTGAAGCTTACTCTTTTTTAAGGAGCAAAACTATAAAAGAAATGTTTAAAAACTATTTTTGGATGGGAATCTTTCTGAAACGAATGATATGCTTCTGAGCAAAATATTAATATACAGCTCAGAAAGAACCTCTGGTTTGGGACTAGGGGTTGTTGAGTTCATACCGGTGTGTACAGAGCGCCTGCTTGGTGAGAGTGGGACCACAAAAGGTTCTTTCTCTCAAAAGTGTTACCTCCCAAAGAAGAGACCTGGGGTGGGGGAGGGACCTAGTGGTGGGCAGAGGGAAATTGCTGGGGGAGAGCCCACTCCGGGAGTGCCCTGCCTCAAGGTTCCAAGTAGCAACACTGGCACTGCAGGAAGGCTCTTAAATCCTGTTCAAGGCTCTGAGTGGGAAGAGCCAGTCCTACCCGGTCAGTTACTGTGCTTATAGTAGTGTGAGGCCACGGGGCTTGTGAGACTCTAGGGCAGTGGGCCCCAAACTACGTGGTTCCCAGCTGTTGGGCTTTGGGGGTTCATGTTTCCACCTACAATCATTGCTGTGTCTTCTGCCTGGTAGACAGTAGTCACTTCTCTTTTTTTTCTTTCCTTTTTCTTTTTTTTTAAGTGGTTACCTAGATATGACATAAAATTTACTTGTATGTAACAGCAAATTTTTCAGTCTATAGTTTTGTAGCATGAGTACATTCTTTGTATTTATTGTTGTACAACCATCCCAGTACCCATCTCCAGAACTTTTTCATTTTCCCCAACTGAAACTCTTTTACCCATTAAGCACTATCCATTTCTTCATCCCCCCAACCACTGGCAACTGATATTCTGCTTTCTCTTTTATGAGTTTGACTACTCTGGATACCTCATATGAGTGGAATCATGTAGTATTTCTCCTTTTGTGGCTGGCTTGTTTCACTTAGCATAATGTTGTCAAGGTTCCATGGTGTAGCATGTGTCAGAATGTCCTTCCTTTTTAAGGCTGAGTAATATTCCATTGTATGTATATACCACATTTTGCTTATTCATTCCTCCATTGATGGACCCCTGGGTTGCTTCCACCTTTTGGCTATTGTAAATAATACTGCTGTGAACATGGGTGTGCAAACCAGGAGCAAAAGGTGAATGCTCTCTGAGTCTCTGCTTTCAGTTATTTTGTGTATATACCCAGAGGTGGAATTTCTGGATCAAAAGGTAATTCTATTTTTACTTTTTTGAATAACCCCCCATAACACTTTCCTCAGCAGCTGCACCATTTTATATTCTCACCAACAGGGTGCAAGAGTTCCTGTTTCTCTACATCTTCACCAACAGTTGTTATTTTCTGCTTTTTGTTGATTAGGTTTGGATTGGTTTTATAATAGCCATCCTAATGAGTGTGAAGTGGTTTATCATGTAGTGATCATTTATGCTGGGCTCAAAGAGCAGTCCCTCCAAATCTCTGGGAAAACAGACATCTGAGTGTGTTAGAATTGTGCATAGAGGCTGGGCATGGTGGCCTACACCTATAATCCCAGCACTTTGGGAGACCAAGGCAGGAGGATTGCTTGAGGCCAGGAGTTCAAGAAAAACCCGGGCCACATAGTGAGACCTCGTCTCTATTAAAAAAAAAAAAAAATTGGCCTGGGCACGGTGGCTCATGCCTGTAATCCCAGCACTTTGGGAGGCTGAGCCGGGCAGATCACGAGGTCAGGAGTTTGAGACCAGCCTGATCAACATGGTGAAACCCCGTCTCTACTAAAAATACAAAAAAAATTAGCCGGGCATGGTGGCACGTGCCTGTAATCCCAGCTACTCAGGAGGCTGAGGCAGGAGAATCGCTTGAACCTGGGAGGCGGAGGTTGCAGTGAGCCAAGATTGCACCACTGCACTCAAGCCTAACGACAGAGCAAGACTCCGTCTCAAAAAAAAAAAAAAAAAAAAAAAAAAGAGAGGAACCTGGCAGGAAAGGGGCTGGAACACCTTCTGCAAGGTGTGGGGAGGGAGACTGAAGGGACAGGGATGACTCCTCGTTTGTATGTTTTTCCTCTGGAAGTCTTGGGACAAGGAGCAAAGGGTGAATGGTGCCTAGGCAGCCAGTCACTAACCAAGTAGCCTGAATCTTAGTTTCCAGCCTGCGCACTTGGAGTTTTGTTGTTTTTAAAGGCTCAGAGAGATGTAATTAGCAGCAGCTCACCTTTGCAGGGTGTTTGCCATGTACTAGGAGCATCACGTGCAGTATTTGGGTTAATTCTCACAACCACCCTATGGGTGGATTCTGTTATCACCTTTTCACAGATGAAGAAGCTGAGCCTTAGAAAGGTAATGTCTGCTGCCTAAGGTCACACAGCTTGTAAACTGCAGAGCTGGGACTGGAACCCAGGTGTCTGATCTCAGAGCCCACGCTTTGGGCCAGTGTGTAGTTTGTCCTCATGAGAATGGGAAGAAGAGAACGCTTTTTTGTTTTGTTTTGTTTTTTAATGAGTTTATTATTGAGCACCTTCAGGCACCACTTTGCTGGATCCCTTCACAAACATCATCTCATTTGATTCTCCCTATTTTACCTATGGGAACATGCCTACCTATTTTACATATGGGAAAGCTGATGGCCAGGAAAATGAATGGATTGCCAGTGGTTATGATGCTAAGAGACAGAGCTGGAACTCAGCCTGAGGATGTTGATTCATTCCAGTGCTCACAGCTCGTTCCATTGTGCTGTGAGCCCTGACCAGCTCCCACCCCACCCCCATGGAAAGAAGCTGGTAGGTCAGCTGTGAAGTCTGCAAAACTCCAAGGACTATAGCCACTGCTTTCCTTTCACATTGCTGTCCCTTCTTCCTTTAATTTCCCCACCCCCAGACCACCACCTCCACACCTAGAAGCCATGTGAGTCCATCATCTTGGATCAAAGTGCTTGGCACATAGTAGGTGCTCAATAAATATGCGTTGAATGTTGTTTGAGGGCTCGGTGTGCTAGAGGCAATAGAATCTCAGCCAAGATTGTGTTCCTAAAGAGAAACACAAGTAGAATGCAAATATTGTTGTTTCCTCCTCCTTCTCCCAGAGCAAACCTCCGCTTTCCAACACCCAGATGCCAGGGACTTGAAGAAAAGATTGTCCTTGCTCTGCAAACTTTGAATTATTCCCAAATTCCCAAAGGAAAAGAGGCACAGAGAGTCATGTTAGCAAAGTGCTTGCAGAATCAGGTGTCACTCTTCGTAATTAATAAGATTAACAATCTCTTTCTTCTCTCAGCATTTTGCGGTTTTCAAAATGCTTTCTCAAGTATTAGATATCATTTGATCTCCACAGCCATCCTGTTAGATAGGCAAGGCAGGACTCATTTTTCCCGTTTTATAGGTGAGGACACTGAGACTTGGTGAGGATGTTAAGATACTCAAGGTTATTGACTGAATAAGTGGCAGAAATCATAGAGAGGGCAGCGGTTCCACTACTTTCTTTGCAGAGCCTCAGTTTCTGCATCTGTAAAATGGGGTAAGCATACATCATTTAGAGTAGTGAAGCGTGAAATGTGATCATGTGTGTGTGATGTGATCAGCACAGTGCCCACACACAGCACGGCGCCCACACACAGCACAGCGGATGCTTAGATGGGGAACAACGCAAAGCTCATTGTTCCACTGATGACTTATATTGTACTGACCCTTGTTCCACCCCCACTTTTAGGGGGAGCATAGTATAGCCTCCCTAGTCCTCCCTGGTCACCTTCTGTTCTGGTCACCCTCTGGCTCATCCCTTGGAGTCAGAGTGCAATCACAAGGGCTGGCCATGAATTTCCTTTTTTTTCCCCCCACCCTGAGACGGAGTCCTGCTCTGTTGCTCAGGCTGGAGTGCAATGGCATGATCTCGGCTCACTGCAACTTCCGCCTCCTGGATTCAAGCGATTCTCCTACCTCAGCCTCCCGAGTAGCTGGGATTATAGGCGTACACCATCACACTCAGCTAATTTTTTTGTATTTTTAGGAGAGACGGGGTTTCACCATGTTGGCCATGCTGGTCTTGAACTCCTGACCTCGTGATCCACCCACCTCAGCCTCCCAAAGTGTTGGGATTACAGGCATGAGCCACCATGCCTGTGCCTGGCCTTTTTTTTTTTCTTTTTCTTTATTTTAGACAGAGCTCACTCTATTGCCCAGGCTGGAGTGCAATGGCACAATCTCAGCTCACTGCAATCTCTGCCTCCTGGGTTCAAGTGACTCTTGTGCCTCAGCCTCCTGAGTAGCTGGGATTACAGGTGTGTGCCACCATACCCAGCTCATTTTTTTGTATTTTTAGTAGAGATGGGGTTTCACTGTGTTGGCCAGGCTGATCTCGAACTCCTGGCCTCAAGTGGTCCACCCACCTCAGCCTCCCAAAGTGTTGGAATTACAGGCATGAGCCACCTTGCCCAGCCATGAATTTCCTTTGATTTGTAAAATCTGAGGTCTGTCAAAGAGAACATCTATAAGATAGTTTTCCTTTGGTGACAGGTCATTATGACAAATGTTTTATTCATTTAGTACAAATTTGCATTTTATTATCCCAGCTCCTCCAACTCATTAGCTATGTAACCTCGGGTAAGTTATTTTGAATTTTGAGGCCTCAGTTTTCTTATCTGTGAAATGGAGATAACAGTATCTACTCCATAGGGCTGTCATAAGAATTAGATGAATTACTGCACATCAGGTCTTGAGAATGGTGCCTGGGACATATTACCTACTCAGTAAGCATTAGTTATTATTTTTACTATTCTCGCCATGCTTGATGCTATATTATAGCCAGCTGCCCCCAGCCTTACAGTTCCCCCTACGTTGAGATATACGGCCAGTGAAGTTCATGTGCAAAACCTGACTTCTTCAGTGTGTCCTGGGTTATCTACTGTTCGACCCATTTATTCAGGAAGGCAAATCCGAAGCAAGTTGCAAGATAGTGTCATTATCATAGAGATAGCCTTGAATCCAGCTTGAATCAACTCTCATTAGTAGCAAATCACTTGCAACACACCCTACATACAATTCTTGCTGATCTCAGCAACAACCAGAGGCTACTTTTCTAGGCTATCTCCACATAGATGGAAACATTTCTTGCCAGTAGGTCAAGGCTGTGAGTGCCCTCTGTTTGTGGTGGCCCATCTTCAGCTTGGCAGAACACCTCCGAGTCCCCAGGGCTTCCTTCCTGGAGCTTTGTGTATTTCTCTGATACACATTGTCAGCCGCAGATACCTCCTCTGTGAACTTCCAAGGCACTGCTGATAAACTTCCACATCAGAGCCTCTTTCGCACTTGATGAGCATCCCCGCATACCTAGATTCAAAATTGCTGTTCGATTTCTTGTATACTGCTACTGATTGCACACTGATTGTGCAGTAGGCACTGTAGTAGGTACTTACACACATCTCATCTAATCCTCCTGATAGTCCACTGAGGTAGAGATTCTCCTTTAGGGGAGAGGTTCAGTGATGTTAACTGTGTGTCTTGAGGGGGTGGGGGTACACACAGTGAGAATGAAATATTTGGGTCATCAGTCTCAGGTTCCTTCCATGCAATACCCACCTGACTGTCAACTTCAACAAAGGACTCCCTGGGCCCTAAACAGGTATCTCTGGTTTACTGATGTCACTGCCACTCATGACTAGCAAATAGTCTACTTCTGCCAATTCTTGCACTATATATCCGAATGTGCCAGAAAGTGCACTTTGTGACAACCTTCATGGATTTGTCCCTCCTTCCACCTCTTCCTACCTCCCACGCAGTGTCTGGGACACAGACCACACTGTCCTCTGTTATATGGGATACTACACATGGCATTGATTTTTTTTTTTAACTTAGTGAAAGCGCTCTGTTCCCCCAAAATAGACTGTCACATGGATGAGCATTTCATTTCCTAAGCCTTCACAGCAGCTCCAGGAATTGCCATCACTGAAATCAGTATAATTTATTAATCTCCTACCATGTGTGTGGTAGGCACACCACAGTGATTCTTGACATCACTGTTTACAGTTTTCACATCTACCCTGTAAGGGCAGGCCTAATTTATGTCCATTTTACAGATGAGGAAACTGAGGCTGTGGGGGGAGTGTTGAGACACTTGCTCATGAGAGTGGAGGAGCTGCTGTTTGAATCCTGGGAGTTGTATCCTGGAGGCTTACACCTTAGCCAGTATGGGAAACTGCCTCTCAATATTTACTACATCGGCCTTATCCCAGCTACTGTGTTGGGGAGGGGAACACAGCATGGAGAGTCAGTTCATCTCCTCAAGGAGTTCAGAGTGACGGACTGAATAATACTGGAGTTTCTGTGGTTGGTTTTTATTTTTTCCAAATCTATTTCCACATGTCCCCATCCCTGGCCCCTGGCCCAGGCAGCAGATCCAAGAGTCCACACAGAGACACACAGAGAGCCAAGGGTCCAGGGGAGCTGAGGAGGCAGTTCCCGGGGGGACAGCAGCACTTTGTAATGTGTGTTTACACCCCAGGCTGACTCCTCCATTTCCTCTTTGCCCTTCTCCCCTATACTCTCATATCAGATCCACAGAGCCAAGAGCTCATTTAGGTCTGGCTCAGTGTGATAGTCCTGCTGTTGCCTGGTCCATGTCTGGCTACTGAGGAGACAGGAGGCCTTATTTGGCCATAACTTATTGCTTGTATGACTTTTTATAAGGCCCAAATGACATTTCTTAGAAACCCACATGCTGTATGCACTGTTATTTATGATGTCTTCCTAAGGACAGAATGGGCCAGTCTTCAGGGTCAGTAGGCAAAAGCAAAGCTACATTGGGCCCTTGAATCTGCAGCTAACCCCTCCTGTTTGCAGCTGAGCCTAGCTGTGTCCTGCTGTGACACATGTCCCATGGAAGATTCAGGGCCTAGATGTCTGATCCATCACTGAGCACCAAGCAGTTTTTCTGCAGCCCTGGACAGAAGTGTTCAGCCTGCTGCTTTTGACAGTACCATTCCTTGGGCATTTGTCTGTGATGGGGCCATAGCCCAGAGCAAGTGTGCAAGGAGAGACTTCCGCCCAAAGGCCCTGTCCTTCATGTGTCTGGCCCACCCTCTGGTGCTAGTTTGGGTAGGGATGGATGGGGACCCCTTTTGCAGGCTGCACCTGGGGCCTCAATTCTAGAGATTAAATGATCTCTTTTTCAAAACTTGTGAGGTTGGCAGGCTTGCACAGAATCCTTCCTTGCCTTTTAGGGGAAGGGAATTGGTATTGCTGGGGAATTCAGCTGGAAGAACTTGGGACTGGTTCAGAGGGGTCAAGCCACTGTCTGTGGTCTGCTCTGCACAGGGGTGGTGCTGGTATCCGATCCAGGAAATCTGACTCCCTTTCCTGTGCCTTTTCTAAAATTCCACCCTGCCTCATTCCTGCAAATGTGTGTGCACATATTATACATGTATATCTCATCATCCAGATGGCTTATGGTCTACTTGGGAGAGGAAGCAAAGACAAATAAAGGTGTAATACCACTTCAAACAAGACAGCATGTAGACAAGTGCTAAGTCATACAGTGTAGACAAGTTGAGACAAAGGCAACATGTAGACCCTTTTAACAAGAGTTGGGATGAGAGAGGTCCCTGGGAGCTCGAGTTACGGAGGGAAGATTTCTGAAGGTGGTGGGACTCAAGTTGCTCCTTGGGGGATTGGGATAGGACAGATATTGGAAGTAAGTGGGCATAGTTTGTAGAAGGGTTAGTGATTTGAGGAAGTGGTACAGGTTGGAGAGAAGCAAGCAGTACAGTCTTCTTTATTGTAAAAGTTATGTGTGCTCATGTAAAAAATGTGAACGATATGAGAAAGCTCAAAGAAGAAAATCTTTGTACTCTTACCCAGACAGAGTCTCCATTCTCATTTGGTATTTATCTGCCTGTTTCTTTTTATTTAGAGATAGGGTCTTATTCTGTTGCCCAGGTTGGAGTGCAGTGGAGCTATTATAGTTCACTGCAGCCTTGAACTCCTGCGTTCAAGTGATCCTCCCATCCCACCTCCTGAGTACCTAAGACTACAGGTGCGGGCTACCACACCCAGCTAATTTCTGTATTTTTTATAGAGATGGGGTCTCGCCGTGTTGCCCAGGCTGGTCTCAAACTCCTGGCCACAAGCACTTCTCCCACCTTGGCTTCCCAAAGTGCTGGGATTACAGGTGCCTCTTTTTCTTTTCTTTCTTTCTTTTTTTTTTTTTAAAGGCATTGAGATCAAATCTGTTGTGTCCACCAAGATTATGGAAGGTATCGAATAGTATATGGGGACGCTTAGGTCAAAGGGAGCCTCTGTTGCTTCTTGCTCAAGGGGTGCAGATGAATGTAGTTGTTTGAGAAGAGACACTCAACATCTGTGAGCAGGCAGGATGGGAGCCTGGGACGAAGCACTGGCTTTACCACCCCAGACTTGGGACTCTTTCATTACCCACTGCATGAGAGTCTCAGGTTTACCATTCTCCACTGCTGCCCCAGGGGCTCAGAGAAATAATTTCTCCTGAATTGTCTCAAAAGCTTGTTCCCCACCTGCCACCCTCATCCCTCCCCATCCCCCAAATTCCTCTCTTTTCCATTTACTGCCCAGTTTCTTAAGCATTTCTCCTCCCCTAGAGTTGTTGGGGACACAGCCGGTTTTGCCACACTGCAAACCTTTGCTGCTGCATGAGGTCATTTCAGGGGAGAAACTATATATAGCGGAGGACTAGCATCAGGACAGCTCCACGTTGTTCAGGCCGGTTAGCATCGCCCTTCCGCTGATGCAGGCAGGGTCACCTCGGATTCAGCACTCATCCAGTGGGAGTGTGGTCAGGAGCCCCGAGGAACCGGGGCAAGGTCGTCTTATCTTCATTGCCCTCTCTGTGTAAGCCCATGAATCTCTGGTTCCTCATCTGAGTGATGAAGGAGTTGGTCTGGGAGGGGAATTTTGCACCGTTTTTCAAAGCTACTTGAACCCTTTCTGGGGTAAGCTTACAATGTAGCTTGATATGTACAACCAACTGGGTACTGCACTGGTTGAAGCCGGAGAGAATGGCCCCCCAAAGGGTTCCACTTATGTCCTGGGGTCCTAGAGGGCACACAGTTTGAAAACCACTGAGCAAGCTGATCCTCTGAGGTTTCTTTCAGAGAGTCTGGCCTCGTGCATAGGATCTGGCATAAATAACGCATAAGCAGGGTTGCAAGCTCTGTGACCTTTGGAGACATTGATGATCATCTTGGGTAGCCTGGGGGTGTGGCATAGGGACAGATCTCAGGGCAGAGTCTTTTGGAGTTGGGGCAGCTAGGCCATAGCACAGTTTGCAGATGCAGTTGGACTTGCTGGCCTGCATGTTGAAGGGCTGTTTCTTTTTCTGCCTGCTCCTGCCTGCCTTTCTTTTTAGCACTGAGTTGCCCCAAAGAAGAGATGAAAATGAGGATTTAATGCATTTCAGGCAAGGAAAGAGCATTTAATTTAAGTTGTGTGTGGCTGAGTTACACATTTTATAGAGAGAGTATTTGTCGAGCACAGTGGTGCCTTTGGCAGATATAGGAAAGCCAGAACGTGGGGCCAGTTTTTCTTCATTCAGCAAGTATTTGTAGAGCGCCAGCTTTGTATTCCTGGAGAAGCAGAGAAGCGCAAGGGAGATCCCAGCTGTGTTAGAGCTCCTTGATTGCAAGTAACAGAAACCAACTGAATCCAGCTTAAGCAAAAAGGGTGATTTATGATAGGGCTTCATGGAGGACTCAGGACCCCACGGCAGGGTTGCTGCCTGGCCTTAAGCAGGGATTAGAAAAACCCTGTTAGATTCTCCCTCTCTCTCATCTCTGCTTCTCTTTGAGCTTCCTTCACTTCTCTGCAGCCTGGCTTTCCCCTCCTGAGCCCACACGGTCCCAAATGTTCCTGCTGCAGCTCCAGCCACACTCAGATGTACTGAGATCTCCCAGTCCAAAGTCCATATTCCCATGGGAGAAAGAGAGTCTGGTTGGCACAGCCTGGGTCACATCTCTACCCTCAGTCTACTCAGCTCCAGCCAAGGGATGGGGTCACACGTGATGAAACAGGTCTGGCAGGAGCCACTCCTGATACCATGCAGATCGGAGGCAGCTCCAAACAGGGGAACTTTGACAGCCACAAAGCCGGGTGCTCCTCGAGGCTTTGATCAGGAGCTCTGGTCCCAGGGAGGAAACTGGGTTTATGTGGAACATTTAATAGCCACATAAGGAGACAATGAAAGAAGTGACCCTCGGCAGAGCCCACCTGTTGCCAAATACATGGCTTTTCCAGTTGGGGCTGTCAGACCAGCGGGGGCCAGGGGCTCCCCAAGCCTGGTGTCAGCAGGAGCCCCTCCAGGTTCGCTCAGGGGAAAGGGGCTTTGTTGGAAGGATTTTGGCAAGGCAGCCTGGCCTCCTGGGAGCTGAGGCTGGAAGGCAGTCAGGAGTGGAGGTGGCCCTGTCTTTGGGGAGCTGTGTGGCCTCTCTGCTTTTGTCTGAGCATCTGCTCCTGGCCTCCCTCTTACAGAGGACCCAGGCTTCTCCTCTTACATGTCGGCGTGTTCCATGGTTGAACACACAGTGCCACCGTGGATGGCTTCTCTGGGTCACAGGCAGCCAGTGAGGGGGCTGGACCTCGTTGACTGGGAGGCTGCCCCTTTCAGGGCTTTGGGCAGGGCAGACATTAGAAATCCATCTCCTCGGCCGGGCACGGTGGCTCATGCCTGTAATCCCAGCACTTTGGGAGGCTGAGGCGGGTGGATCACTAGGTCAGGAGATCAAGACCATCCTGGCTAACGTGGTGAAACCCCGTCTCTACTAAAAATATAAAAAATTAGCCGGGCACGGTGGCAGGCGCCTGTAGTTCCAGCTACTCGGGAGGCTGAAGCAGGAGAATGGCCTGAACCCGGGAGGCAGAGGTTGCAGCCGAGATCGTGCCACTGCACTCCAGCCTGGGCAACAGAGTGAGACTCTGTCTCAAAAAAAAAAAAGAAACCCATCTCCTCGCATCTCCTACAGTCAGGGGATGCTGTGGACACTGGAGAGCAACGCCTTGACAGCTGGGGGGAGTGGGGACCAACCTGCACCAAAGCCAGGGTGCAGGGAGGGGAGGGCAGTAAGAGGTGGGGCCTGATGGCACCTCGGATGCTGACTGCGGGGCAGGGCCATGGAGGTGTGAGGAGCCACAGGGAGCCTGTGACCAGGGAGAGGCAGGGCACCTGGGAGGGCATTGCTGGACTCCAAGGATGACAGGGGTAGCTGGGAAAGGAGTAGGGCAGGATAGAAGACAGGGAGACCACCTGGGAGCCTGGTGGCACTCCAGGCAGCAAGGGAGGGTCAGGAGTGGAAGGGCAAGAGGTATGGAAGACGCTTTCAAGAAGGAGGTCCCGAACTTTGGCGACAGTCTGGCTGAAGCAGAGTGAGGGTCCAGTGGTAGGGGCTCTGGGGAGGGGCCTGGCACAACTGGGGCTTGAGGAAGGAGAGAGATGGGCAGCTAGAGGAGTGGAGCGCCACTGGAGAGCCTGGTGGTGGTGGCTGAGGGTGGAGAGATCTGGGGATGTTTACAGCAGGAAGGGAAGTCCCTGGGTAGAGGAGGAGCTGCTGGAGAATGGCTCCTGGGCCCACCAGCTCTGCCCCTCAGGAGCTGTGACAGTGGCCAAGTCGCCTCAGCTCCCTCATCTTCAACGTGGGGACAGTCTCTGCCCAGTCCCCTTGCCGAGGTGTGGGGAAGGGCTGAGGTTGTGCATGTCACAGGGCTCTGTGCACTGGGAAGTCTCGTGCGGATGCAGGCAGCCTTGTGACTGCAGTCACTCGTGGCATGGCACTGCCCGGTGGCCCTCTGCGGGATCAGGGAGGCTTCTTTTCTGGCCCTGGGATGTGACTGGACATGGGCTCCACTACAACCCATCTCCTGGGCATCTCAGGCCGGTGACCCTGCTGCCAACCGTGTTCCCGGTCCCTGGGGGTGAGTAGAGAACAGCAGGTGCCCAGGCCTCATGTCTGAGGGTCTAGGAATGACCAACTGCATAGGCCTAGGATCCCTTCACCCACACTGGCTTCTGAGATCCCTGGTGGTGCTGTGTGTGTGTGGAGACCAGCAGCAGGGCTGAGGCAGGAGGGAGGTGGCTGTGTTCTCCTTCCTGGGCAAGTGAAGAGGCCATAGGGGACGTGGTTGAGTGGGGGACAGACACACCCCATTTACTTCCTAGTGTGGAACTGGAGGGGCCGCTCCGAGAATGGTGTTGGCCTCCTTGGCCTGCTTCCCAGGGAGAAAATCTTGGAGCACTTGTTTCAAAGATGCCAGGAGAGTGGGGAATGCTGAAACCTGCATCCTGTTTTGCTGCTGGCCTAGGGAAGAGGACCCAGATGGGGACAGTAGATGGTGGCAGAGACTGGAATACTGGGTGCATCTTGGGGCCCACAGAGCTGGGGGAAGCAGATGGGGGTTGAGGCGAGGACCTGAGGTCAACAGGGGAGAACCTGCGGCTTCCTTCCTGTTTGATGCCGACCTCGCTCCATCCAGGACTGCCTGGCAGCCTGGTTCTTTCTCCCTAGCTGCCCCTCCCCGAGGACAAGGCCCTCTATCCTCTGCAGCCGACATCCCACTTTTCCTGTATGAGTCATGCCTACCGGCCCGAGGCTGCCTCCAGCTCACCTGCAGCTTCCTTTCTCCAGGAAGGCCTGGCTTCTATGTGTGTCTTCCTTGCCCTCCAGCCCGTTTGGCTATTTCTGTTCATTTTCCCTCCACGGAGCATCTGGCAGAGCTGCCTGCTCTCTCCCACCCCAAGCCAGATTTTGTCTTCTCCTGCCTGCTCGTTTCCAATCTCAGACCCCTTGGAGCATTATTTTTTCTAAAGTGCAGCAGCTGTGCATCTCCCTGGTCTGCCCAGCTGTTCTTGTCGTTGACTGGAGAGTTTATGTCACTTGTGACAATAAATAGGAAATGAGAATGAGAGGGTTGCCAGACTGCCCTTCCAGCTGCCTGAATTCCTCTCGGGAAACAAGGAGAGAAATAAGCACAATAAGGCTAACACTTAGAAGTACTTCCCATGTTCACTTAATGTTTTCCAGATGTAGTACCAAACCTTTTCCATGTATTATCTCATTTAATCTTTGTAGTAACTCAATGAAGTAAGTTGTATGATCATCCTCTCACAGCAGGGAACACAGAGGCCCAGAGAGGTTGTGTAATTTGCCCAACATCATCAATGAGTAAGTAGCAGAACCAGACCAGAACCTGTATCAGTCTGACTCCCAGGGCACTCTCCTAATCACTAGAGGAGGAGACGGCCATGGGCCAGGCATCTCCGGAGCCCACTTGAACTTCAAGTTTTCGTTTTCTCTAGTTGCCTGTTGCAAATAATAACGTGCTCAAAGGAGACCTCATAGTGTCATTCTCAGAGCCATCCTTTGTTCTCCTTTCTCTGTATCCCAAACAGCAAAAAGAACTTTTGGATGGTAGAGGTTGTAGTATTTCTCTTTGCTTGGAGTCCCCCTACCAGCATCCCATTTTATAGTCTTCCGTAAAGCTTTAAGAACTTCACGACATTATCCTTGCAAATAAGGGGCTACAGAGGAAGAAATAATAGCCTAATCTTGACTTTTCTCTGACGATCTTTCCACTTAAATCATGTTCCCTTCTCTCCTGAGCATGCTTGAAATGCCCCAAGATGCCTGTTCTACACATTCTGTATTGACAGGGAACATTTCTGCTCTTTGTGGTAAACCTTTTGTGTGCTATTATTGTCCGTGAGTGGTGATTGTCAACTGGGGAGAGAGAGGGAGAATGAATCACAGTCTCTGGGGATTGGGGCAAGTGTGAAATTTGAAAAGCATATTCAGGATCATAATCTCATTTTAGCTTTGGAAAAATATATTGTTTTTTAAATGTAGACAATTAAAGAAAGTGGACTTGGACAAAATCTTGCCTGATATTGCAGGAATTCTCAAGTGAGGCATAGCAGTTTTAGGTGGGGGTGTATATGGGAAGCCTGTATGTTGATTAAAAGGGGGTATGTGCTTTAAGAGGCTAAGAAGCTGTCTCCCAACAAGAGACTGTATGTGTCCTGTCATTCTGTCTCCCACAGCCCTGCAGGTGTTTACTGGAGGTCTCTGAGGATGGTGCATACTATATGGGGCATCAAAAAAGACCCAAGGGCTTGGGGCTTGGGGCAAGTGCACTAAACACCACTGGTTTACTAACTGGGACCTTGTAGCTTAGTGGTTAAGAGCACAGGTTCGGCTCAGACCATGGCAGAGCTTAAATCCAAGCTTTACTGCTTTGTGGTAGTATTCCTTAACCTCTAAATGTCTCAGTTCCTTCATCTGTTACATAGATGGTGGTAGTACCTACCCTATCATGTAACTGTGGTGATTATGTGGGATAATGCCTGGCACCTGGCTGGTAGTCAGTGATGGTGGATGCTGTTTCTTACCCATCCTACCTGCTTTGTCTCAGTTGGATCAAACCCTCATGGGGCTCTGGGTGGCTGACCCAATGGCTTTGTCGAAATGAAAGTGTTATGTGGTCCTTGAGGTCCTGGTTCAAGGCTAATCTGAAGCATCTGTCTGCATAAAGCCCAGATGAGCATTGAGTTTCTCCATGCCCAGTGCCGTGCTTGATCCTGGGTGTGCAGCTGAGCAAAATAGATACGGTCCTTCCCTCCCAGGTCCCACAGAATAACAGGGAAACACATGATACTCAGGTAATCAAAATGTAAGACATACTACAAAGGTAAGAATAAGGTACTGGGAGAGAATTATGGGGTAGGAGAAATGAATTATTTTGGAATGGAGGGTCAGGAAGCCTTCCCTGAAAAAGAGACACCTACGCTGACACCTGGAGACTGGGACTGAGGGAGCCGTGTTTGTCTCATGTGTCCCCACCCCTGGCCAGGGCTGCCTGCTGGTCCATGTACCACCTTTGGGTGAATTAGAGAAAGATGCCTCCTCTGGGCAGGGGCACAGCTGGAGAGAGAAAGGGAAATAAGCAAGTGGCCACCCCGGTTTCTGCCCTGTTGGGGTAAGGAGGTGTTTTCCCTTTCCAGGAGAAAGGAGAGAGAGGCCGTGTCCAGGACACTGTCCGGAGCTGCTAAACTGGCCAGCAAGTGCTCAGAGTCTGGTTTTCATGGGCTGCAGTTGGTGACTGTCTGCTGTGACCTTCTTCCCATAGCAGATATCTCTTCCACAATGTTCTATAAAGAGAGAGGACCACTAGGAGGGCAGGAGGGAGAGAGGAGGGAGATCTGCTGGGGAAGCCGGGCCACAGACTGAGGCCCTGGGCCTGCCAGCTCCCATCTCGCCTCCCCAGCACGAGTGCCTACTTCATGCTGAGTTCTGAGCTAACCTTGTTATTTAATCTGTAGTGTTTTGTTTTGTTTGCCTTCTCACCTGGGACCCGCCTTTCATTCCACAGGTAGGGGTGATGAACTCAATGCAAATGATGGTTGGTAAGGTGAGACTCTGCTGGGTGGGCAGCTCCCTGGCTGGTGGAGGGCACGCTTGAGGAAGTGGCATTTGAGTTCACTTCTAGGTGCTTGGATGCCTGGCACTCATGAGTGGAAGTTTCCAGGAGTTACTTTTCTGTTCCCCCTGAGGGAGATCTCCTTTCCCAAAGGAGAGTGGTCTGACGTGGGAACGGGCTGCCTCTGAGAGCCCAGCCTCCAGGGGTGGTGAGGGTCACTCCCAGGGATTCTTGCGTCAGCTGGGGCACACGCTGCAGAGCCTTCCACGACCTCTCTGACTCCAGTGGGATCTGGCTCTGCAAAAGTTAAGCCCTTCTGCCATAGCCTGGTAGAGGCTTTTTCTAAATCAAGCTGGGAGGGCCACCCTCAGGCAGGCAGGAGCAGCAGCCTCCAGACTAACCAGATCCTGGAGCTCTGTGTTCTGGGTCCCTGATCTCCCTGAAGCCCCAGCTACGGAGTTTGGTCCAGATTTCCCCCAGCAGCAGCTGGGCAGCAGTGTGTGCCTGGCCCCCTTTGGAGTGGGTCACACACCCACCTGGCCAGGCTCTGGCATGGAGGCTGGCACTAGAATGGGCTTCAGGGATAGCATGCACCTGTTTTGTGCTGCTGTTGTCAAGTAGCTGGCCTTGGGCTTCTTGGAACTACAGATGTTTGCGTCATTGGACTGATTGTCCTTTGACTTTTTCTTTGCCATACTGACTTTCTGTGGCCATATGGTTAGCTTTGGATACAGAGAGGTGTGAGGTGGTCCCACAGTGCCTGCCACAACATCAAGTTTCTATAGATGGGAGCCCTTCCGTAAACCTCAGAAGGTGGCAAGAGCATGTCTGACAGTGATTGGAATTGAGCTCTGCAAGACATAGACAAGATCACCTCTTCAACTCCAGAGTGTTGTGGCAGGGCACCAGAGCTGGAAAAGCCTGAAAGGTCATGTCCAGCTGCCCACGCAATGTGGGGTCGTTCCACTTAGCACCCTTGCCAGGCATTCAGCCAGACTTTCTTTGGGCGAGGCTAGCTTTTGAACGCACTGAATGCGTTGGCCTGTCTCTCTGTAGAGTGAGTGCCTGTGCCCTGTCTCATTGCCCACACCATGGCCTTGTGAGAGCAGCTCCCTCCGATCAGTGTGAACTTGGCTGAGCCCAAGTGTGCTTCCTTTGTGTCTCTCACTCACTGGTTCTGCCTGAGAAGTTTGTTTCCTTTAGGTAAAGTTTTCCTGTTATAGCTCTTGGGGTTTGAATTGGGTGACTTGTCTTACAGAGTGGTGAAGATCGGAGACAGGGTGTGTAACTTGCCCAGGTCATCTCAAATTTGTGGCCAGGCAGGAAACACAACCCCAGAGATGCTTGATCTTGTCATTTTGCTGCTCAGACACATTCTGCCTCCTTTCTGACCTCCAGCATGTTTTATGAGCAAGATTCTGAGAGCCCTCTCTAAACAGCAAGTCAGAGCTTTTAGCTTCCTTTCTCTTTAGATTGTACCTGGCTGGTGGGTGAAGGTGAGGGTGGGGATAGACATGTAGGAGCCATTTGGTGCCAGGAATAAGACAAAGCAGCTTGGAAGAGGGGTCTGGAGGGAGCCAGGGTGTGATGGCTGAGTGCCACAGAGGAGGGCCATAGCTGCAGGGCCAGGGCCACCCTGGCCACTCCTGCCTGCGTCTCCTTTAGAGGCTTTCATCTCCCTGACTCCTTTCTTTTTCCGCTGTCTCCTTTTCCTCTTCTGTTGAGGCATCCCTGAGCGTTCCTTCCCCTGCCTACCTGGAGATCTCCAGACCTTAAGATTTAGTGTCCTTGACACAGCGTATTTCTTTATAATGCCTTCCTCTTCGGGCTGTGCACCCATATCACTTCAGAGCCACTCCTGCCTGCACCTGGGAGCATTAACATCAGAGCCTTAACCAGATGCTCTGGATGCTGCCTGCCAGCCGCCCAGAACACTTAATTATCTTTTGCGGGAAGTGACATCTTACCCCACCGGGACATTTTATAGACAGTGTCTTCACCCTGAAGGTGGGAATTTCATGAATTGTGGCAGGTCAACAAGGTGGCCATCTGGGAGCAATAGAGGGAAATGGGCATTTGCGGAGTGTCTTCCATGCTCCAGGCACAGACTATTGTGTTCTCCCAGCACCTGGTGGTGTGGCATCATTCATCTCCATTTTACAGATTGGAGAACTAAAGCTTGCTAGGGTCACCGGGCCAGTTACTGGTTGGGGTCAGAATGAGAATCCTCTTCTGCTTGGCTCCAGAGCCCAACTCCTCCTGGTCTTTGCAGCCTGTCTGCAGGGCCTGTCTTCTCCACTGTTTCCTTGCTAGCACTGAGCCCAGCACCTGGCATCAACATGAAGCGATGGTTGTAGAAGGTGGGCTAGAGCTGGCAGGCAGGGACTTGAGCTTGGTAGAGCCAGGATAGTTGGGAAGATGATTTGGGCACCTGGGGGCTGGGGATGGGGGCGGTATTTTTCCTCTGTCTTTGTACCTTCTTTGGGTGTAACTTGGTGGACATCAGAGTTCAGAGTTGAGGTGGTGCAGGGTGTAGCAGACCCAGAATTAAGGCAGGACTGTTGGTCTCTGTGGCCTCGTGAGACTGCTGAAGACCCGACGTCCCTTGTTCCTGCTGCTTCTGTGGCAGCTGGAGCCAGTGAGATGATGCCCCTTCCCCATTTACTGTTTTCTGCAGTTCTGCCTCCGTGACAGCCAGCAGGATGAGTGTGGGGAGACCCGTAAGAGGGGCTAGAATGAATGTTTGTGTGCATTTGGTTTTGTGTTCCTCAGCCCTTCTTTAGCAGCAGGACTTGGCTTTTAAACCTGCCATGGGCTCCGAGGCTGCCCTCCCACCCTGATCACAGTGCCCCTGCTCCTTATGGGTTCCTCGCTCTGTCACCCAGGCTGGAGTGCAGTGGCGCGATTATGGTTCACTGCAGCCTCTACCTCCCAGGCTCAGGTGATCCTCCCACTTTAGCCTCTAGAGTAGCTGGGACCATAGGCATGCGCCACCATCCCTGGCTAATTTTTGTATGTTTTTGTAGGGATGCGGGGGGGTCTCACTATGTTGCCCAGACTAGTCTCGAACTCTTGGATTCAAGCAGTCCACCCACCTCAGCCTCCTAAAGTGCTGGGATTACAAGCATGAGCCACCAAGCCCGGTCCCCCATAGAGTTTTTACCCTGACTGGCACACCTCCTTCTTCTAGCCCCCTCTTCCTGATACTCCCAAATCGTAGGGGTTGGCTGGGAACAGGATTCACCATTCCTCCTGGAGGCACCAAGACAGGTTTTTGAGGACTACGATGACTTATGTCTCATTGATGCTCTGCTCACCCTATGAAGGCAGGTGCATTTCTTTGTGGAAAGCTGCCCTGCTGCGTTGAAGGGGTCTAATGATACAGTGGCTTAAAGAATGAGGAGTTTGTTTTTCTGTCTCATGTAATGGCCCTGATGTCCTCAACGTGAACAGACCAAGTGAGGGGGCAGCTCGGCTCCTTGTGGTCACCTGGGATCCTGTTTTTTTGAAGTTGCTGCCACATCATAGAACATTGTTGTTTGCATGGTTGAAGTTGGGTTGCAGCCATGTCTGGGCTCCAGCCAGTGGAGGGGGAAGAAAGGGTGGAGGAGGCCTGCCTACCTTCCCTAGGCCCTGGTCCTCCATGGCCCATGTGCAGCATAGTCACATGGCCTCCCTGGCTGCAAGCAAGGCTGAGAAATGTCTGCCTGGGCTGTTGTGTGGCCATGAAGAAGGGGAAAGTGGCTTTGGGTAGGTAACTAACAGCCTCACTACAGAAGATGGAGAGTATTTTCACTTGTGTGTGCTGAGAGAAGAATATGCCTCCCTGCTAGTCATGTGCCCACACTCTTTGGCAACTTGCACATGTGCCCCCTTCCTTGGGAAACATCTGTGTGCCAGACTATGCTGCACCAACTTAGGGGACCAGAAGCCAAAGAAGGCAATTTCTGCCTTTTAGCAACTCACAGTGTAGTCTGGAGAGGGTGTGTGTGGAACCCAGACAATCTGTAAATGCCAAAACAGAGAATCTCTTTTGTTGTATGCTGGGCACCGCAGATAGAGAGCTAAAAGACCACCTGGGGCCTCCATATGCTCGCAGTTGGGTGGACTGGAAAATGGAATGAAGTGCTGAGAGCAGTGTGGCTGAGGAATTAGGAGGGCTTCACAGAAGAGGTGACATTCTAGCTGGGCGCCGACATTTTCTATTTCAAAAGATGGGGTATCTTCGGGAGAGAAAACCAATAGCAAAGGCATGGAGACTTGGAAGCTCATGGAGGGCTAGTGGCTCAGGTGTGGTCTGAGCCTAGTGGAAGTGAGTGAGAGAACAGGTCCCAGCTGTCTATGCGGCTCACTTCTCCCTCCACTGGCCTCTGCACCCATCTCCATATTAGAGGCCTTCTCTGGTCCCCCATTCTCAATTCTAATCACTGTATTTTTCTGCTTAACTTGGGGATGACATATAAATACCTGACATACTCTAGATGGCCTTGTGCATTGTCTGTCTCTCCTGCTAGAATGTAAACTGCGGGAGAGCAAGGACTTTGTTTTGTATGGGTAAATACTGGGTCCTCAAATATTTGTTGAATGAATAAATGAATTTATGGGAATGTGGTAATGTGGACTGAAGATCATATTTTTGGAAAGACTTGATTTCCATGCTAAGGTGTTTGGCTTTTATTTTTAGGTAGTGGGGAGCCATAGAAAGTTTTTGAGCAGGGGAGTGACATAATCACTATTAACAAGGTTCCTGGCAGCAGCAAGGAAGATGGTCAGAGTGGGGAGAGAGTGCCACTTCCCTGGCCCTAGGTCAGCTCCAAAGCAACTTACCCTGCAGACTGATGTGCCATTTGTGTAGTCTGGAAGCCTATTCGCAGTCATTGTGTTTGGGGCGAAGCAGAGGATTCGATCTCTGGCAGGGCTTCATCCCTAAGGGTCTAACAAGCACTCTTGTGCACTGCTGGTGGAAGTGAAAATTGATAGTCTTTCTGGAAAGCAATTTGGCAAAAGGTAACAAGAACCTTAAAACTATCCCTGCTCTTTGACCTAGAAATTCCACAACAAGGACTTTATCATAGAGAATGAAGCCGAAGTGTGTGCAAAGCTTTATGCACTAAGACTTTGATTCTAGCGTGAAAAATGGAAAGTCTAAATGTGTGACTCAAGGACTTCTCAAATCCATCCTCTCATCTCCATCCCACTAAAACTCTGCCTACCATGATCGACACAATAAAATCTGAGTCCAGGCCCCTGTTTTTTCGCTCCTCTTCTAATGCAGCAGCCTCTTAACTGATCTTCCTGCCTTCATTCAAGACTCCTTAAACCCACTCTCCACATGGATTCCAGAGTGAACAATCAAAAATGCCTGCCTTACATATCATTTGGGGTCAGGAATTCAAGACCAGCCTGGCCAACATGGTGAAACCCCATCTCTACTAAAAATACAAAAGTCAGCCGGGCATGGTGGCATGCACCGGTAGTCCCAGCTACTTGGGAGGCTGAAGCAGGAGAATTGCTTGCTTGAACCTGGGAGGCAGAGGTTGCAGTGAGCCAAGATCACGCCACTGCACTCCAGCCTGGGTGACAGAGCAAGACTCCGTCTCAAAAAAAAAAAAAAAAAAAAGAAATGCCTCTCTTAGGCCGAGCGTGGTGGCTCACACCTGTAATCCCAGCACTTTGGGAGGCTGAGACGGGTGGATTACCTGAGCTCAAGAGTTCAAGACCAGCCTGGGCAACATAGGAAAACCCTGTCTCTACTAAAATATGAAAATTAACCAGGCGTGGTGACAGGCACCTGTAATACCAGCTACTCAGGAGGCTGAGGCATGAGAATTGCTTGAACCAGGAGGCGGAGGTTGGAGTGAGCCAAGATCGTGCCACTGCACTCCAGCCTAGGCAACAAAGCGAAACTCTTGTCTCCAAAAAAAAAAAAAAAAAAAAAAAGCCTGCCTTGGCAGGCTGCGGTGGCTTATGCCTATAATCCCATATGCGTTGGGAGGCCAACGCAGGAGGATCACTTGAGTCCAGGAGTTTGAGACCAGCCTGGGCAACCCTATCTATACAAAAAATTTCAAAAAGAAAAAGAGTGCCTATCCTTCCTTGGCTTTGCCCCTTCAGAGGCTCTCCCATCCCTTAGGGCATAATGTCCAAGTTGTGTCACTGGCCCAGAGGCCCTCACTGATCTGCCCTTCTTTTTTATTTATTTATTTATTTATTTATTTTTATTTTTATTTTATTTTTTTATTGATCATTCTTGGGTGTTTCTCGCAGAGGGGGATTTGGCAGGGTCATAGGACAATAGGAGGGAAGGTCAGCAGATAAACAAGTGAACAAAGGTCTCTGGTTTTCCAGGCAGAGTGTTTGTGTCCCTGGGTACTTGAGATTAGGGAGTGGTGATGACTCTTAACGAGCATGCTGCCTTCAAGCATCTGTTTAACAAAGCACATCTTGCACCACCCTTAATCCATTTAACCCTGAGTGGACACAGCACATGTTTCAGAGAGCACAGGGTTGGGGGTAAGGTCATAGATCAACAGGATCCCAAGGCAGAAGAATTTTTCTTAGTACAGAACAAAATGAAAAGTCTCCCATGTCTACTTCTTTCTACACAGACACAGCAACCATCCGATTTCTCAATCTTCCACCTTTCCCCCTTTTCTATTCCACAAAACCGCCATTGTCATCATGGCCCGTTCTCAATGAGCTGCTGGGTACACCTCCCAGACGGGGTGGTGGCCGGGCAGAGGGGCTCCTCACTTCCCAGTAGAGGCGGCCGGGCAGAGGCGCCCCTCACCTCCCGGACGGGGCGGCTGGCTGGGCGGGGGGCTGACTCCCCCACCTCCCTCCCGGACGGGGAGGCTGGCCGGGCGGGGGGCTGACCCCCCCACCTCCCTCCCGGACGGGGCGGCTGGCCGGGCGGGGGGCTGACTCCCCCACCTCCCTCCTGGACGGGGCGGCTGGCCGGGCAGAGGGGCTCCTCACTTCCCAGTAGGGGCGGCCGGGCAGAGGCGCCCCTCACCTCCCGGACGGGGCGGCTGGCCGGGCAGGGGGCTGACCCCCAACCTCCCTCCCGGACGGGGCGGCTCGCCTGGCGGGGGGCTGACCCCCCCACCTCCCTCCCGGACAGGGCGGCTGGCCGGGCGGGGGGCTGACTCCCCCACCTCCCTCCCGGACGGGGCGGCTGGCCGGGCAGAGGGGCTCCTCACTTCCCAGTAGGGGCGGCCGGGCAGAGGTGCCCCTCACCTCCCGGACGGGGCGGCTGGCCGGGCAGGGGGCTGACCCCCAACCTCCCTCCCGGACGGGGCGGCTCGCCTGGCGGGGGGCTCACCCCCCCACCTCCCTCCCGAACGGGGCGGCTGGCCGGGCGGGGGGCTGAACCCCCACCTCCCTCCCGGACGGGGCGGCTGGCCGGGCGGGGGGCTGACCCCCCCCACCTCCCTCCCGGACGGGGCGGCTGGCCGGGCGGGGGGCTGACCCCCCCCACCTCCCTCCCGGACGGGGCGGCTGGCCGGGCGGGGGGCTGACTCCCCCACCTCCCTCCCGGACGGGGCGGCTGGCCGGGCAGAGGGGCTCCTCACTTCCCAGTAGGGGCGGCCGGGCAGAGGCGCCCCTCACCTCCCGGATGGGGCGGCTGGCCGGGTGGGGGGCTGACCCCCCACCTCCCTCCTGGATGGGGCGGCTGGCCTGGCGGGGGCTGACCCCCACCTCCCTCCCGGACAGGGTGGCTGCCGGGCGGAGACGCTCCTCACTTCCCAGACGGGGTGGCAGCCGGGCGGAGGGTCTCCTCACTTCTCAGACAGGGTGGCCAGGCAGAGACGCTCCTCACCTCCCAGACAGGGTCGCGGCCGGCCGAGGCACTCCTCACATCCCAGACGGGGCAGCGGGGCAGAGGCGCTCCCCACATCTCAGACGATGGGCGGCCGGGCAGAGACGCTCCTCACTTCCTAGATGGGATGGCGGCCGGGAAGAGGCGCTCCTCACTTCCTAGGTGGGATGGCGGCCGGGCAGAGACGCTCCTCACTTTCCAGACTGGGCAGCCAGGCAAAGGGGCTCCTCACATCCCAGATGATGGGCGGCCAGGCAGAGACGCTCCTCACTTCCCAGACGGGGTAGCGGCTGGGCAGAGGCTGCAATCTCGGCACTTTGGGGGGCCAAGGCAGGCGGCTGGGAGGTGGAGGTTGTAGCGAGCCGAGATCACGCCGCTGCACTCCAGCCTGGGCACCATTGAGCACTGAGTTAACGAGACTCCGTCTGCAATCCCGGCACCTCGGGAGGCCGAGGCTGGCGGATCACTCGCGGTTAGGAGCTGGAGACCAGCCCGGCCATCACAGCGAAACCCCGTCTCCACCAAAAAAAAAACGAAAACCAGTCAGGCGTGCAGGCACTCGGCAGGCTGAGGCAGGAGAATCAGGCAGGGAGGTTGCAGTGAGCCGAGATGGCAGCAGCACAGTCCAGCTTCGGCTCGGCATGAGAGGGAGACCGTGGAAAGAGAGGGAGAGGGAGACCGTGGGGAGAGGGAGACCGTGGGGAGAGGGAGAGGGACTGGGACTGATCTGCCCTTCTTTGGCTTCATTCTGACCACCTCCTGCCTCGTGTGATCTACCTGGCAGCACTGCTTGCAGCTCCACAAACCTGAGCCCAGAGTAGGCTCACACTGCCTCCTCTGTCTGGCGAGCCCAGCCCCCTTGCCCTTTTGCCTGGCTAACTCCAGCTTGTTCTTTGGTACTTGGAGCAAACTTTAAGACCTTCCGCAGAGGGGGTGAGACCACATTCACGTGTCCCCCTGATTCCTGTGCATATCACTCCCCTTGCATGTGTGCATTAGTTTCTAACAATCTCCTGACATGTCTGTCTCCCTCACTAGCTCTGACCTTGAGAGCCTTAGTGACTTTGTGTCCGTGTTCCCCAGCACGGGGCCTGGTGCATACTAGAAGCTCAATACATGTTTCTTGAATGAATGAATGAATGAATGAATGGATGGATGAATCGATGAATGAATGAAGAATGATGCAAGCTCTTTATTATAAGAAATGCATCCTGAGCTGTGCATGGTGGCTTACACCTTTAATCCCAGTGACTCAGGAGGCTGAGGCAGGGGGAATGCTGGAGCCCAGGAGTTTGAGGCTGCAGTGAGTTACAGTCGCGCCACTGCACTCCAGCCTGGGCTACAGAGTGAGACCCCATCTCAAAAAAATTTTTACAAAAGCATACTTTATAGTGCTCAGCACATATTTGCTCAATAAATATTTATTAGATGATTCTGTGTGAAGTAAAAACAGGATTTTTTTGAAGTGTTATATTTATTCTATATTTTCTTTATGTCCTGAGTCGATTTCTAAGGATAGAACCTAGGGAAGAGGGGGCACAGGTAAATCCGGCAAGCAGCAGGGGTTGAGAACCACTGGTCCAGCAGCTGGTTTCAGATTAAAATAAAAACAGGATCGTGGACATCATAATGGTAGAAGCTTGTACATGCCATATGATCTCAGCAATATGAATGCTAATTGAGAGGAACAAAAGAAAATGTCTCAACATATTATTGCTGGTTATTTGGGGGTGATAGGATATAGGTTACTTATGTTTTTCCTTTTTATGTTTTTATTATATAATTTTTATTTTAAAAATTTTTTAAATTTTTAAATTTTTTACTTTTTTGAGACGGAGTCTGGCTCTGTTGCCCAGGCTGGAGTGCAGTGGCGCGATCTCGGCTCATTAAAAGCTCTGCCTCCTGGGTTCATGCCATTCTCCTGCCTCAGCCTCCGGAGTAGCTGGGACTACAGGTGCCCGCCACCACGCCCAACTAATTTTTTGTACTTTTAGTAGAGACGGGGTTTCACCTTGTTAGCCAGGATGGTCTCCATCTCCTGACCTCGTGATCCGCCCTCCTTGGCCTCCCAAAGTGCTGGGATTACAGGCATGAGCCACTGCGCCCAGCCTATTTTTTTTAAATTTAACATATGCCATCTTTTTTTTTTTTTTTGAGATGGAGTCTTGCCGTCACCCAGTCTGGAGTGCAGTGGCACAATCTCGGCTTGCTGCAACCTCCACCTCTTGGGCTCAAGTGATCCTCCTGCCTCAGCCTCCTGAGCAGCTGGGATTACAGGCGTGCACCACCACGCCTGGCTAATTTTTGTATTTTCGTAGAGGTGAGGTTTCCGCCCAGCTAATTTTTGTACTTTATGTAGAGACGAGGTTTCACCATGTTGGCCAGGCAGGTCTCAAACTCCTGACCTCAAGTGATCTGCCTGCCTCAGCCTCTCAAAGTGCTGGAATTCCAAGCGTGAGTCACCAAGCCCGGCCGACATATGTCATCTTTTAAATGTAAAAAATAAGAAAAGTGGTTGGACCAGAGACTCCTGACTGTGCTTGGGATCACTGGGTCATGGAGCCAGTCCCTGAGCTTCAGCCTTTGGTTAGTCCCCCAGGGGCGATTCTAGGTATCGGGTCCATTCCTGACCCTCTGGCCCTTTCTGAGCACCAGCATCCTGGTGCTCCGAGAAACTGTCTCGTGCCCTTGGAAACTGTGATAAACAGTTCCTAGGCCCACAACAGTCTCCCCTGTGGTTTCCAGGTCCCCAGGTGAGGGCGGAGCATGAGGAATGTGACAGGCCATGGTGTAATGGGATTTTGCTAAGAATTTACCACCAGGAGGTAGTCTCCAAATGGGTCCCAGAATAGAAAAACTGGCCTGTGGTGTGATGAGGAGTGGGACCACAGACCTGGGGGCCAAGACCAGCAGGAAGACTCAGCAACAAGGCATTGTGATCCTGGGGGCTGGGTAGTTGGCCATCCTGGCAGGCAGTTGGAGGTGGGCAGGGACAGCCAGGTGGGACACTGAGGGTTAGAAAGGTGAGAGAGTCAAGGAGTAGATAGTGGGGGGCTGACTGGGCCGGGAGAGCAGCCAGTGGAGGGAGCACCTTGGGTCAAGGCGCTCTCAGTCTGCCATCTCTTGGCCCTGGAGCAAACCAAGCAGTTGGAGTTGTCTGCAGGGAGATTTGTAAGTTCACTTGTTTGCTGTTTCATGCCATCTTCCTCCCAAAGCCTTTCCTGAGTCTCTTCCTGTATATGTTCCACAGTTAAGGCGAGCTCTTTTTCTCCTCGAAAGCTCTGTTGAGCTGGGCGCAGTGGCTCATGCCTGTAATCCCAGCACTTTGGGAGGCCGAGGCAGGCGGATCTCCCGAGGTCAGGAGTTCAAGACCAGCCTGACCAACATGGAGAAACCCCGTCTTTACTAAAAATACAAAAAAATTAGCCAGGCGAGGCTAGTGCGGTGGCTCACGCCTGTAATCCCAGCACTTTGGGAGGCCGAGGCGGGCGGATCACAAGGTCAAGAGATCGAGACCATCCTGGCCAACATGGTGAAACCCCGTCTCTATTAAAAGTATAAAAATTAGCTGGGCGTGGTGGCGGGCACCTGTAGTCCCAGCTACTTGGGAGGCTGAGGCAGGAGAATCGCTTGAGTCCGGGAGACGGAGGTCGCAGTGAGCCAAGTTCGTGCCACTGCTCTCCAGCCTGGGCAACAAGAGCGCAACTGCATCTCAAAAAAAAAAAGAAAGAAAGAAAGAAAGAAAGCCTTGTTGGTCTTTGGTCTTGCCTCTTATCACCTTCATCACTTTCTAATGTTGTGCTCTTATTTCCGGTGTGTCTCGGGCCCCTACCAAGGGCAGCCTGGAGTCTGGCGCATCTTCGCAGTCCATGTGGGTAGGACAGTGCCTGGCCCATGGTCAGGGTCCAGGGGAGGAGGAGTGCTTTGCATCCACTTTCCCAGCTGGAAAGCTCTGTTCCTGGCCTTGTGGCTGACTCCTGCATGGTGTTTCCCTGGGTCACCACGGCGACAAGATGCTCACTTGCAAGCAAATAGGATCCCCTGCCCAGGGCTGCCAGCCTCAGCAGTTCTTGACCTCCAGCTGAGCTGAAACTGAGAGGATGCCTTTTCCACCAGCTGGGAGCTGAGCCCATAGGGCTCCCTCCCTGACCCTTTGGTGACTGTGCTGAAAGCAGATACCTCCTGCTGCCCCGGGTTTGCTGCCTTCTCCTCCCCACCCACTGCTAGAGCCTGTCTGGCATCTATGAAGGGAGGACGTTTGGGCCAAAACAGGTGGTGGTCTCCTAGCACACAGCTACCAACTGCATCCTGTCTGCAAGGGAGACTTCTTCCCGGGGCTTTGCTTTCTCCTGGGTTTCAGCACCATGGAAGGCCGCCTATATTCTACGCCATAGCGGGTGGGAGAAGGGTACGAGGAGGCTGCTCTTGCCTGGCCTTGGGCTGGTGGAGCGTGTCTGAGGGAATGAGGCCTGATCTGTCTGCCCTCCCTCTTCGCAGCATCCCCCTTTGCCCCCCACCTCCACCAAGTCTGACTCAGCCCTTGCTTGACACAGATCTTAAGCTCTGGGCTGGGTGTGGTAGCTCACCCTGTAATCCCAGCACTTTGGGGGACTGAGGCGGGCAGATCACTTGAGGTCAGGAGTTTGAGACCAGCCTGGCCAACATGGTGAAACCCGTCTCTACTAAAAATACGAAAATTAGCTGGGTGTGGTGGTGCAGACCTGTAGTCCCAGCTTCTCAGGAGGTTGAGGCAGGGGAATCACTTGAACCTGGGAGGTCGAGGTTACAGTGAGCTGAGATCACGCCACTGCACTGAAGCCTGCGTGACAAAGCAAGACTCCATCTCAAAAAAAAAAAAAAAAAAATCTTAAGCCCTCATCAGACTCGCCTTGGGAGGGGCAGGTGATGTGGGCCACAGCCCATCTGCCCTAGGCCAGCGGGGCCCTGAAGCCTTCTACTGCCTGGAAACCTTGCAGGCAGGACCAGCTGCAACCTTTTCTGGCCAGCTTCTGCCGCCTTCCCCTAAGACAAAGGTCTGAGGACAGCTTGCCAAGGGTTCCACTGGTTTCTGCCTTTCCACAGGGCTCCTCTGTTGGGCCCTTTCCCACTTCACCCCCTTCCCAGGAAACCAGAGCTCTCACCACCTCCCATGTGGTCCACTCGCTGGTTCATTCTGTCAGCTTTTATTGAGCACCTATTGTGTGCGGATCATTGGCCTGAGCCCTGGGACTGAGATGGGGAGGGCCCAGCCCTGCCCTTACAGCTTGTTTGTGGTACAATTCGCACAAAGCGGCTTAAATGGGAGCTTTGTTTGATCCAAGGCAGCTAGAAACAGTCTTTCCTTCGAGGTACCTTGTAGAAGACACTCCAAGTCCTGGCTAAGCTTTCTCCACTTTGTCATGACAAGGATCTTTTACTGCGTTTCCCCCTAAGTCTCAAGATTTTCTACCACACCACATTCAAGCCAAAGCTTAAGGCACTAAGGAACACACACGCGCGCGCGCACACACACACACACACACACACACACACACACCACCCTTACTCCTAAAAAAGCTAATACATGCACAAATATATATCCTAGAATGTGAAAGGTCCACTACCCCACTTCTGGGGTAGAAAAGGTGGTGTGTGTTCCTCCAGATTTTTTCCCTTGCAGATGCTAACACTGTCTTTACAAACTTGGGCCCATTTGGGAGCTGCCAGTTTGCTTGGGAGGCACACAGCCTCCAAGGGCCACCATCTGACCCCTGGCAGAGACTCCAGCCCACACCTCTGCCCAGAGTAGAAATGATGTCAAGCTCTCAGTCCTCCTTGCCCGCCTCCCCACCAAGCGGCACTCAGCCAGCCTTTCTAAAGCCCTCTGTTGAAAGCCCTCATTGGCCAGGAGGGGGCGGCCTTTCTCCCTGCCACCCCCTTGAGGCCCACACTCCTCTTTGCCTGGAAGAAGAGGGTTTGTGTGGGCAGTGCAGAAATCTCACCTGGACTCTGGAGGCTGGGGGCTTCTGGGCTTTTCTGCCCATTCTTCCTCACTCTGGCCATATCTCTCACCTCCTCTGTCTCATGGCCCCAAGAAACCAAGTCACAGAGGCATCACCATCCAGGTTGGCCAAAGCCTCCTTTCTGGACTGGCCTGCTACCAGCTCCGTGTGAACGGCTAGTTCCCATATGCTGATAAGACATATCAACAGCTAGGTCTTAGCATTTCCATTAAACAACAGCTAGGTCTTAGCATTTCCATTAAAAAAAAATTACTTGGCCTGGTGTGGTGGCTCACGCCTGTAATCCCAGCACTTTGGGAGGCCAAGGCGGGCAGATCACGAGATCAGGAAATTGAGACCATCCTGGCTAACACAGTGAAACCCCATATCTACTGAAAATACAAAAAATTAGCTGGGCGTGGTGGCATGTGCCTGTAGTCCCAGCTACTCTGGAGGCTGAGGCAGGAGAATCGCTTGAACCCAGGAGGCGGAGGTTGCAGTGAGCAGACATTGAGCCACTGCACTCCAGCCTGGGCAACAGAGCAAGACTCTGTCTCAAAAAAGAAAAAGAAAAAGAAAAAAAAATTACTTGCAGCTGTAGTGGCTCATACCTATAATTCTGGCACCATGGGAGGATCACTTGAAGCCAGGAGTTTGAGATCAGCCTGGGCAACAAAGTGAGACCCCATCTCTACAAATTTTTTTTTTTAATTAGCTAGGTGCAGTGGTGCACTCCTGTAGTCCTAGCTACTCAGGAGGCTGAGGTAGAAGGATCGCTTGATGCCAAGTGTTCAAGGCTTCAGTGAGCCATGACCGCACTACTGCACTCTAATCTGGGTGACACAGCAAGATCTTGTCTCAAAAAAATAAAATAAAAAATTAATGTATCACCTACATGTAGTTGGAGAGAAATTATTATTATTATTATTATTATTATTATTATTATTATTTCGAGACAGAATTTTGCTCTAGTCACCCAGGCTGGAGTGCAGTGGTGCGATCTCAGCTCACTGTAACCTCCGCCTCCCGGATTCAAGCGATTCTCCTGCCTCAGCCTCCCAAGTAGCTGGGATTACAGGCTCCCGCCACCAAGCACAGCTAATTTTGTATTTTTAGTAGAGATGGGGTTTCACCATGTTGGTCAGGCTTGTCTCGAACTCCTGACCTCATGTGATCCATCCGCCTCCGCCTCCCAAAGTGCTGGGATTACAGGTGAGAGCCACCACACCCGGCCAGGAGAGAAATTCTTTAGAGACCTGAGTGAGGTGGTCATACAAGGTCTTCGTCATGACACAGTTGGGAGTTGTCCTTTAGTCCCCCAGTGGTGGCACGGCTGGTCAGAACAGGAGCCTGACAGCCAGGGTGAAGGAGACTAGAGAAGAAGAAAATGGGGCAATCTGTGGGTACCCCAGCTAGTGTTTGATTTTAAAATGACCCCTGCCCACCATACTGCAGACTTGTGTTCAGACATTTATGTAGACCTGACTTTGTCAATGCAGAATGAAGACCAGTGTCTCGTAGGAGGCCAGTGGGCCCAGGGGCAGGGTGCCCATCAGAACTTGAAGGGTCTGGGCCAACTCATGGGGCCTCAGCTTATCCTGCCGGCCTGCACACTCTACCCAGCCTGACTCCAGGCCGTAGATGCTTCTGTACCTTCTACTGGGAATGACTCCTACCTCACCCTCTTTCAAGGCCAGGATCACAATGTCATTCCTCCTCTAGGAAGTCTCCCCAAATTTGTTCCTTCCAAGCCTTCTGAATCTCCTTTATGCCACTTCCTGCTTGTCCAGTGGTGGAGTCATTCGGTCATACATTCATTCATTCATTCAGCTCACACAGGAGGAGGCACAGGGTGCAACTGTGAGGGAGAGACCAGGGCCCTCCCTTGGAGGGGCTGACCTTCGGAGAGGTACAGAGAAGTGAGGAAATGATGGCAGAATTGGAGTAGACGTGCATTCGGACAACAAGGGGTGTGGTGGGGACTGAGGGAGCCCACTTTAGTTAGGCCAGCAGGGCAGGCCTGTCTGAGGAGGTGCTCTTTAAACCTTGAGACACACTTTAAGGTAATTAGAATGTCTCCCTCATTTTCTCAGCCCCTTGAGTGCCCGGCAGGATCTTAAACACAGTGGGTACGCAGGAATTGTGTGTTGAAATGAATCTAGGCCATGACACTTTTGTCTGGGCCTGAGCACCCTGGTAATCATCACCCTTTCCTGCTGTAGGACCCCCCAGCCCCACCTCCAGCTGTCATTTGACCATGAAGAATTGGGTTACCTTGGGGGTCGGGTGGTAGGGGCTGCTCCCAGGCCAAGCCCATTAGCACCAGGGGTAGGATAGCTAGAGAGCAGGGGCCAGCGACCTGCACATAGCTTGGAGGATACATGTGACCTGTGCTCTTGCACCTGGATTCTTGATCAGAAATGCCTCACCTCCCCTGTCACCCTCATTATTGCAGAAGGAAACTGAGGCGCAAAGCTTGTATGCTGCCTCTCCCTCCAGCAGCAGCAGAGGCCAAAGCAGGGCAGGTCACTGTATGTGGAGAGGGTGAGTGAGGTAAGAGGTCTGAAAAGAGGGAGGAGGGTGAGGCTTGCTCCCACCTGGGCCCTCCCAGCCAGCCGGAGCCTATTTCCAGAGTCCTTGTCACACAGGGTCAGAGCTGGACATGACCTTAGAGATGAGCTAACCCAGCTCCCTCCATCCCCTGCAGTAGAAGCAGAAAGGAGGCCTGGTCTTTCAGGGTGTGTGCTTGTAACAGGCTTTCTCTTTTTTTTTTTTTTTTTTTTTTTGAGACAGGGTCTCTCTCTGTCATCCAGGCTGGAATGAAGTGGTATGATCTCACCCCACTGCAACCTCTACCTCCCAGGTTCAAGCGATTCTTGTGCCTCAGCCTCCCAAGTAGCTGGGACTACAGGTGTGTGCCACCACACCTGGCTAATTTTCATATTTTAAGTAGAGATGGGCTTTCACCATGTTGGCCAGGCTGGTCTTGAACTCCTGGCCTCAAGTAATCCTCCTGCCTTGGCCTCCCAAAATGCTTGGATTACAGGCACCAGCCACCATGCTCAGCCCCAACAGACTTTCCACATACCTCTACTCTAGCGCATACCAGTTTGCCTGCTTGTTTTGCTTTGTTTTTAAAATTTACATATATTGGCCAGGCACAGTGGCTCGCACCTGTAATCTCTGTACTTTGGGAGGCTGAGGTGAGAGGATCCCTTGAGGCTAGGGGTTTAAGACCAACCTGGGCAACACAGTGAGACCTCATCCCTATTTTATTTTTAAAAAAGTAAAAATAGAAATAAAATTTAAAAATTTACATATATTATTTATTATACATTTGTATGTTTTTAAAATGTACCACAGAGTAACAGATTACAAAGATTTCCTAAATTACACATTCAAATATATTCAAAATAGTGAGCATGAACAAAATGTCTGAGAAAACTAAGAGGGATCCTTGTGTGTATCATTTGTGTGATTCAGCTTCAGCCCAGACAGTGATATGAGCTCGTCTGGTCAGGGACTTGCCATGCTCGTCTGGACGTCCACCGTGCCTGGCACTGGTAGATGACAGTGAACATTTTATGAATGATTGTGGGAATGATCTGAGCAGTTTCTACTTTAACAGAGTCTCTGTGGGCTTATGAGAGTCTCTTCCTTCTGGATCTCAAAGCTTTTTTTGCACAGAATCTGGTAACCCTTCTGTGTGTATATGTGTGTGTGAGTGTGTTATTGCACATATGGTTTGCTTTGCAGTTTGGGGCAGAGGCTGGGGATTTTTGGAGGGCTAGGATCTTGCCTTAGCTGTCTTTGTGGTCCTCAGGAGCGCTGCACAGGTCTTTCCACAAAGTGGATGTGAGTTGAGTCTTAGAGCTGGAACGGGCCCTGGGAACCATGTTACAGATGAGTGGCTCCAGGGAGAAGACCTGCGCAGATCACATGGTGCATTAGGGCCATGCCTGGCAGTGCTTGTGTTGCCCTGGGCCTGAGGTGTCCCAGTTCAGGCAGCTGAGTTGGGTGCTGCCCAGGAGGTGAAGGCTGTCTAACAGCACAAGCGGGTTTCTCTTGAGAGGCCTGGGATGGGCAGTTGTCAGGTAGGAGCTGAAGCTCACATGTCCTCTGGAGCCTGGGGTTTCTGGAGGTGTCAGGAGGGATGGGCAGGGGAACAACAACCCCAACCCTGAACAGCTCCACTTTACCGGCCTCAGATAGGCTTCTTTCAAAGCCTTTCACTAACTTCGAAAAAAAGTTTTGGGCTGGGAGCAGTGGCTCACACCTGGAATCCCAGCCCTTTAGGAGGCTAAGGCGGGAGGATCAGTTGAGCTCAGGAGTTCAAGACCAGTGTGGGCAACAAAGGGAGAGACCCTGTCTCTACAAAAATTTAAAAATTAGCTGGGTGTGGTGATGCACACTTGTGGTCCCAGCTACTCGGGAGGCTAAGGTAGGAGGATCTCTTGAGCCCAGGAGGTGGAGGCTGCAGTGAGCTGTGATTGTGCCCGTGCACTCCAGCCTGGGTGACAGAGAGAGGCCCCATTTCAAAAAAAAAAAAAGAAGTTTTGCTGTTTTTTAAAAAAGTTCAAGACTGGTTGTTAACACCCAAAACAGGCCTCACCTGCCTACTCCCTCAAGCCTTTCTTGGGGGAGGGGACGGCCTGCATGGAGGGAAGTGGGGCTGTGTTTAGTTGGGGGTCCTGCTCTTGTGGCCTGGTGGGAGGCTGGGGATATGATGTGTGGGAGGACAAGAGGCCCTGTCTCTCCCTGCTCCCTGTGCAGACACCAGGGCCAACTCCTAGAGGCAGCTCTGTCACCGTTAGCTCCCTTCCTTCCAGATCCACCTCCTTAAGCATTGCCAAATCAAATAGCTGGGATGCCTGTGCAGCCCGAGGCCCTTCCAAACAACCACCCCCAGAGGGCTGGGTGCAGCCAAAGCCTCTGACCATTTCCGCCCCCTCTCCTGAGGGGCTGCCACCTCCCATCTGGAACCTTCTCTGAGGAAGGGGGAGGGGCATGGCACCACCAGGGTTGGGGTCATCGCCTCTCCTCCAGAAATCTGGATCCTGTTACCCTCCTATAGAGGGAGCAAGGAGGCTCTGTTCACTGAGGTCTTGTTTTTTCACATTTTTTTGTGGGTTTTTGCTTTATATTTCACAGGAACTTCAAATAACTCAGCTAGACTGTACACAGAATAGGACTTGTTAATAAGTGCTGGAAATGGAATTAGATGGAAAGAGGTTCATTCATTGATTCATCTTAGAACTGCTTCCTGAGCATCGGCTAGACTCCCACCTACGTTCTGAGCGCTTGTGACCTACCAGTCCCCTGACACTCAGGAGACGCAGTATCTTGTGGGGGTCAGGATGGGAGTTCCAGAGCCAGCCCACCACCCAGCTGTGTGGCCTTTGGATTAGATGATGTAATACATATGAAGTGTTTAGAAGACTGCCTGGCATATGATAAGCACTTAATAAATGTTAGCAGTTCTTGTTCATGTCATTCTTATTACCGTAGTGCTTGTGCTACTCCTGTAAGGTATAGTTATTAGCCCCATTTTCTAGATACGGAAACTGAGGTTCTCAGAGGTTGAATAACATGCCTAAGTCATGCACATAAGTGCAGAGCCAGGGTTCTCTCTCAGGTTTGGAATCTGAGCCTTTTGGCAACCTACTGGTACTGCTTATCTGGGTCCAGGCTAGGAGCTGGGTATCTAGACGTCAGCATGAAGGAGACCACCTGCTGCCTTGATGAGCTCACAGCCTGGCATGGAGGCAGACGTGGGCATTGCCGAGTCAATTTCTGGAGACACCATGTGGGTTAGACCCCAGCCAGGCTGTGTGGGCGGCAGGGTAGGACTGGCCAATGGTGTCAGCTGGGCCTTGTGTCCTGGGCTGGAGGCAGCGCTGCTTCTCTGCTTGTCAGCTGCGTGTGTGTCCACTAGGGGTTGGTCTTGCTGCCCTGGGGAGTTGGTAGGCATGACGGGGTCTGGAACAGGCAGCAGGCTGGGAGTGAGAGGACCTGAAACCACTCACTGGATTCCTGTCATTGCCTCAGTGTCCTCATCCGTAAAAGAAGAGTAGTCATATTTGTCACACAGGGTCGTTACAAGGATTAAGTGAAATGAAGCATGTAAAAAAATATCTTACCAGGCACGGTGGCTCATGCCTGTAATCCTAGCAATTCGGGAGGCTGAGGCAGGAGGATTGCTTGAGCCCAAGAATTTGAGACCAGCTTGGGCAACACAGGCAGATCTCATCTCTACAAAAAATCTAAAAATTGTCCAGGCGTGGTGGTATGTGCCTGTAGTCCCAGCTACTTTGGGAGGTTGAGACGGGAGGATTGCTTGAGCGCAGGAGGTCAAGGCTGCAGTGGGCTATGATCACACCACTGCACTCCAGCCTGGATGACAGAGCAAGACCCTGTCTCAAAAAAAAGACAAAAAACTCCTTATAATCATAAAACTGGTATTTCTACAACTAGTAAGTAATTGCTACCATTTTCAAGCTCCTACTGTGTGCTCCACACAGCACTGCAGTCCTCACTGCAGTCCCTCTAGGTGGATATTAGGATATTATTGCTCCCATTTTATGGATGTGGAAACTGTTCCAGAGGTTCAGCTGTTCCAGGTCACACCTGTGAGGGGGTGGAGTTGGGAGTTAGACCTAGGTCCTCTCTGATTTTTTTTTTTTTTTTTTTTTTTGAGATGCAATTTCACTCTTGTCATCCAGGCTGGAGTGCAGTAGTGCGATCTCGGCTCACTGCAACCTCCGCCTCCCTAGTTTAAGAAATTCTCCTGCCTCAGCCTCCCGAGTAGCTGGCATTACAGGCGCCTGCCACCACACCCAGTTGATTTTTTGTATTTTTAGTAGAGATGGAGTTTCACCATGTTTACCAGGCTGGTCTCGAACTCCTGACCTCAGGTGATCCACCTGCCTCGGCCTCCCAAAATGCTGGGATTACAGGCATGATCCACCACGCCCGGCCTCCTCTCTGATTCTTAAAGCCACCTCTCTGTGTTCCAAAGCCTCTGAGTTGTCTTCCCTCCCAGCTCCGCCCCTCGCTAATAAGTTCCTGAAGCAGCTGTGGCTGTTCCAGGGCGGGGGTCAGGCTGAGAGTGGTGCCCCAGCCAGGCCCACCACCCAGGCCCTGCATCTGGCGGTGGGCAGGATGCGTCCTCTACAGCCAGAGGGATGGAGGGATGGGCTTTACCTGCCCACAGCCCCGAGTTATGGTGGCAGCAGCAGGTTCCCCTCCCAACCAGTCTGGCAAGCCAGTTTTGTTGGCCTGTGAGTCACACCAGCACTGATGAGTCAGGTTTTTCCCTTCTTTGTGCCCAGAGCAGCTGGGGAGGGAGTGGGGGGTTTCTTAGGAAACAGGACCTCCCTCCCTCTGCTCTCCCACTCATCCCCTTGTCTTGGAGCTGCTCATTTTCTATCTGGAGGGCCCTGGCTCAGCCCTGGAAAAAGAGGCCTTCATGTTCCCACTAAAGAGAGTGTCCCATGGGCCACACTGGGCAGGAAAGACTGGGCCCCAGGCTGAGTTTAGTCAGGAGGCGGAGGGTGAAGGGGCCTTCCCTGTTGGGAAGGAGAGCAGGGCTGCAGTCCCAGGCTGTCTGACTCCGAAGCCTGTGCTCTTGGCCGGTCGGCTTGCCCTCTCCTGTCTATAAAGTGGGATTATCCTCTGGGCAGGGCAGCTGGGTTTCCCTAAGCAGAGGGTCCCCTGAGCCACCTGCTTCTTGCCTTTTGACCACCCTGGCTATAAGGGCTGTCCATATGGTCAGCCTCATGCAGGCATAGCACAGGCATAGAACCCTCGCAGAGGCCTCATTAAACCCAGCCAAAGCAGCCAGCCAGCTGGGCAGCCTGGTTCTAGATCAGCACTTCTCGGCCTTGGCCATATGTTGGAATCACCTAGAGAGCTTTTAAACCTCTCTGCTGCTCCCAAACTCCAGAGCAAGTAAGTCAGAATCCCAGGGAGCAGGCTCCAGGAACCATGTTTTTGGTGGACCACACTGGATTGCCTCTCAAGAGCCTGCCCTCCCAGAGGTGACAGTGAAGTTGCAAGCACAGCACAACACCCAGGGAACAGTCATGCTAGAGTGCAATGCGGACCCCGAGGGTCAGAAGAGACACTTGGGGAGAGCGGGGAGCGCCTGGTGGGAAGAGGGCTTCAGTCCTGCATCCTGACCAGGCATGGCTTGGGAAGGAAACCAGGGAGGATGCTGGTCTGACAGCTCTGGTGAGTCATGGGCCGAGGAGGAGGAAGAGGAAGGGATGAGTCAGGCACAGCTGCCTGCATGGCCCGAGCCTGGCTTGGGAGGAGAATGAATGTGCTTCTCTGTTGTTCCACAAACCCAGTGTTGTGGTCCTGAGCCATGCCACATGAAGGAGCGGGTGAGCCTTGAAAAGATGGGGTTCCCAGGACTCGGCATGTTAGGCATTTGTGTGTGCGCTTCACACTTCGTACAGAAATTCCCTGGAGTATTTTGGCATTTCTGTAAGGCAGACTGATGAGTGGCATTTGCATTTGGCAGATGTGCTTGGACAGATGAAGCCCCGTGCCCTGGATCACACAGCAGGTCCTGATGGAAATGGACCCAGGTCTTCTGACCCCAAGTTCACCCCACTGAAGACACAGACCTGAAAGACAGAAAGACAGTAACCTAGAGCCTGTTGCTGGGGTGTGGACTAAATGAACTATAAGGCTTGCAAGAATTAGGAACCACAACCAGGGTGAAAATTATGTAATTATGAAAATTACGGGGTCTTTTCTACCTCCAGCCCGAACAGTTGTGGGCAGATTTGCTGTGGTGTTTGCTGTGGAGCAGGGGGCTGGTGCTCAGATGGAGTATGCAGGAGCCCGGTGGGGCCTGGTGCTGGATGGGCCACATCTGGACTGTTAAGTTAGTTGAAACAAGGATGGGTGAGACGGTAAAGAATCTGGAGAAAGGCCAGGCACAATGGCTCATGTCTGTAATCCGAGCACTTTGAGAAGCCGAGGCAGGCAGATCACCTGAGGTCAGGAGTTCAAGACCAGCCTGGCCAACATGGTGAAACCCCGTCTCTACTAAAAAAATTTAAAAAAATACAAAAATAGCTGGGTGTAGTGGCCAGCACCTGTAATCCCAGCTACTCAGGAGGCTGAGGCAGGAGAATCTCTTGAACCTGGGAGGCAGAGGTTGCAGTGAGCCAAGTTCACGCCATTGCACTTCAACCTGGGTGACGAGAGAAACTCTGTCTCAAAAAAAAAAAAAGGAATCTGGAGAAACTGCAGGAGGGAATGGAGATCTTCAGCCTGGAGAGCAGAAAAGTGTCAGATAACTCCACTGAAGAGGCTGTGACTTGTTCTGTGTTATTCCAGAGAGCAGAGCTGATGGATTTCAGATCAAAATAATAATGTTAATAATAATGACAAAAGCGACTGCAGTTGGCCCTTGAACAACGCAGGGTTAGGAATGCTGACCCCCATGCTGTTGAAAATCCATGTCAAACTTTCTACTCCTCAAAAACTTAGCTACTAATAGCCTAGTTTTGACCAGAAGCCTTACTAATAACATGAACAGTTGATTAACACATATTTTGTATATTATGTGTATTACATACTGTATTCTTACAATAAAGTAAGCTAGAGAAAAAAAAATGTTATTAAGCAAATCATGGCCGGGGGCAGTGGCTCATGCGTGTAATCCCAACACTTTGGGAGACTGAGGCGGGAGGATCACTTGCACCTAGGAGTTTGAAGCCAGCCTGGGCAACATAGTGAGACCCTGTCTCCAAATAATAAATAAATAAAATCATAAGGAAGAGAAAATATATTTACTATTCATTAAGTTGAAGTGGATCATCATAAAAATCTTTGTCCTTGTCTTCATGTTGAGTAGGCTGAGGAGGAGGAAAGGGAGGGGTTGGTCTTGCTGTCTCAGTGGCAGAGGTGGAAGAAAACTCGAACCCATGTTGTTCAAGGGTCAACCGTATGATGACAGTAATAAGTACCTACTCTCCGGCCAAGCATGGTGGCTCACACCTGTAATTCTAGCACTTTGGGAGGCTGAGGTGGGTGGATCACGAGGTCAGGAGATCAAGACCATCCTGGCTAACGTGGTGAAACCCCATCTCTACTAAAAATACAAAAAAAAAAAAATTACCTGGGCATGGTGGTAGGCGCCTGTAGTCCCAGCTACTCAGGAGGCTGAGGCAGGAGAATGGCATGAACCCAGGAGGCAGAGCTTGCAGTGAGTTGAGATCCGCCACTGCACTCCAGCCTGGGCAACGAGCGAGACTCCGTCTCAAAAAAAAAAAAAAGACCTACTTTCTATTCTCTGGTAAGTATGGGGCTCGTGTGTGTGTGTGTGTGTGTGTGGGTGTGGGTGTGTGTGTGTGGGTGTGTGTGTGTGTGTGTCTTAAGCAAGAGCCTTGTGGGGCTTGGTGCTAGGACATCGCCTGGGCTGTTAGGTGATTTGTTCTGTGTAATAATATATAACACGTATGTGTTAGGTGATTTATTAGGATAATCTTCTTGACTATATTTGTGTGTATCTTTAATCCCCCTAATCTCCCTTAGATGTGTGGCTGGGAACACTCCCTGCCTCCTAGAAGAGACTAGAATGCTTAAGGCATTTGCCCAAGGTCACTTAGCGCTTTAGTTAATGATGAAGCTGATGTTCAAGCCCAAGTCTGCCTGAGGACAGAACCTGTGCCTTCAGCACCTGCGTGTCTCTGTTCTAGGCCTGCCAGGTAGCTCAGTAAAGGGTAACTATAATTACTATTAACTTCCTTTTCTTTTTTTGAGACAGAGTCTCACTGTTACCCAGTCTGGAGTGCAGTGGCGCAATCTCAGCTCACTGCAACCTTAGCCCCAAAAGTAGCTGGGACTACAGGCATGTGCCACCATGCCTGGCTAATTTTTGTATTTTTAGTAGAGATGGGGTTTCACCATGTTTGCCAGGCTGGTCTCAAACTCCTGATCTCAAGAGATCCACCCACCTTAGCCTCCCAAAGTGTTGGGATTACAGGCGTGAGCCACCACACCCAGCCACCATTAACTTTCTAACCATTAGCTTCATCCAACAGTGGAATAGGCTTCTTTGTGGCATGGTGAACACCTCAGTTCAGGAGGTGCACAGAGGCTGAATTGCCCCCCAGCTGGGGTGACTGTGGGGTAGTTGGTGAGTCTCCATCACTGAGCTCCAAGCCAGCCATGCTGAATTAGAGTCTTGAGCTGGTGCCTAGGTGTGTGTTTCTGTCAGGCCACAGGAGGGCCAGGCATGGTGGCTCACACCTGTAGTCCCAGCACTTTGGGAGGCTGAAGTGGGCGGATCACTTGAGCTCAGGAGTTCGAGACCAGCCTGGCCAACATAGTGCAACCTCATCTCTACTGAAAATCAAAAAAATTAGCCGAATGTCGTGGTGCACACCTGTAGTCCCAGCTACTGGGGAAGCTGAGGTGGGAGGATTATTTGAGTCCAGGAGATGGAGGCTGCAGTGAGCCTGATCACCCACTGCGCTCCAGCCTGGGTGACCGAGTGTGACCCTGTCTCAGAAAAAAAAAAAAAAAAAGCTGACAGAAGACCAGGGCACGCAGTCAGGTGTGGATAGCACTGGCCCAGCTGTCCTGGGAGGGCTCAGCTCTTAGATTCTGTTCCTCTCTAGTGGGCAATGGGAGGTTGGTAGCTCCTCCCGCCTTGCTCCTGCCGCGTGTTTTCCTTGCTGCTTTTCCCATTGGCATATTCTTCAGAGCTGTGCATTCAGCTCCTGATATTTTCATATTCTAGTTATAATTCAGCTTCCACTGGTGGTGGAGTAGTTTGGCAGAAAGAATTTACTGTGCCCCACTGCCACCTCACACACACACTCTCTCTCTCTCTCTCTGTCTGTCTCTGTCTCCGTCTCTCTCTCGGGAAACAGCTGTCGGGTCTGGGACAAGTCACATCACCTTTCAGCCTTGGTTTCCTTGTCTGTAAAATAAAGTGGCTAGGGCAGAAGACTTTAAGGTCGCTCCCAGCTTCAGGACTCTGCCATACTCGGGGGACATGCCCCCTTGGAGTGGTGCATGTCTGAGCGCTCGTGGCAGTTGACACCCAGTGGGACAGAGTCCCAGTGTCAGAAGTCAGGCTGTGCCGTTCGCTTCTAGGCACCTGGCTGCCGTGCCGGTGCCCGTTGGGTCCTCATCTTTACCAGCAGTGAGGGAGGTTGGACTGCTATGTCCAGCAGTAAAAAGCACAGTGGCTGAGAAAACCTACCTCCCCTTCCTGGAGTCCTGAGGTAGCAAAGGGAGCCAGCCAGATACAGGAGACCTTTCTAGCAACCTCTGGGGAGTTCCTGTTTTATTTATTAGCCACCATCCTCCCTCTTCTGCCCCAGGAAAAGTGCTGACCCTACGCTGTGCAACCAGCACAAGGAGGCAGACATCCATCAAGCCCACTCTCTGTCCCTGTTGAGCTTGACCTCATTTAACCCCTGCGTTCTGCTGCACCGCGAAATAAAGACCAAGACATCCCTATGGCAGGAGTTTTCTTTTCTTTTCTTTTTTTTTGAAACAGAGTCTTGCTCTGTTGCCCAGGCTGGAGTGCAGTGGCGTGATCTTGGCTCACTGCAACCTCCACCTCCTGGGTTCAAGCGATTCTCTTGCCTCAGCCTCCTGAGTAACTGGGACTACAGGCATATGCCACCACGCCTGGCTAATTTTTGTGTTTTTAGTGGAGATGGGGTTTCACCATGTTGGCCAGGCTGGTTTTGAACTCCTGACCTCAGTTGATCCACCTGCCTTGGCCTCCCAAGTGCTGGGATCACAGGCATGAGCCATCACGCCCAGCCTCGCAGTTTTCATTTTTCAAAATCACAGCAACTTTATGAAAAAAAAAAAAAGTAACCTTTAATTGTGTAATGGTTAAAGCATTACTGACTCGGCTTGGTTACCAATGACAATAGCTACTGTCTTTTCAGCACTGGGCAGAGTGGTCTCACTTAATCCTTACAGCAGTCCCATGAGGTGGGAGTTACATGCTCTTTTTACAGATGGAAACACCAAAGCTTAGGTTGGTGAGGTCATCCACCCGTGGTCACAAAGGTGGTTAGCAGCCAAAGAAAACCCCCACTGTCCATCTCTGAAGCCCACATGTGAGTAGCCAGATTGCAGAGAGAGGCTACAGTGTCTTTTTACACATACATAATTATCCATGATCCAGGTTGCCAGAAAGCACATGTAATCAGGGTTCCCTCCAGAGCTGCTAACGCTGGAACTGCTCGTATTCAAGCCAGGACTCTGGCTGCACTTGAGAGCAAACACATCAGTACGTGGCAAAGATGAGAGTGTGTTGACTGCAGGAAAGGGACATAGGTGCTTAAAACAAGGGAAGTGCGGTAATTCCCACCTATGTCTTACTCTGCTTGTGAAGTATAGTATTCTCTCCAAAGCAGCCTCAGAAAACATGTTAGTTGCATGGCAGGATAGAACCCTAGAGTCAGGCTGGGCGCAGTGGCTCACGCCTATAATCCCAGCACTTTGAAAGGCCAAGGCAGGCGGATCACTTGAGGCCAGGAGTTCAAGACCAGCCTGGCCCATCTCTACTAAAAATACAAAAACTAGCCATGGTGGCACACGCCTGTAATCCCAGCTACTTGGGAGGCTGGGGCAGGAAAATCACTTGAACCCAGGAGGTGGAGGTTGCAGTGAGCTGAGATTGCGTCACTGTACTCTGGTCTGGGCAACAGAGCAAGACTCCGTCTCAAAAAAAGACTAAACGAAAACCCTAGAGTTAGATCCTGAAGATTTGGGGGCTCTGTTTGTAATTGATATCAGATAGGCCAGTTTTCCTCTGGAAATGGGTCGGGGGATGGCTGGTCAGTGCCCAGCTCTGGGAGACCACCCTTCCCCGAGCCCGGCCAGATGTGGCCAGGGCCCCCAGGCTGGACTCACGGACCAGAGAGCAGAAAAAGGCCTGCTCTCCCTGAGCCCAGCCAGGCAGCCGACCCCGTGAATGTGTACGTTGTATGCAGCACCATGAAAGCACACCCTGTCTCACGCATGTGTGCCCCCTTGTCCGTATCTGTGGCTGCCCGCACACTGAGGCCTTGGGTAGGTCTGTTTCTCTTGGCTGCAATTTTGTCTCTCTCATGGCCACAGAGGATCCGGGCCTGCCTCCTCCAGCAGGTTTCCTCACTGTACACCTACCTCAGTGACTGGTTTTGTCCCTCCTGGACTCCCACCTCCACCCACTCCCTTTCTTTCTGCCTCTTCCTATTCAGTGAGGCTTGTTCACAAAACATAGTCCTCTGTTCCCCCTTTGCAGGGGTTTCTTGCAGACAGCTCTGTCTACTCTCCCATCTGATCTGTGCCTCCCCTCTCCAGCTCCTCCTTCTTTTCCTAAACTGCCTGCCCATTTCACTCGCCCGTGCAGCATGCCAGGCATTAACTCTGTCTGTAGGATCAAAAAGATGAACTGGAGGATGTCCCAGCCTCAGGCAGACAAACAAGATCATTGCAGAGAATTTCTGTTGCCATGGGCTGGGCATCATCCTAGAGCCGAGAAGGGGGCTCTCAGGGGTGCCACCCTGCCTTGATCCTTCAGCTCTGCTCAGGACCACCTGGGACCCACTGTACCTCTAGAGATGCCCGGTAAGAAGCCTGGCCCATCACTTAGCAACTGGCTCCACCCCTTTCCCTCCCTGAGCTGGGGCCCGAGAGGAGGAAAGGCCCACAGGCCTGTAAAGAGGCCACCAAATCCCAGAGCATGGGAGGCCCCAGCTGACCAGAGCTGGGCCAGCACTTTCCCTTCAAAAGTTACCTAGGCTCTGAGGGTCATCTCTGCTAAGTCTAACTATAAATATCGCGCTTCCTGAAGGGATTACCTGGGCACCACACCCCCTGGCTCCCCCCTCCCCGCCTGGGCTGATCCTTCTTCTGGGCCCTGTGTTCTTCCTGACCCCTTGTTCCCGCTGCCAGGTGGGACACTTCAGACTACCTGTGTTTCAGCTGTGACTGCTGGGGTGGGAGGAGAGAAACAAGAGATTCGAGTCTGTATCCTGGCCAGAGGGCCCTTGCCGGCCAGCTGTTGGGACAAGGAGGCTCTTGTTCCTGCCTTCTCCCGTCTGGTGTGAGAGCCGTGTCTCTCACACCAGCCAGAGCAAGCCCAGACTTGTCACATAATCGGTGCATCTGGGAAGGACACTGTTGGCCCCATCCCTGGAGTAAGGGCCTGGGGACAGAACTTGGTAACCGAGTGTGGAACAGCTTGGGGATTGCCGCAGGTATAAATAGGGCTGTTTCCTGGCTTGGGTGGCCTGACTGGGGAAATCTCTGCTCCCTTTGGCTGGTCTCAGATTTGGTGTCACATCCCAGTGGCTCACTTATTCCAGTCCCTGAAGTCACAAGAACCATCTCCTGGGGTCTGAGATCAAGAATTGAAGGAGGGGCCAGCCCGCTGCAGACCTCTCCCCTGCCTCCGCCTGCCTCCCTGCTGCTGCAGGAGCTGTAACTCCTCCACCCCTCCCCACCTGCTCACGGCGCCTCGGTCAGTTCCTTTCTCAATTCAGCAGGTACTTGCTGAGAACCGCGCTGGGCCAGGCACTGTGTGAGGCAGTGGGATCTATTCAGCTAGGGTCTGCCATCCTTCCTTGTGTTTTTGGAATCTCCTCTTCTGTGTAGCCATCCTGAGTTCAGCAGTGTGAATTGAGTGGTGGGAGTAAACACACACACACGCATACACACTCACACTCATAGATGCACACCAGCTCTGGGCAACTTGGAGAGGACCTTAAATGCTCTGTCTCCCACTCTCCTTTCGGTGCCCTCCCTTGGGGTGATATCACCAGACACCATTCATTATTGAGGCCAAACCACAGCATCCACCATCATTATCCTCCTCCAGCCCAGACGTAGTGCCCTCTTGCTCTCTTCCCTCCCAAATCAGCTCTCAGCAGCACCTCTGGAGACCATGTGTTGAACTGTTTGTTAAGATGTGGCTGGGCATGCCATTTCCACTCCTGTTTTGCTGTGTTTACAAATAGGTTCTTAAGTCAGATCAAGTACATACCCCAGCCCAGCCCCTGTAACTGGTTCCATGGGTGTGAGGTAGGCCCTGAGAATCTGTCTTTTGAACCAGCACCCCAGGAGATCCTAATACGGGAGGTTTCGACAACTCTTTGGGACCCTAGCCTTTGCCTCTATACACAGACATATACATTCTCTGCTCAATCACAAATGTTGGCCAGGCATGGTGGCTCACACCTGTAATCCTAGCACTTCGGGAGGCCGAGACAGGAGGATCCCTTGAGCCCAGGAGTTCGAGACCAGCCTGGGCAACATAGGGAGACCTCTCTATTAAAAAAAAAAAAAAAGTTTAAACAAAAAATGTCTTTTGGTGTCCTCTGCCCAGCACAATTGCGGAAACGCATGCTTTTTGTGGGTGTGTTGCTCTGCTGCCTCCCCGTGCAGGTTGTATGCCTTTGTCAGCTTCATTAAGGACAGGAACCATTTCTGTTACTCTGTCTTTGACCTGAAGCTTATCTAGGACAGGAGATGTAAGTAGAAGCTACTAAATGCTCCTGCTGCTGAAACCAGCAGAGCCTGCCTGGCCCTGGACAAAGCCTCCAGGAGCTGTCAGTAACTGATATCCTACAGGGTATGGGCTTAGCAAGTCAGCACCACCGTCGGCTCCCCAAACTCTTCCCACTTTTCCATGGCTGCACCCCAGAACTCCAAGTATCCTCTTTCCTTATTAACAACTTTTATGGTATTATTCTTATTATTAAAGTAATACATTCTTATTGTAGAAAACTTGGAAAATATAAACCAAGAAGAAATCATCGGTAACTGCCAATGAAATATAACCACTGTTTACATTTTGATATAAATTCTTCCAGCCTTTTTTCTCTTTTAAAGACCAGGTCTTACTCTGTCGCCCAGTCTGGAGTATAGTGGCGTAATCATAGCTCATCACTGCAGCCTTGACCTTCTGGGCTCAAGTTATCCTCCCGCCTCAGTCTCCCAAAGTGCGGGGGTTATAGGTGCGAGCCACTGTGCTCAGCCCTCCTGTCTTTTTAATATATATAATTATACAGCTGAGCACTTTGGGAGGCAGAAGAAGGAGGATCACTTGAAGACAGGAGGAGTTTGAGACCAGCCTGGGCAACATGGCGAGACCCCATCTCTAAAAAAAAAAAAAATTTTTTTTAAATTATCCAGTCATGGTGGTACATGCCTATAATCACAGCTCCTCAGGAGGCGGAGGTGGGAGCATCGCTTGAGCCCAGGAGGTTGAGGCTGCAGTGAGCTATGATCACATGGCCTGAGTGATAGAGCCAGACCCCGTCTAAAAACAAACAAAAAATAATAATTATACACCCTTTTTTTTTTTTTTTTTTTTGAAACACAGTCTCGTTCTGTGACCCAGGCTGGAGTGCAGTGGTGCAATCTTGGCTCACTGCAACCTCCGCCTCCTCAGTTCAAGCAATTCTCCTGCCTCAAGCTCCCAAGTAGTTGGGACTGCAGGCGCGCACCACCAAGCCTGGCTAATTTTTGTATCTTTGTATTTTTGTAGAGATGGGTTTTTACCATGTTGTCCCAGCTGGTCTTGAACTCCTCACCTCAAGTGATCTGCCTGCCTCAGCCTCCCAAAGTTCTGGGATTACAGGGGTGAACCACCACACCTGGCCAATACATACTTTTTTTGAATCAAAAGCTGGAGCACTGTGCGCTTGCTGTTTGAGACCTTTTTTCACTGTATGGTGGACGTTTTCCCGTGTTAGCATCCTACCTCACCATCACAGAGTGGCTGCCGCTGATGCCTCGAGTGGATGCCCATATTTTATGTAGCCTTTCTCCTGGCCATGTGCATTAGGTTGTTCCTAGCTTTAACCTGTTAAAAAGGTGCTGAGTTAAACAGCTTTGTAGATAAGTCTTCACCACACACTTGTGATTATTTTCTTCGAATAAATTATTAGAACCAAATAGGTGAGCCAAAGAGATGGACATTTTTAAGTTTCTCAGTACCTCGCAGAGGCGTGCACCAATTTGTGCAGCATATGAATGTTCACACTTTCCACTGCCCAACTTTTTTGACTCCATACAGTATCTTTTTGTTTTTGTTTTCCATTTTTCTGAGATGGAGTTTCACTCTTGTTGCCCAGGCTGGAGTGCAATGGCATGATCTCAGCTCACTGCAACCTCCATCTCCCGGGTTCAGGCAGTTCTCCTGCCTCAGCCTCCTGAGTAGCTGGGATTACAGGCATGTGCCACCATGCCCGGCTAATTTTTGTATTTTTAGTAGAGATGAGGTTTCACCATGTTGGTCAGGCTTTCTCGAACTCCTGACCTCAGGTGATCCACCTGCCTCAGCCTCCAAAAGTGCTGGGATTACAGGCGTGAGCCACCGCGGCCAGCCAATATCTTTTTAAGTAAATGAAATTAATATGTTCATCATCGACTTGTCTATATGCTTAGATGAAAAACTTCCTTTTCTGTGTTTGTCTGTATCAGTGGCTAAGATTGTAAGCACCCGTGTATAGGGCTGCAAATGTTTGGGCATGTCTCCTATACACACTTACCTCTGGGCCTGGAGAACTTGGTGAGTTGTTTTTGTACAGCGTTTGACCCACTGATGAAGAGAGCCAACACCAGCCCAGAGGTGCTGCGGCTGCCCTCTGCTGGCTCTGAGGTGCAGTGATGACTGAGAAGGCAACGGTTGGACTCCTGGGCTCAGCTTACATTAACCCTGCCTGCCCCCTCCCCCTCACCAGCCCATTGTAAGATTTTCAGCCACAGAGGCCCTACCTGGAGGGTGAGGAGTTTGTCACCGCTGTATCCTGGGTCACTGCATTAATTAGGCGCTGTTAATACTTGCAGAGGCTCACTCACAGTAACTGTCAGTGGGAGAGAAGCATAGAAGTGACTGCTAGCAAAGCTGGCTGCTGTTGTGTAGCGGGGAGGGGACCCTGAAGGCTACTCTGGGGGAGCTTGAGAGGTTTGCAAGCCAAGGCAGCATCCTTCAGGCACGTGTGTGGCCTCCTGAGGTGATGACTTTGAAAGGGGCCACCATGGAGCTGTGTTTATTTTAAAGGTCAGTTCTTTAGTCTTCTCAAGAGAAAATGAGATGCATGGACACAGTTACAGCTCAGGTGTCCTTGTAGTCACAGTCCAGCAACCTCACTTGTTGGGCATAGAGCCCAAAAGTGAACATTTTATTTTTTTGTTTGTTTTCGTTTTTTTTTTTTTTTCTGAGATGGAGTCTCACTCTTGTCACCCAGGCTGGAGTACAGTGACATGATCTCAGCTCACTGCTACCTCCGTCTCTGGGGTTCAAGTGATTCTCCTGCCTCACCTCCATAATAGCTGGGATTACAGGTGCCCACCACCACTCCCAGATAATTTTTGTATTTTTAGTAGATATGGTGTTTTTCCATGTTGACCAGGCTGGTCTCGAACTCCTGGACTCAAGCGATCCACCTGCCTCGGCCTCCCAAAGTTCTGGGATTACCTGCGTGAGCCACTGTGCCTGACCATTTATTTATTTATTTATTTATGAGACAGGGTCTCACTGTGTCACCCAGGCTGGGGTGCAGTGGTGCAGTCATAGTTCACTGCAGCCTTGACCTCCTGGGCTCAAGTGACCCTCCCATCTCAGCCTCCCGAGTAGCTGGGACTACAGGTGCATGCCACCACACCTGGCTAATTTTTTTTATTTTTTGTAGAGACGAGTGGTCTTGCTTTGTTGCCCAGGCTGATCGTGACCTCCTGGCCTTAAGTGATCCTTCCACCTCAGCTTCCCAAAGTGCTGGGATTATAGGTGTCAGCCACCATGCTGGCCAAACAGTGAACATTTTTAAATGTCACAAAGCCTGGTCTCTTTCTTCTGTGGGAAGCCTCTTTTGTAGACAGTGCTGACAGCTTGGTCGTGCCCTTTCTCAACCCTTGGTAGATTAGGAGTGGTCCATGAGCTGGGCCTGCCCTCTCCCCATGTTAGGAGCAGCAGACAGACGAGACCAGTAAGAAGTGCAATCTGGCAAAGAGGAAGGAGGCAGGGAAACTGTAGAATCAGCTCAAGAATTTAAAATGCCATTGAAGCTAAACAGCTGTTTAGGGAAGAGGCAGAAGTCCCATACCCAAGGATCCCTGAGGGAGTCACTGTATAATGATTGTGACTCCTGGTGGATCAAAGCTCTCATTAGGGGGTCATCCCTGCTAAATAATGAAAGAGAAAAGGAGTCCAGAAATCATGAAATGGAGCAACTTCCTTGGTCAAGGCATAAACACCTCCAGGCTAAACTTCATAAAAAATATCTAGATGAAATTGTAACCTTCAGTTTCTTCAGTGTCTCCTTTCTGTCCCTCATATTTAAGCCTTTGATTAACCTGGTTTTGATTTTTGTGGCTCACGTGAGGTGGGGATTGGAGTTCATGTTTCCATCATAGTCCCAGTGTAGCAGGACGAGCCACAGACAAAACCTCTCAGACACCGAGTTGTAGAAGGAAGGGCTTTATTCAGCTGGGAGCATCGGCAAGCTACTGCCTTAAAATCCGAGCTCCCCAAATGCACAATTTCTATCCCTTTTAAGGGCTCACAACACTAAAGATTTCACATGAAAGGGTTGTGATTGATTTGAGCAAGCAGGTGGTACGTGACGGGCTGCATGCACCGGTGGTCAGAGAGAAACAGAACAGGGCAGGGAGTTTCGCAGTGTTCTTCTATACAATGTCTGGAATCTATGAATGACATCGGTTTCTAAGTTATGAGTTGAGTTTTAACTGCTGGGTTTAGGCCAGGCAGGCCAGGCGTGGTTTCGGGCCTGGCGCTGGGCTGCCTGTCTTTGGTTTTACTTCCTTGTTGTTTTTTCTTAAAATGGGTACTGAGTATAAAACCATATAAAACAATATGAGAGGGTCTCTCTCTTCCCTCATTTCCCCCCTTTGAGACTCTCACTTTTTATTAGTGGGAGTTCTCACTCTTATTTTTGCTACTTATGTCTTTTTGTGCAATAGATTGATAGTGATTTATATAGTATGCTTGTGCTGAAGCATTTTGGTGAACTAAGGTAGTGACGAAGTTTTTTATCATTTGGAGAAATACAGGTATCAGACAAGGGAGCAGTAAGCAGGTTCCTATTACTATTATTACTCTTATTATAAGAGTTTTAAATTCTTCTATTGCTGGGAACCAATTTCCAAACATGGCTCCCAGATTGAGTCCATGCCACACTTGCATGGGGGCATGTGCCAGTTTTGTTATATCTTTAACTATATCCTCAACTACTTGCCTGTGATCATCTATGTGTAGACAACAATTAGTAAGGTTAAATTTTTCACAAACACCTTCTTCAGCTGCTAGCAAGTACTCAAGAGCTAGTCTATTTTGATAGATAGCATTTCTCATCAGAGTCTCTTGCCAGGCAAGAACAGTCAAGTCTTGACCGGTTTTATTAGTAATAATTTCTAAAACAGCTTGTAACTGTGTGATTCGGTTGAGCATGTAGATGGGGGTTCAATATCCCCATGAGCCATCTTGTGCCAAAGTGGCTGGTCCATAGTATTATATGATTTTTTCAGGGGGCCATTTATCATCTTTCCAATCACCTATGGCTATGCTTCGTTTTTCGCGGGAAGCATAGACTGGGAAGCCCAGAAGTTTACCTGTTTTTATGGGCAGTAAGAAGAAAGATGACTTAATGGTGCCAATTACACAGCTACCTGTCCACTGATCAGGCAGCTTAGCATAAGCTCTGTGTCCACATATCCAGTATAACCTGGCGGGGGCCGTCCAGTCCCAGTGGAATTCTGGGTGGGCCCAAACAGTCTGCAACTTTGGAAATTTACTGAATGGATTTCTTTCTGTGTAATTGGAACTCCACCATGTAACTGTTTTTGTGGTACCATTTTACAGCTTTTGCCCAAGACAACTAAGCCGCCCTACAGGATGAGTGAATCCTTTTCCTTCTCTAGCTATGCAATACTGTCCAATAATTGAGACTTTTAGAACCCAAAAATTGTCAGGGTGGTTCTTTGGGGCTAAGAATTCATCAGGAACTGGGTCTGTAGGAACTAAGTGTCGGACTTCCCATGGCCATTGATCTCCTGTTACGGTTCCAACACAAATATAACATGAGGTGACTTGTAGAGACTGGGCTACATGTTTGGCTAATTGCAAAAATAAATTTTTAGTTTTTCCTGGAATCTCAAGTACTGGCACATTTAGTTCATCATAGAAAGTCTGAAATACTGTTTCTGGAGAGCGTTTTTGAACCTCTCTTTTTATTAGGATGCTTACACTAGGATCTAGTCCTTTTCCATCAATGCCTAATGTTGCATGTTTTTTTTTTAATTCCACTTTGGGTCTGAGGGGTTTGTGATTATCAATTCTAAAAGGTTGCAGCTCCCACTCGTGCAGGAGGGGCTGACTTTTCCTTTTTGGAGCTAAACAGGATCTTTTTTATCTTCTTTTCAAGTAGCCCAAATGACACAAGACCAGTACTGACACATCTCACATAAATATGATTCTTGACAGATATACTTATTTTTTTTTACTGTGTAACTTTTTTTTCCAATTTAGAGAACCGCATCCTATTCTATGCTGCTTACTATCAATAGTGGCACAAGCATCAAATTTTAAGGTTACATTTTTGGGACCCCTCTTTCTTCTGTTCTAGCTGTTACCTTACTTGTGTCACCTAGAAAAGGACCAGTCCTTAATTTTATTTTAAAAACTGTGATCATGGGAGGCTTAAAATGGGTCATAACACACATCAGGTTGGTTATTTCCTGGGCTACATACCTTGGATAGAATAGCATTATACAAACAAGTTTCTTTTAGAGTCCTGGTACACTTATAATAATCATAAAATAATAGGACTGTGGCAATCTTTTGTCTTACCTCAGTGACTTGATATATATACTGGAAACAGTTCTCAGTCTGAGAAAGGTCAGTTGAAGTCCTTACTGTACAAGTCTAAATTTTAAGGAAAATGAGTCCTGTGATGAGTTTCCTCATGCTTCGGCCGTGCGTGGACCAGTCAGCTTCTGGGTGTGACTGGAGCAGGGCTTGTCGTCTTCTTCAGAGTCACTTTGCAGGGGTTGGCGAAGCTGCTCCCATCCACGTACAGCTCCCAGTCTACTGATGTTTAAGGGTGGTCTTGGTGGTTGGGCCTACTAGAATAAACTGAATCCAATACTTCTACACAGTTATGTTTAACTGGGCTCTCTGATACCAGGAGTAAGGTGGCGGGGTTAGGGTGTTGCAAACTTCAATGGTTATGCGGGGATCTTCACAGAGCAAGCTTTGGTATCTAGTTAGTCTAGCATTCGTTAGCTAATGATGTCCTTTGGTATTTATTAAAGTCACCACAGCCTGGGCATACTTTAGGTTTTGCTTAAGAGTTAGCTTATCTGCTTCTTGTGCTAACAGGGCCGTTGCTACCAGGGCCTTTGGACGTGGGGGCAGCCTTTGGAAACCCCATCTAGTTGTTTTGAGAGATAGACCACTGCCCTTGGCCAGGACCCTACAGTCTGGGTTAAAACTCCAACTGCCATTTTTTCTCTTTCTGACACATAGAGTGTAAAGAGTTTTGTCAAGTCAGGTAGCCTCAGGGCTGGGGCCGACATGAATTTTTTTTTTTTTTTAACTCATGAAAAGCTCTTGCTGTTGGGTGTAATAGATGTAGTTTATCTAATTTACATTTTTATTGACTGTCATTTACCAAAATACTGACTTAAATCTTTTAACTATTTGATTTTAAGCTTTAAATTGATCTGGTATTCCTTGCGGGGCTTCGATTGCATCTAAATAGATGTGAGAGTTGAAAGACCTATAAGGGGCTTCTCTCGTTTTACGATGTCTTATTATTTTTTTTCTTCCTCTGGTTGATGAAATGCCAGGGTGAAAGGGATAGCCAAATGGACTAAAGCACAAGTGCCACTCTAGTTATTCAGCAGAGTGCCCAGTAAAGGTCCACCACAATACCACCACGCATCCGCTCGGGGATGAACAAGGGCTGACTGATTGATAAGCTCTTGAAAATTCTTAAGCTTGCTGCATCCCTTCAGGTCTCCACGGAATGCTAAGTCTCCTCCCTGCCATGAGAGACACGAAGTGAACTTAGTGTTGGGAGACGGAAGCTGGATGGCCCTCGGGGGCTGACCCACAGGGACTTCGGGATATAGCAGAGAGAGCTTGGCATGACTTATTACTCCAGGCTGTAGAATTCTGGAAAAGAGCTACCATGCAGCCCACGCCTGGTCGACTGGAGGACCACCTTAGTGGAAGGGGGACAATCAGGGCCTCTGGCCTGCCATGTGCACAAGCATAACAATTGCATTTGTTTAAAGTGCAGATGGAATATTTGATCCATTTCAACCAGGCATTTGCATCTTGGTGTGCTGTCTTAATTGCCAAAGTTTGTTTTAAGTCTAACTTTTATGATCCTCTAGTAAAATGAATGTTTCCTTTAGCACCAATTTTTACTAGTTTTTAGACCAAAGAAAACTCAACACCATTTTATATTTAATAATATTTCTTGTATGATTTTTATACCAGAGAAGCTAAATTTTACCTTTATATTAGTGTGTTATTAATATTAAACTTAATTTTAATAAAACCTTGTAGACATATTTATCCAATTTTTCATGTTTGACCATAAGGTAAGATTTTATAGACTCTTTTTAACCTTTTATAATTTTTGTAAAAGAGCAGGTTGATGCTTAAAGAAAAACCTGTTGCATTTTTACTTTAATGTCCAGTTCACCGAAAAACTGGATGATACCTTTTTAACTTTAGCTAATATGTTTACACACAGAATTTTCTTTATAATTAACGTTTTAAAACTTGCTTAAACTTTTAAAACATTAATTTTTTTAATCTTTTAATGTAGATAAAAATCCACATTTTTATGCCCCTTTATAATCTTTTTACCAAAAGTATATTTTACTTTTCTCATACACCTTGCACATAAACTGTTTTTTTTAATAGTCTTCAGGAGGCCTTATTACTTTTAAATTATACAACATTTTTTGCATAAATTTTTTATAACATTTTTTCTTTCATGACTTTCACCAGCAATTCTTTAACATGTTTCAACTTTTTGACTTGTTACAAACATTTTTTTTTTCTTTAAACAACCACTTAATTTATTTCAGGACAAGAATTTACCATATAACACTCTTTACATAAATTCTGCCTCACCCTTTTTTTGAAGATAACCATTCCTTTTTTTAAAGCAAACTTTCTTTATGTCTTTGGACTAGACTGTCTAAGGCCACAAGATTAGAAGTTACCATAATACATGTTACACTGTTAACTTTTAGCAAACTTCAGTTTTGTTGAAAACCTTGTAAGTTTGGGATTTCAATCATCCTTTGCTATTAATAAGACCTTGTTTAGTCTAAATTAACTTAGAATTGGTATAGATGGCCTTTTTTTCTCTCTGCTGGTCTTTACTTGCCTCTGCCAGCTGCTTATGCTGCTGTTATTTTAACTACTGTGGAGGGGAAGGGGGTCTAAAACCAGCTGTAACTATGTATGGAAACTGGTCTGGGTGCCTTGGCTTACAGGTTACCTTGTGTCATACCTTTGAAACAAGGGACCTGTCCAGGCTTCCTTCTGATCGCCAACCCACCTCTAATGCTGGCCAGTCTATTTCACACAAAGTTCTAAGTTTTCCTGGTGTCACAGTAGCACTGTAATCTCCCTTAAATTCTTCCTTGAAATTTTTTTTTTAACATAGTTCCTAGTAGGGTGGGCTTATTTGTGCCTGGCCCATGCTTCTTTGAGACAAAACACCACGCTTACACCACACACACCCCACAAAACAAAAAACAGGTAAAAAGGGCACACACACACTTTTGCAGTTTACACCAAACCAAAATCAGAGTATCCAGAAATCCAAGCCAGGTCAAAACCAAAACCAAAGTATCACACAATCTAAGTCAAGTCAAAACCAGAACAAAAGTACCAATGCAGGCACGTCGTGGGTGATCAGGCCACACTTCCACTCAGATGGAGTGGGGCAAGTTCCAAAGACTAGTCTTACCAAGTTTCAGATGTCCGGACTCCAAGTACCGGTTCCTTCCTGGTGTTCAGCCACTGTGTTAATCCTCCGTGGGGGCCTGCTACGTGCTGCTCTGGTGAGGCGTTCCACCGGGTCAATTTCCTACCCGGGAGCGCTCTTTGGATTGCATCACTCAGGCTGGCCGGAGTTCCCCACAGGGATGCTCCACAGGGCAGGTCTAAGCCGTCTGAGGGGCTGCCTCAGCCGTCCGTGAGTTACCTCGTTTCCTGGTCAGGGAACCAAGAAATGTAGCAGGATGAGCCACAGACAAAACCTCTCAGACACCGAGTTGTAGAAGGAAGGGCTTTATTCAGCTGGGAGCATCTGCAAGCTACTGCCTTAAAATCCGAGCTCCCTGAATGCACAATTTCTGTCCCTTTTAAGGGCTCACAACACTAAAGATTTCACATGAAAGGGTCGTGATTGATTTGAGCAAGCAGGCGGTATGTGACAGGGGATGCATGCACCGGTGGTCAGAGAGAAAGAGAACAGGGCAGAGAGTTTCACGATGTTCTTCTATACAATGTCTGGAATCTATGAATAACATCAGTTTCTAAGTTATGAGTTGATTTTTAACTACTGGTTTTAGGCCAGGCAGGCCCAGGTCTGGTTTTGGGCCTGGCGCCGGGCTGCCTGTCTTTGGTTTTACTTCCTTGTTGTTTTTTCTTAAAATGGGTACTGAGTATAAAACCATATAAAACAATATGAGAGGGTCTCTCTCTTCCCTCACGAGCATCATTTGTCACACATAGTCATCTTCCCCTCCCACCTGCAAGAGGAATGTTCCTTCTCACCACGAGCAAGTTCCTGTACACACCTGGATCTCTTTCTGGACTCTCTGTTCTCATTTGTCTTGTATACCAAAAATAAAATTCTAAGTCCTCCAACCAGTTGAACGGACCCCTCTTCTCAGCCAAGGGGATTCCAAAGAAATCTGAAAAACGAGTTCAGGCCATGATGGGAGGGGGAGTCAGGCCTCATTATACTCTCCTCCCTTCGGACTGTGTCTTCAGGCACAGCTGACCAGCATTAACATTAAAACGGTCCAGGCGTGGTGGCTCACGTCTGTAATCCTAGCACTTTGGGAGGCTGAGGCGGGTGGATCACCTGAGGTCATGAGTTCGAGACCAACCTGGCAACATGGTGAAACCCCGTTTCTACTACAGATACAAAAATTAGCGAGGTGTGGTGTTACACATCTGTAATCCCAGCTACTCGGTGTCACGCGCATCCATGTGAAGAGACCACCAAACAGGCTTTGTGTGAGCAATAAAGCTTTTTAATCACCTGGGTGCAGGCGGCCTGGGTCTGAAAAGAGAGTCAGCAAAGGGTGGTGGCATTATCGTTAGTTCTTGTAGGTTTGGGATAGGTGGTGGAGTTAGGAGCAATTTTTTGTGGGCAGGGGGTGGATCTTACAAAGTACATTCTCAAGGGAGGGGAGAATATTACAAAGTACCTTCTTAAGGGCAGGGGAGGATATTACAAAATACCTTCTCAAGGGTGGGGAGGGTGTATCGTACAAAGTAATTCACAAGGGCGGGGGAATATCACAAAGTACATTATTGCAAGGGCGGGGAGGCTGTATTGTCACAAAGTCAATTGATCAGTTAGGGGCAGGAACAAATCACAATGGTGGAATGTCATCAGTTAAGGCAGGAACTGGGCTATTTTCACTTCTTTTGTAGATCTTCAGTTCCTTCAGGCCATCTGGATGTATATATGTAGGTCACAGGACATATGATGGCTTAGCTTGGGCTCAGAGGCCTGACATTCCTGTCTTCTTATATTAATAAGAAAAACAAAACAAAATGGTGGTGAAATGTTGGGGCAGCGAAAATTTTGGGGGGTGGTATGGAGAGATAATGGGCGATGTTTCTCATGGCTGCTTCGGGCGGGATTAGGGGCGGCGTGGGAACCTATAGTGGGAGAGATTAAACTGAAGAAAGATTTGGGGGTAAAGGGTAATATTGTGGGGTTGTTAGAAGGAGCATTTGTCGTATAGAATGATTAGTGATGGCCTGGATGTGGTTTTGTATGAATTGAGAAACTAAACGGAAGACACAAGGTCCAAATAAAAGAAGGAGAAAAACAGGTATTAAAGGACTAAGTATTGGGAGAACCCAGGACATCCAATTAGAGAGTGTCCAAGGGGGTTCAGCGTAATTATTTGCTTGGTTGGCGAGTTTTTGGGCTCTATCCTTGAGTTTTTTATGTTGTCATATACCAAGCCAGATTGATTTGGGTAAAAACACTCTTCATTTAAAAATATACAGAGTTCTCCTTTTTCAGCAATGAGTAAATCGAGGCCTCGTCAGTTTTGGAGGAAAGAGAAATGCAAAGCCAGTAATTGTTTGTTAAAGAAGGATTAGAAATGGCTAGGAGAGAGTGAGTAGATTGATAGTGTGGTGGAGATAGGTAGGGAGAGGTAGAGAGTGACTGGAGAATGGGGGCAAGTATAAGAGTGAGTAGAAAAGTGAAAAAAGGGACTTCATCAGAGTGAAAGTATTGGAGGGTACCCCGTCAGCAAAGATCATCTATCCACTCCAAGAGGGAGTCAAGAGTGGCGGATTAGGGGTAGTACTAGGAGATATCTGCTATGATAGTTTGGAGGAAAAGTGTAAACTGGCAGGGCATTTATGAGTAGTTAAAAATGGTGAATGGGGTATGACTAGACAGAAGATAGGAGGGATGACAAGTTTTCGGGGTGCAGTCCGAGTGGGTGGGGGGTGACTGAATAAAGCCTGTTGTAAAGATAGGGTAAGGAAGAATAGACCTAATAAAAATGAAAGGATGTATTAGGCTTATAAGGATTACTGTTATCCTTTAGGAATGCAGGTGAGTTTAAGGGAAGTAGGGTGAGTACTTGTGACTTCCAGGAGGAAGAGGAGAGATCAGGCTGGCTGTCCGACGGACACAGCTTTATTCTGGAACGGTGAACCCAATGGGGAGGGTCCTGCAGGCGGATGGCAGTTGGGGTACTATAGATGACTAAGTAGGGTCCGGTCCATCGAGGTTGTAGAGTTTGAGGGGTCAGATTCTTAACAAGAACTGATCGTCCAGCTAGGGTGTCTTCATATGGCTGGGAATCTGAAGTAGGCAAGAGAAGATTAGCAGCCTGGCGAGTTTCCTGTCTAGCCTGCTGGAGGACTGGAAGATAGTCGCCTAGAGGGCTGGTGTCTGGGACAAGGTTGGGGCCGAGCAAGAAAGTGCGTCCATATAAAAGTTCAAATGGACTGTACCTTCAAATGGACTGTGACATATTTCGAAATGGCCCTGCAAAACTGTCTCTTATGGGGGAAGTTTACATTTTCTTTACAGAATCCCGTTCCCTTTCCAGGTCTTTTTCTGATCCTGAAGAGATTAGCTAAAAATCTAGCACCTGTTAAAGGTCTGAATAGGAAACATTTGCCATCTATTGCCTCTAAGGGCAGCCACCTGTGAAATTTCATCTACATAATAAGAACCTTGGTCTCCACAACTCCTTATTATTATTTTTTTTTTGAAATGGAGTTTCACTCTTTGTTACCCAGGCTGGAGTGCAGTGGCACGATCTCAGCTCACTGCAACCTCAGCCTCCCAAGTTCAAGTGATTCTCCTGCCTCAGCCTCCTGAGTAGCTGGGATTACAGGTGCCTGCTGCCACGCCCAGCTAATTTTTGTATTTTTAGTAGAGATGGGATTTCACAGTGTTGGCCCAGCTGGTCTCGAACTCCTGACCTCAGGTGATCTGCCCACCTTGGCCTCCCAAAGTGTTGGGATTACAGGCATGAGCCACCACCCCCAGCCCACAACTCCTTATCTTAACCCAGACATTCCTTTCTGTTGATTCGAGGACTTAAGATAATAACTCTTTCAACCAATTGCCAACCAGAACATCTTTAAATCCACCTATGACCTTTAAGTCCCCGCCCCTTCAAGTTGTCGCTCCTTTCCACACAAACCAATGTATATCTCACATGTAATGATTGATGTCTTAAATCTCCCTAAAACATATAAAACCAAGCTGTAATCCAACTACCTTGGGCACATGTTCTCAGAACCTCTTGAGACTGCATCACAAGTCATGGCCCTCACATTTGGCTCAGAATAAATCTCTTCAAATATTTTACGGGGTTTGGCTTTTTTTGTCCAACAGTCTGTCCCTGTTCCAGTACTGTGCCAACTGTAGCTTTATAATTAATGCTGATCATGGCAGCACAACTTCTCCCACCTGATTCTTTTCTAGGAACATCTTTGTTCTTCTATATAAAATTTAGAATCAGTTTGCCAGGTTCCTTGGGAAAAAACTGACAGGAATTATATTGGAATTGTATTACATTTATAGATCAGTTTAGGGGGAGTGGACATCTCCATGATTTCTTTGAATGTTGCTTCCTTCCCATTTTCCCTATTGTATACTTCTGGAAATTCAGTTCAAAATTTTAGACCTAGCAGGGCATAGTGTCACCTATATAGTCCCAGCTGCTTGGGAGGCTGCTGGGGGAGAATACCTTGAGCCCAGGAGTTTGAGGCTGCAGTGAGCTATGATCACACCACCGCACTCCAGACTGGGCGACAGAGTGACCTTGTCTCTCAAACAGAAAAAAGACATCCGAATCTCAATTATATTGTATTTTTCTTTATTTTTATTTTCTTTTTATTTTTTTGAGACAGGGTCTCACTTTGTCACCCAGGCTGGATTTGGAGTGCAGTGGCATGATCATGGCTCACTGCAGCCTCAACCTTTCTGGGCTCAGGTGATCCTCCCACCTCAGCCTCCTAAATAACTGGGACTACAGCTGCATGCCACCATGCCCGACTAATTTTTTGTATTTTTTGTAGAGACAGGTTTTTGCCATATTGCCCAGGCTGATCTCGAATTCCTGGGCTCAAGTGATCCATCTGCCTTGACCTCCCAAAGTGCTGGGACTACAGGTGTGAGCCACTAGGCCTGGCCTGTATTTTTAATTTTTAGAAGTTCTATATGGTTCTTTTAAGATCTTCTTGGTTATACCTACTATGTACCCACAAAAATTAAACATTTTTAAAAAATCTCCTTGGTCATTCTTTATAATCTCTTATTCATATTTTTAAGGCCCTCATCCCTTAACTCAGTATTTCATAATCTATCCAAAGTCTTTGCAAATCTGATTCTTTTGTCTGCTGTTTTTGCCAGTAAAGCTCGTACTGCCTTGTTTCCTTGCATATTGAGATTTTTTTTTTTTTTTTTAAAACTATTACCTTATTTATTTTTCTTGGAACTTTATCTTGGGAATTCTTTGAGGCCTGGTTTGAAGTTGTTTTCCTCCAAAGAGGGTTTGCCTTTCCTTCTGCCACCTCACCACCCCAGGAACACTTTAAATTAAATATTTGGCTTTAGAGTTTTCTGCCCCTACAGGTAACTGTGAATTCAGATGGTGAACTACAGGATTTAGTCAGACCTGAGGTGGAACCCTCACTCACTTACTATGTGACCTGGGGCAAGTCATTTAATCTCTCTAAATCTGTCATATCACCTGTGAAATAGCAATAATAATACCTACTGCCTAAGGCTACTGCAAGAATGAAATGGGATCATGTATATAAATAAAGGCTTGCCTGGGGTTCTTTCTCAGCGGAGATCGCTGCCTGCAATTCTCTTCCTTGCTTCCTTTTGCCCCAGCCAGTGGGAGCAGCCTGGTGGTGGCCCCCAGCCTCAGTTCTTCCACTCACTGTAGGACCTGAGTTATAGTGGAAGCAGAGTGCTTCACATCTCACTCCTGTGGCTCACTCTGCCTTTAGTTTTGAGATGACTGAGCCTCCAAAAGCCTTTGAGAGATACCTCTGCCCTCAGTCTTGGCTGTGGTTTGGAGTTGTCTTGGAGGTCACTTGGAGCTGGGTAACAAGAAAAATGACATTTGACAGAATTGTTTTCTTTGTCAGATGCTGCAGGAATTTTTGGGGGAGTTTGTTGGTCATGATTGCTTAAAAAATCCTTTTTTTAAGTGGGACATTAGTAACAAGATGTTAAAATTGTTAATAATTTTTTTTTTGAGACATGGTTTCGCTGTGTTGCCCAGGATGGAGTGCAGTGGCATGACCACAGCTCACTGCAGCCTCAACCTCCCAGGCTCAAGTGATTCTCCCATCTCAGCCTCCCAAGTAGCTGGAACTAGAGGAGCGTGCCATCATGCCTGGCTAATTTTTAAAATTTTTTTGTAGAAACAGGGTTTTACCATGTTGCCCTGGGTGGTCTAGAACTGCCGGGCTCAAGCAATCCTACTGCCTCCCAAAGTGCTGGG